>NC_000001.11:187559587-188184587 GCF_000001405.40 Homo sapiens
CTCTAACTTCTTATCAAGGTTCTTAGCTTCTTTGTATTGTGTTAGAACATGCTCCTTTAGCTCAGCAGAGTTTGTTATTACCCATCTTCTAATGCCTACTTCTCTCGATTTGTCCATCTCATTCTCCATCCAGTTCTGTGCCCTTGCTGGAGAGGCATTGCAGTCATTTGGAGGAGAAGAGACTTTTTGGCTTTTCAGCATTTTTTCATTGATTCTTTTTCTTCTTCATGAGTTCGCTTAGTTTTGATCTTTGAGGCTGCAGACCCTTGAATGGGGTTTTTGTAGGAACTTTTTTGTTGTTGTTAATGCTGTTGTTGTTGCTTTCTGTTTGTTTGTTTTTCTTTCAGTGGTTAGGTCCCTCTTCTGTAGGGCTGCTGTGGATTGCTGGGGGTTTACTTCAGGTCCACTTCATCTGGTTTGCTCCCTTGCCTGGGAGGAGCAAGGAGGCTGGAGAACAACAAAGATGGGTGCCTTCTCCTTCCTCTGGGATCTCTGACTTCGAAGGGCACAACCCCTGTTGGAGGGTCTCACCCAGTTGGGTGGCACAGGGAACAGGACACATTTAATGAAGCACTTTGACTGTCCCTCAGTGGAGGGGTTGTGCTGTCTTTGGGGGGAAACCCACTTATCTGGGCTGCCCGGATTCCTCAGAACTGGCAGGAGGAAAGAGTAAATCTGCTTGTCTGCAGAGACTGCGGCCACGCCTCCCACTAGGGGCTCAGGCCCATGGAGATCAGAGTTTTGTCCCTGAGGCCCTGGCTGGAGTTGTTGGAGTTCCTGCAGGGAGGCCCTGCCCAGTGAGGAGGGATTGGTCAGGGTCAGGGTCAGGGTCAGGGCTAAAGAGGCACTCTGGCCAGAGTCTGCCATAGCTGGTGTGTTGGGCTGTGGAGGACACCTCTTGGGACCAAACTGTTGAGATTCCCTAACTCCAGCAGGGGAAAAGCATGGCCTGGAGCTATAGAGATGGCTGCTGCCATTCCCTCACCCAGGGAGCTTAGTGTGTTAGGCAGCTATTAGTCCCAGTGTTGGCTGTTGCCCTTCCCCACAAGGGGCTCAAACTGCTTAGACAGCAGCCAGCTGCAGCTATGGTACTGGTCGCCCCTCCCCTAGGGAACTCAGCCGACTTAAACAGATTCTACCTGAGAGGCTGTCGAAAATCTGCACGGCTCTGGGCTTGGGAGCCTAGGATCCAGTGGTGTGGGTTCACGAATGTGATCTTCTGATCCGTGGGTTGCACAATTCTGTGGAAAAGGCATGGTTTACCCGGTTAGGTAGTGCTCACTCACTGCCTCCCTTGGATGGGGGTGGGGTAGGGGTAGGGGGTCCTCTGCCCCCAGTGGCACTCAGGTGGGCCACAGGACCACACTGCTCTTATGTCCTATCCTTGGGTCATGGCAGCCGCCTAGTCAGTTCTGATGAGAGAATCTGGATACCTCGGTTGCTGGTGAAGGATTCACATGCTATTATAGTTCTTTTCGAAGGGGTCTTCTGATCACAGCTGCTTCCAGTCGGCCGTCTTGCCTGCCTCTCCCACCTCACACCTGTTGCCTTTCAATAGACTGGCCTTTCTTCAGCCTTAGCAAGACTTAAAAAACTTATGAAGGGAGAATGGGAGAAAAGCAAGCTAGTCAATGTCAGTTCGAGGCTATATCTATAGTATTATGGCAAAACTGCAATTACTTTTGCACCAACCTAATAGTATGCACATGCTGCAGCCTAGTTCATTAGGAATCTAGAGTGGGCTTTGAAAACAAAACTTTACAACTTATATATTATTCAATCTTCCTTTATCTGCTACAGTTGTTTGTGCATACATCTACCCTGAGGAACTATTCCAGCAGTGGTGGCTGGTAAATGGCAGATGCTTGGGTGTTGCTATCTGCCCTGGGCAAAGAGCACCTTCATGTTATTTCTTAAACATACAACACTCTTTAGCATAACTTTTGGCTACAGATTTTATAACTATAATCCGCAGCCATGACTCTTGCTAATGCTTATGAAGTGAAATTTTCAAAGTGATTGAATTATCAATTAGTTGGTGAGTAATTAATGCTCTGTCCCTATAAAGTAGAAAAATATGGGAGGATACCTAACTTCTGAAAAAGAGAAGTAATAAGTCAATAAAGAACTTCAAGAAGTACCATTTAAAAATAGGATTTACAAAGAAAATAGCATGATGTGCAACAATCATATAACAATTGAGGTGGTTACTGCATGTTTGGGCATTCTAATAAATGAAAGATGTGATCCATAAAAACGTTGTTCCTAAATTTTGCTGATTTATTCAACAACTACTTTTCATAATTGCTGCAGATTGTTCTAGGCACTGAGGTTACAGCCACTAAAGGGAGAAAAGTACCTTGTCATTTGGGATAAAACTAGATATATCTATACTTTAAGCCTAGATATTCTGTTCCTGGTTGTAGCAAAGGAATCTAAATTTAAAAGCTGTGTATACAGCTCAACTGAGTAACCATCAATATGAAATATAGTTCTTAATCTATGATTGGCAACCAATCATCGAAATGATTTTCAAACTCCAAGAACAGCTATAGCATTTATATCAATAAATATCACAGGAAGTCACAAGACATAAGCTATGCCTCTCACCTTTTTTCGGTCTTCACTGCTTATAGCATTAATATTATAAACTATCATTATTCTCCAGAGGATTATCTCTTTTAAGTCATTCATCATCACCTCTGCCACATTACTTATGTATATTTTATTACTTAAGAAAAAAGAAATTAAATATCCAAAATGAAATTTGTATCATTTTAGGGACTTAAATCTTTAAAGCAAGGGCATTCAGAGCAAGGACTGAGTTTATAGTCACTATTTTCTGCTCTATCTAGGCATTGTTCAGAATTTCAGTCATAAATTACTCAAGATTCTGACTGATATACTTTGCTTTTTGACACTGAGTTACACAGTTAATTATATGTAGAAAGCTTTAGAGGTGACTACAAGGGACAATTTTTCTTTCATTGCTTTAATACATATTACATTTTAATTGATAAAAGTTTCTAATATTGTAAAAATACATTTAGGTATGATAATTATTTAAAGGAATATTCTGACTTCCATTTTGAATATTTGAAAAATTAGGCTGCCTGGTTAAGTCTCCATAATAGGTTTAAGAAAATAATTATGTAAATACAGAAATTTTTAACTACAAGGTATAAGCATAGGAAAGTTATAATCACATGATTCAGTATTGGGAAAGTGTTCCCATAAAAAATTAATTATGTACCTGTATTTTTCAACCACCATGACAATGCATAGGGTTCATAGCGATTCTTTATAAATGCTGACCCTCATCTCCCACCACCAGCCCTGCCACATCACAGGTCTTCTCATGTCCCATTAACAACTTCATGGTACATGGTATGTACTATGAAACATCCTGGAAGTCTATTAAAGCGTCATACAGACCCACATCCAGGAACAGAGCCCTTTGCTCCTCCCTCAGAATGAATGAGACGAGAAATCAGATGTTTATGCCCAAGAAAAGTAGGAATTTGTACAGCACTTCTCCCAGATTGTTAGGGTGCTGACTAAGGATGAGATGGGGTACCCAGAGACAGGAGATGCTATTGCCCAGCTCAAGGAGGTTTGATGCCATTGAAGGCAAGTATCACTGAGGTTTGATGGTGCTAGTAGCGTTCCAGAAGCTGGTGGAGCCAAGGAAACAGGTTGCTCATAGTCTCCAATGGGCCCTGACTGTGTGTGGAACTGCTGCAAGCTTTCTTCCTGGTGGCAGATGACATCATGGATTCATCCTTCACCTGCCGGGGACAGATCTGCTGGTATCAGAAGCCAGGCATGGATTTAGATGCCATCAATGATGTTATCCTTCTGGAAGCATGTATCTACCACCTGCTGAAGATCTATTGCATCTACCACCTGCTGAAGATCTATTGCCGGGAGCAGCCCTATTACCTGAACCTGACTGTGCTCTTCCTGCAGAGTTCCTATCAGACTGAGATTAGGCAGACCCTGGACCTCATCACAGCCCCCCAGGGCAATGTGGATCTTGGCAGATTCACTGAAAAGAGGCACAAATCTATTGTCAAGTACAAGACAGCTTTCTACTCCTTCTACCTTCCTGTAGCTGCAGCCATGTACATGGCAGGAATTGATGGCAAGAAGGAGCACGCCAATGCCAAGAAGATCCTGCTGGGGATGGGAGAGTTCCTTCAGGTTCAGGATGATTACCTTGACCTCTTTGGGGACCCCAGTGTGACCGGCAAAGTTGGCACTGACATCCAGGACAACAAATGCAGCTGGCTGGTGGTTCAGTGTCTGCAACAGGCCACTCCGTAACAGTACCAGATCCTGAAGGAAAATTCAGGCAGAAGGAAGCCGAGAAGGTGGCCTGGGTGAAGGCACTATATGAGGAGCTGGATCTACCAGCCGTTTTCTTGCAATATGAGGAAGACACTTACAGTCACATCATGGGTCTCATCGAACAGTATGCAGCGCTCCTGCCCCCAGCCATCTTTCTGGGGCTTGCACGCAAAATCTACAAGCGGAAAAAGTGACTTAGAGACTGCAAGGGAGGCGAGAGGAGGCTGTCAATAAATAAATTATTGTGGGAAAAAAAGGGGGCATGCATAACATAGTTTTAGGGGGTAAGCAAATGTGCATCTGTAGAAGGACAGAGATTTAGAATCCAGCCCTACAATTCACAACACATGGTATATAAAGTGGCCATTGCCATTGCACTTTTAATTTTATGTTACTAATACATATATTTGGAGTAGAAATATACTAGTTATGGTACAGTATATTCCATGATGTGAAGTATGTAGTATAAATGGGTTTATAGGATATAGGATCAGGATACTCTGAGAGTTAATGTTGCTGAGTAAGAAGCATTATAAACAGCTTATAATAATCTAAGATTAAATTATCTGCATAGAAGGCACAGCAATCTGTAAAAGAAGAACATTTTTTCTCAATCCAATAGTGTTAACACTAGCTAAACAATAGCTACTAATATTAAACATTGTACTTATGGTTTGAAAGTCAACTAAACCTATAATTTAAAATCTAAGAGGAGGAAAATTTTGTCAAGATTTTGCTCAACGAGGTAGACAGTGAGATGTCAGCAAGAAAGATGCAACAACATTTTATTTGTATATGTGCAGCATATTATCTATTTTTCTCCAAGACCGGGAGAAAATAAAACTTGATAAAAACTTCATTACAGTAAGCAATAGAAAAAGTCTATTCCAGATTTATTGGAAAACTCCATTTATAAAACACAAGACAAATTTTGGAAAGTACTTTTTTTCTGTAAAATTCAATAAATTATGGGCTCTATTAAACACATGAACAAAATTATATTATAATGACTGAAATGGAAAGGTATCCATAAATGTGGAAGGGGATAAGAAAGCTGAATGAGTAAAAAATATAAAAGGAAACTAAAATGCCATTGTACACGTGGTTTTTACCAGAAATAACAATATGCAGAAGTGACTCTGTAACAAAATCTGAATCTTGATTTCAATTTTAATGTGTTAATTGAATCCAGAAGTCAGAGAAAAATAGCCAATAAGCAGAAAATATCCAAATAAGATAATAGATATTTACGTAAGAGAAAAATCCAATGTAAGTTCATATTTTCTAAAAATAATATTAGAACAAATGTAAGAAAAGCCGTAATCAAAGATAAAATAGACATAAGCTTTCCGGAGTTAAAGAAATGCCTGATTTTAAAGATTGACATGAATCACTGTATAATAGAAAAAAATCAATGAAAAGAGAACAATGTTCAAACTTATGCTGATTAAATTAATATTCAGAGTAATAAAGACAATAAATCAACATTATATAGGCAACACTTAGGGAAATATAATAAAGGAATCAAAAATGCATAAATGGAATTGCTATTGTGTTAAGAGCATTTTCTCATATCCTCAAATATTCTTTTAAAAATGTTATTTCCATGCTTCATCACATGTATATACCAGGATTGAGTTAGATTTTTCCTATTCGTGGACATTTGGGTTATCTAAAGTGGTTTGCATTTTAAAATAGTTCTGTTATAGGTTTTATATGCATATTTTTATAGCATCTATTCATATTTCTTAGACTACTTAGAATCTTGGAAGTAGAATTACTGACTCAAAAAGTATAAATATTTAAATATTCATAATACATATTTTCAAATTGCTTTCCACAGACTTTGGCTATTTACACACTCTTCAGCTTGTCCATCTTCTTTTACTCTTAGTCACAGCTTTTCTCTACTCATTTACTTAAGGTTTATGCATTGTTTCCTTTGCATTCATCATAGTGTTATTTCTGGAGACATAAAGATACATTGAGAGTCTTAACATTAGAAAGTTTCCATCCCAGTGGAGGCAGAGATAGGGAGGGATATATTGGAAATACTGCATAACAGACAATTATAAAACACTGTGATAAGAACAATCTAGAACAGTGACAGATAAAAGTTATTATGACAGTCAAGAGAAGACATTCCTAACCCAGACCACAGAGTTCAAGGACAGTCCCCTGGTAAAGAAGTAACGTACTGAGTTGTGTGAAATGAATTGAATCCAATAAAATTAAATTTGAATTTAAGGAAGTGAAGAGAGAGAGAGAGAGAATGTAGGAAGGCACCAGGTAATTTCAAGATGGAGAGAAATATAAACAAAAGAACAGAGGCAAGAAACACAAAGAAGCAAGAATCATCAATAGTTTAGTATTCTTGGAAAGTGAAGCTTGATGGATGGCATAGTAAAATATCAGGCTAGAGAGGATAGATGTAGCCAGATCATGGAGAATATTGGAAATCAGTTTTAGGAGCTTGGCAATTAAATACCACTAAAGGCCATCAAGCTGTCATAGTTGCATGTTAGAGAGATTCATCTGGAAGACATGTGTATAGTGTACTTGATGGATTAGTTTGTGGTGATTTCTTCATCATAAGCCAAGTTGTTGACAGTTGATTCAATCTCACATGAGTTGGTAACTGCCCAGCCCTGGTGTTTACTCTAAGAAAGAATTCATCGCCCCTATTTTTATTTGGGTGATGGCCAAGCAACATTTTTTAGCCCAATAGCTGTTATGACTATTTAATTGTTTAAGTCAAAGTATTATAAAGGACATCTCTAGAAGATGTTCTGTACCAATAAGAAATCTGGACAAAAATAATCATCTAGATAAATGCAAATTTATTTATATAAATAAATCTATTGCAGTCTGAGTTTTTTCTTCTCTGGCGGTGTGGAATGCTTTTTCATTCTCACTCATCTTACTTCCTTTTTTCCTTATTTTCCCTGAGGTTTGCATTTCCTAAGTAATTGTCAAAGCAAGAGGTAAAGTTGAGGAGAAGGCAAATAAAAGGGTACTTTATGACCTCAAAGAGAGTGAAGCCAGCCCCATTGTCGCATAGAACTCATGTTTATGGTTTCTTTTGAATAAACATAAAAATTGACCTTCAGAGTCTTAAAACTTGAGAGACTTACATTTGTCTTATCCAAGTTCCTTTTCCAAGAAACCAACTATCAGGCTTCCCAGACAGTATCGAGGAACTGAAACTCACCAGATCGCCACATCTGGTCAATGAGATGCTCGACCCCTCACCCCTTATGATTGCCTAACTGATCACCTGTGCCTGTTAATCAACTCCTCTCCCTTATCCTTCTCTAATTCCTGTTTTCTCACACATACTTATATTTTCCCCCTGCTGTATAAACCCCTAAGTTTAGTCAACTGAGGCAACAGATTTGAGATTTTATCTCCCTGTCTCCATGACTTCAGCACCAAATTAAAGCCTTCTTCCTTGGCACTACTCTTTGTCTCAGTGATTGGCTTTCTGTGCTGCGAGCAACAGTACCTAGGCCAAATCCCTGGCCTAGTAGCACTCAGGAATAGTAGCACTCAGGAAAGGGTATGCCATTTAATTTCCAGGCTTGCACAAACCCTGGTTTGTGGACAAGGAGAAGATATTTGTGGATGAATAGAGGTTCTTCTAAACATTTTTCATGCAGATAGTTTTATTCTAATCCTGAACATATATTATGTGTTGCTCACAGAATTTGATTTTTTTTATTTAACTCAGTCGATCTTATGATTACATGAAGATTCTCTGCAGTTGATTGTGGTCCCTACCCCCTATGTTTACATATATATTTCAGTTGAAAATGGTGAAAAGATGTATCAAGGACCGTAAAGAAAATCATATTTACACTAAATATCCTATTTTTACCTGATACAAGCTTCTAATCAATTGTTTGATTGCTAACCATTTAACTCTGAAAAAGTAATCAAAATTTGAATTTTCAGTATATTATTTGTTTTTCTTTTTTATGTGACTATTAAGAAAAAAATAGAAGATTGTCCATGTTTTTCCTTAGTGTCCATGTATCTTAACGGCAAATAATAAAGAATGAATTGTTAGGTATAAAACATCTTTAAAAACTAAAATCTTTCACTACCTGCTTGTTATGCTCTCCAATGTGACTTGCTTAGCCAATGGAACTTTATCAAATATAATGCAGACAGACACTTGCAAAAAGTATTTGCATACTAGGGTTTACTCTCTTGTTGGACTTGGAACCCTATATCCATATAAATGAGTATAAACTAGCATTCTGGAAGATGAAGTGCCGTTATGGAGAGGAAGTGATGTACCCAGCTGACAGCCAGTGGTGACATATGTCAGATATGAGTATGGCAATTATAGAATATCACCCTAAACTAGATCTGCCAGTCAAACTGCCAGATGAGTCTATAGATGCATAAAAGAGCCCAGTATAGATCAAAATGTGTTGGTCAAGACACACACAAAAAAACATTCGACTGACCAAAAAAATTATAAGGAAATAAAAAGAACATTGTTTTATGTCACTAAGTTTGGGTGCTTTGGTGTGTAACATGTTTCGTGGTGTGAATTGCTTTGGGTTAACCCTGGGAACCACATCACTGAATTACTGTCTTCTTGTGTGGAACAAAGTCAGCATATAATCTCAATTTCCAAAATATATGTTCATGCAATTTTTATGACAGTGTTACTTTTTCATATTTTAAAGATGAAATATATTAAAATAAAAATATCCTTACTGTCAAAATTCCTTTCAGTAAAAAAGTAAATTTCCAAATATTTATTCTATTAAAAACATGTTTTAACTTCAGCAAGAAAAAGTAAAATGGGTACAGATATACAACTCATAGCTAAAATGATTTTTCTGTATATTAATTATGTCTTTTTAATTGAAAATATGCATCTAACTTAGGTATAATGCTGTCTGTGGTTGTATTACTAATGGAATTTTACTCTGAACTGTTCCTCTAAAATATCAGCTTGAACAAATTGTATAATGGCCAATATTTAGATACAATTTTTTTTTTTTGAGACGGAGTCTTGCTCTGTCACCCAGACTGGAGTGCAGTGGCATAATCTCGGCTCACTGCAAGTTCTGCCCCCGGGTTCACACCATTCTCCTGCCTCAGCCTCCAGAGCAGCTGGGACTACAGGCACGCACCACCACGCCCGGCTAATTTTTTTGTATTTTTTAGTAGAGACAGAGTTTCACCGTGTTAGCCAGGGTGGTCTCGATCTCCTGAACTTGTGATCCGCCCGCCTCAGCCTCCCAAAGTGCTGGGATTACAGGCGTGAGCCATCGCGCCCGTTAGATACAATTTTTTAATTGTGCTATTTCAGTGGAATGTCTGATGTTGTGTAATGATGCAGGATTGACTTCCAAAACAACTTTAAATTTTTGCCATATGATGCATGTGAAAGTCATCCTAAAATTCTGTTAGTGTTTACTCACTAACTCTGTGTCACAAATACTGATTGCCTTGTCTACTAAGCGAAATCTCAAGTTTGGAAAACACACTTAATCGTGATTGTCAAGGCACTTTGTTCTCACTTAGTAAATAATGATTAGCTTCTGTCATTTACTGGAAAAGTTAAACTTGATGAAGCAGTTTGGCAGTATATTGAATTTAACAAATCAAAATGATCATATTAGTGTGTGCGTCAATAACTGATATTGAATGTTGTTAATATCTTATAGATGTAATCCTCCGGTTATTCTCCTTCTTCACTTTTCCAACATTCCCAAGACTATAAAACAAACGTATTCTTAATTTAAAATCATTCAGGCTATATTTATACCAGGCTATTGATAATTTAATCAAGTTTCTAAAATCAATTACACTCTACTCTCTTTAAGTATAACCTCACATTACCACTAAAGATGCAGAAAATGAAATTTGATTGCTTTTTCAGGTTATTCATCATGAGTACCTAGTGGAAACTTGCCAAGCAAGCTCCCTCACCAGACTCTACACTATACCAAAATGTACTCACCAGTGTTTTATGACACTTACTGTTCAGTAATCAGAGTTATCATTCTAGGTCCCACAGTATAAGTTTGTCCTATTGAAGAAAATGAAGTATTATCAAATATTGAACCTCTCATATTTCTTGATAACACTCAGAGGAACTGCTTAGTTCTTATTCATCATTTCTGCATTTTAAAATTCTGAACATAATCTACAAAGTGATATCTAGGGTTCTGGCAAGTGGAATCTTAATGCTCTAGGTATTTAGTGTGAATGTCAAAGTCTGTGATTTCCCCCATAATAAATTTCAATTGACTGGTGTCATTTACTGGAAAGGTTACATGTGATTGAATTTATGACCATTTGCTGCTGAACTCAGCTTATAAATTGCTAATGATTCTGGCAGATGATCCAGTTTCTTATGCCAATGAAATATTTGAGGTTAAATAGCCTCCATCACCTCTTTTCACCAAAATGCCAATGAAGTGCTGAGAAGTTAAATAAATGTACTACTTGGTACCCAGTATGCCAAATACACTACTCTATGCACGCACTTTCCTGAGCCTATTATAGTGATCTTCTAAAACAGCTTCAACTGTTGGATTCTTAAAAATTGCGAAATGATGAAATTATTTGAAGTGTAAATTTCTTCCACAGCACCATTAAACAGAATCCCATTAGGTCAAAGTAAGAGTAAAATAAATTTAATAAGATAGGGAAAAAAGTTTTAAATATATAATAATCAACAAATATAAGATTATAAATGCAATTATGATTCACATCTAACTTGAAAATAATACTAAATTAATGGTAACAAAATCTTAAAATAAAATACTTACTGGATTTCTTTTAATAAGCAGCATATTTTTAGCTCTCACCATCTGAGAAAATATTTCTATTTTGCCAGAGGTATGGAGTTTTATATGTAAGTACTTCTAAAGTGACATCTTTCAAAATCGTTACGTCTTACACACATGATACTGTTATTTTTCTGTCCTATATCTGGTTTACCCTTCTACCCATCTTAGTTTTTACTGGAGCCTGAGTTTCTGTTTTATTTATTTATTTATGTGGCAAACTCCTAGCTAAAGAATTACATTTTTCAGTATTCGTTGTAGTCAGGAGTCAACAATGAGATGTAAAATGTTATTGGGTAGGGATTCAAGTAAAGCTCCTTAAAACTTTACCTGGAACATGGGTATTTGTACTTTCTTTTGTGCCCTTTTTCTTTTAGAAACCCTGGAGTTCTGGTATCCAACCTAAATCACAGATGACCTTGAGGATAGTGAAGCAGAAAGGTAAAAAAAGGGTGACTAATGTCTTTAGTGCTATAGCACAGAAAAGTGCTATATTATTAAGGTCTCTTAATTGATTCCTTAGTAACTGAACTTTATCCTAACTCACATAGTTAGCAAATACTGCATTATTGCATCAGGTGGTATACTAAATAAATATTGTAATAAAAATAATGGCCATTAGTTAATTAAGCAATCATTTGAAAGATGAATGGTCAACAAATTCTTTGTAGATGTTTCAGTTTTTCCAAATAACAGTTTCTATATATTCCCTTATGAGGATAAAATAGAATGAACTATTTTTGAGTATATATACATGCAATTTTAACCTTATTAACTCTTACCTACCTTAATCAAAGAATAAAGTCACAGTGAGTCTCAGCTCTCTGTATTTACTTCATGGTATATTATCTTTTAAACTAACTCATCTGATCTCAATATTTTAGGTATTGTAGTGATGGCTCTAAAAGTATAATCTCCAGCCTTCACTTTTCCAAAGAGCTCAAAAATAATTTGCATATATCTATGTGTCTGGGGCTATGCTAGGTTGTATACATACATACATACATATATATATGAACAAAACAATTCAATACCTGCATTCATAATATTGTGCATGATAGACATCAAATATGCAAACTAGAAATCAGTACATTTGTAAATTTTGTAAAATGCCATGAATAACAATTTAGGATTGTGGAATAGAGAGTGACAGAATAGAAAATAACTACATTTGTTAGGCAGGAGAAAGATAATATAGCAGAGTCTAGAAGGAAGAGAAGAGCTGCCTAGGAAAAGAATGGGAAAACAGCATGTGAAAAGTTTCTGAATATGTGGTGAATAACTTTGTACCCAAAGCATGATACATTAAAGTCAGTTGGAAATGTTTGAAGTGCTTAAAGCAGGCAAATGAAGGGACATGACTTACTTCATCGAAAAGATCACTCTTGTGCTTTGCTGATAATAGATTGGATTGGAATAAGCTTGGTAAATTTGTTAACCAGGGTCACTAGAAAATTAATAAACATGGGTACTTATGTGGAAACAAATAAAATCAATTGGATTTTGATTGAAATCGAGCAAATTGAAAAAGTTAACCACGTTAAAATTAGATGTTTTTATTGTTTTATTGCAGGAAATTATTTATTCAAGATGGGAAAATTCACTTAAGCATGAAAATTTTATGTGTATGGGATTAATCATATGATAGCACTCACACATTATTTCATAAGCATGTAATGACTTCTGAGTAGTTCAGTGTTCTATTTTATTTTTTACTCTATATAATAAAGGTAATTAATATTAAACTATTATTAACAATGAGAAAGTTAGAATTTGTTATATAAACATCATTTTAAAACACTTCTTACATATCAATTTGAATTTATTGCATTTTTAGCAGTGAAAAGATACTCAAATATGATATTGAATGTATAAGGATAAACTGTAATCACTTCATAGAAGCTTATTCATTCTAAATATTGACAGAAAATTTGTGCTAACTCAGAAATTCCGATAGTTCAACAGATAGACATGATGAATTAATAGGGTGAGCACAGAAAAGACAGGAAGTTGAGTGTTTTAAGATTTAATGTTACAGTGTCTTAATATCTGTAGGGTAATAGTCAATCAAAAAGTAGTAAAATAAATATATAGCTGACAACCAATTTCAAGAGAAAAGCAGAATAATAAAAACTTCATTAATCAAGAAAAAACAAAATAGTAAGAGAAAAGAGAAATAAAAACATTTTAGTCAAATAAAAAAAGTAGTAAAATGTAGTTGCAAACCCAAATACATCAGTGATTACATAGAATGCTAATACAAAAAAATGATTCAACTAATGTTGGATAAATTAAACCTAACTATATGCTGCTTAGAGGAAAAATTACTTTAAATGTAAGGACACATAAAGACTGAAAATAAGAGAATGGAAAAATATGCCATACAAAACTAATAAAAGCAAAATTTCTAATGTAGCTACAGTATACAAGATAAAGTAGACTTTATGAAGAAAATTCTTTCTGATAACAGATAAAGAGGAACATTCTTACCTAAAGTACTAATAATTTTAAATTCCTATATACTTAATAATATAGTTTCAATGCATACAAACCAAAAACTAGCAGAATGATGAAACGTGAAAATATAGAAAGGAAAAATGCACAAACTTCTAATCAAAATGAGAGATCTCTATTCTATAATACCTCTTTGATTACTAATAGAACAGACAAAAATAAGTATACGGAAGATCTGGACAATATAATTAACAAACTTTATCTAATAGAGTTATGTAAAAATACCATGCCCAATAATGACAGAGCACATTCTTTTCAAGTACCTATGGAATGTTTTCTAAAACCAAATATTTGTTAGACCATAAAGCGAGACTCAACAAATTTCATATGATAAAAAATAATTCAATGTTTTCTCTGGCTAGAGAAGAACTATGTTACAAATTGATAATGAAAAGATAACTAAAAAATACATGTAAAGAATCACAACCAGCTGAATGCTTCCTGAGAACAAAGAGAATACAAAATGGTTACCAGAAGAAAGTAATTATAAATATCAGTAACAATCACATGACCAGTTACAAAAACAAGGACTGTCATTGTTATGGGTGTTTCTTCCTCATTTTTTTATGAGTATATTTGTTTTGTATGTATATATGTGTGTGTATTAAGTAAAATTCTTTGCTTTCTTCCCTCTTTCATCCCCTTACCATATTATTTAAGTATTGTTAATGTCACATCATAGTAACATAGTTACAGGATATTACAGAGAAGTGAATGTCATTCATGGACTTTGCATCCACTTCTAGAGAAAGGGTTAATGCGTTTTCAGTTATATGCAGGATAGTTGTAGCATGTTAGATGGAACTATGATCTTGTTATTGTCTCTATTTAGAGATCAAGTATGGTTTAGGAGATGTGTATGGTTTAAGGAGATGTGCCAAGTTGACAATGGATGGACTTAGGATAATTACTTTTATGTGTTAACTTGATCAGGCCATGGTACATCCATATTTGGCCAAAGACTGGTTTCCATGTTGCTAAGAAGGTATTTTTGTAGGTGAGATTGACATTTAAATCAGTAGACTTTGAGTAAAGTACATTACCCTCTATAATGTAAGTGAGCCTCATTCAACCAGTTGAAGGTCTTAAGAGAGAAAAAACTGTCTGTCTAGAGAAAAATGGATTTTATCAGCAGATTGTCCTGAGAATCAAGCTGCAGCAATCAACTTTTCCCTGGGTCTCCAGTCTGCCAGCCTTCCTTTCAGATTTTTGACTTACCAGACTCTACTATCATGTAAGTCAATTCCTTAAAATCCTTCTCTTTCTTCCCCTCTTTCTCCCCCAGGACAGACAGACAGACAGCTATCTCTCTATATAGCCAATCAGCTCTGTGTCTCTGAGAATCTTTACCAATACAATAGCAATATGTCAATTCTCCCCAGAGCGATCCATGACTTCATGAAAAACTTAATAGACATTTCCAGCAGAATTTTTCTGGAAATTAACAAGGTTATTTTAAAATGTGTGTGTAAATGAAAAGAGCCAAGAGTAGTTAAGAAAATCTTGAAGAAGAACAAAGCTGGAAAACATACACTACCAGGTATCAAGACTTAATATAAAGCTACTATAATTAAAACATTGAGATGTAAGAATGAATAAATTTTTTAATTCAGCAGAATGGAGAGTCCAGAAACTGTACACTCATAAGGTCGTTTTTTCCTGAGAGAACTACTTATGTATTAATAATTATTACCTAACATTTTTTTCCTGAGAGAACTACTTATGTATTAATAATTATTACATACCATTTTTTTGCAATTGTACTTACAATTTTTAAGCCATTCACTCATAAAATTACTGACTAAAGATTACATATGTAAAGATAAATCTATCCTACATTTTGAAAACTAATACTTTCATCTTCTTGGTCCAGCTTGTATTTTTTTTTTTTTTTTTTTTTTTTTTTTTTGAGACAGAGTCTCGCTCCGTCGCCCAGGCTGAACAGCATACAGGACAGATACATAAGTAAATATATAAAGTTCTAATTACTAATTGTGGTAAGTAAAATGAAAAGAACAAATGTGATTGTAGTAATAGAGAAGACAGAGCATAACAGGGTGTGACTATGCTTTTGAGAGCGCGCTCCTGGGTGACTTCTTTGAGATGAGGTTTAAGCTGCACTTGAAGGATGGGAAGGAGTAGCTAGCAGAAGATTCAGAGGGGTGACTGAGTTAAGTCCTTGAGGGAAAGAACTGGGCTAGGACACAATGCAAAGGTCAATGTAGGGTGAATGGAGTTCAGTCACCAGGAAAGTTAGTTTAAGAAATAAAAAGAAGGTGGAAAAACAGAGGCTACATCTTGCAGAACAATGTAGGATTAAACTATGTTTGGAATTCAAAGTGTATTAGGATGTTAACTATATATTTTTAAATTTTTATGTATACATTATTATAGATTATTTATGGGGTACATGTGATATTTTAATACAAGTATACAATGTGGGATAATCAAATCTCAATAACTGGGATATTATTTGGGATAATTGGGATAAGAGTTTTAAGGCAGAGAGAAACATGATACAACTTAGTTTTGCTATTTTGTAGATGATTTTAAAAGATTGCTCTAAATTTTGTTTGTGGACTAGGCCATAGGTAGTTCAGATCAAAATCTTAAATGCCAGTAAGGGTGATATTTTATTCGTCCAAGTAAGAGTGGATAGTAATTTGGATTAATGTAATGGTTGTGCAGATGGAGAAATGTGAACATATTTGAGAAATTATTTAGAAAGTAGAATTAAAATAACCTTATGATATGTCAAATACATAAGAAAGTGAAGAAGACCAAGAGATAAAAATTGATATACAAGTTTTTGGTGCTACTTTTTGGGAGATACACAATTTTAGAATAATTCATGGGGTGAAGTTGTATTTTGTAATTCTTAAATTTGATACAGTTATGAGACATTCAAGTTATGTGAGTCTAGCAAGCAGGGAAAAAGTCAGAATTAGAGATAAATATTTGGGAGTCATAGGCACATTAGTGTTTCAACTGATGGGAATAAATGAAAAAATAAAAAAAGGTGATGACTTCTGTTGGAGACCTCTATACCATTCCCATTTAGGCATTAGAAAAAAACTAATGGAGCATAATTTAAATGCATTTAAATTTTCTTTTTCTTTTTTTTTTTTGAGGCGGAGTCTCGCTCTGTCACCCAGGCTGGAGTGTGCAGTGGCGTGATCTCGGCTCACTGAAACCTCTGCCTTCCCAATTCAAGTAATCCTCCCACCTTGGCCTCCCAAGTAGCTAGGATTACAGGCTTTCACCACCATGCCTGGCTAATTTGTTTTGTATTTTTAGTAGAGAGGGGGTTTCTTCATGTTGGCCAGGCTGGTCTTGAACTCCTGACCTCAAGTGATCCACTCGCCTCAGCCTCCCAAAGTCCTGAGGTAACAGGCATGAGCCACTGTGCCCAGCCATGTATTTAAATTTCAAACTATCTAAATAGCAATTTCAACAGAAAAATACTTTTTTTTTAAATTTTTAACTCTATGTGTCTGCTTAACATATCTGAATGCTTTGCATAGAAAGATCTGACTGTATATGCAAATGCCTACTAGAAAATCAATTTTTTTTGAAAACTTCATTACAAATTAGTAGAGACTGACACTTTAGGTGGCACAGATTCAATAGATCACATCCACCTTTTAAAGTTTACTGTCCCAATCACAGTCTATGTCAATGCTGATATTCAACCTGAAAAAAAAAAGCATAGAATTTCACATTCTTAATGAAGATTATGGTGCAATTTTCTGTATACTATATTAGTAAATATTATATTCTTAGAAATTATTTTAGGTTTTTGGGTTTTTTGTTTGGTTGGCTTTTTGAATTTTTGTTGTTGTTGCCATTGTTTATTTTTATTATTTATTTACTTTTTTTTTTTGGAGACAGGGTTTTGCTCTATCACCTAGGCTGAAGTACAATGGCAAGACTACAGTTCACTGCAGTCTCAACCTCCCAGGCTCAAGCACTCCCCTTACCTCAGCCTCCCAAAGTGTTGGCATTATATGTGTGAGTCACCATGCCTGGTCTAATTATTTTAAATCATGTTTTTTTTTATTTTCTGTAGAGAACCCTAGAAATTTTATACTTGCACTTTTAGCTTATACTGATATCTGAGAATTACATATGGTAAACTTTCAAAAATAAACCTTTTGAGTAAACAGAGAAAGGAATCATAAGCATGCTCTTTCTGAACTTTGTGTTTTTGCCTCAATAGTTCTGTTTGCTCTTTACTAGGGCTATTTGGCCATTGATTTATTTATTCACCCTGTGGCTTATACATTTCAATTATGTGAATCTCAGGAAATTTTCATTCTTTTAAATTCTGTGCGAAGTTGGAAACACTTAAATGACTTAGAAATTTTTTTTTACAGAAAATAACTTTCACTTTACTGTTGTAACAAATAATGTCTTTTGAACATAAAAACAGTAGCATTAATCTGTATCACATAATGAAATGTCAAGGAAAAATCAACAATGTCAAAGGTTACTAGCAGCTCCAGAGCCATGCATTCATATGACCAAAACGATGAAACAGTACATCCATTTTAGTTAAGAGATCAGGCAATTCAGAGAAGTATTATGCAATCTCTTTGCTTTCCTTTGTATAGAGTAAATCACAAGCATTGATATTATTATTATGCTGAAAATGAACCAATCTCACACATAAACCCTAAAACAAATGTAAATAAGAGCAACTCAGCAGTACATTAAAAATATTATTCAAAATAATGTATCTTATCCTATAAATCTTGCAATTATTTCATATTTGAAATCCTATTAGTATATTTCATCTGTTAGTAAACTAAAGCAAAAAAAATCTGATAATGGGTAAAACACAACAATAATTGTGGTCAACTCTTCCTGCACTAAGAATGATAACTACTTCCTTAACATGGTAAATAAATTTACCTCAAACAGCCAAGCATTTTACATATGTGCTCCTAAAGCATGATTATTAAGGTTGGTCAAGCTAAGCATTGCTGCTGTCCTCATATCACATAGTAGTGGTGCTGTGTGTTCTGTTACAGGAGAGAAACAGAAACAAAGAAGAAAATAACAAATAAAATTATCATTTTTGCAGGCTGCATAATTGTCTCAAAAAGTGGAAAACCCATCAATTAACTAAATACTACTGTAAGTCCTAGGAGTCTGGGAAATGTAATAACAATAAATGGCTTTCGTATACTGGAAAAAATCATTTACTCGCATTTCCACAATGAAATTGGTTCATACATTATTTTTCTCATTATATAAAAAAAGTTTCTAATACAAAATAAAACATTGAGTATATGTTACAAAGAAAAAGTTAACAAATACTCGCAGCACCCAGTAATAATCACCATTTTTCTTTTCTTTTCTTTTCTTTTCTTTTTTTTTAGATGGAGTCTCGCTCTGTCACCAGGCTGGAGTGCAGTGGTAGGATTTCGGCTCACTGCAATCTCTGCCACCCGAGTAGCTGGGACTACAGGCATGTGCCACCATGCCCAGCTAATTTTGTATTTTTAGTAGAGACAGGGTTTCATCATGTTGGCCAGGATGGTCTCCATCTCTTGACCTCATGATCCGCCCACCTTGGCCTCCCAAAGTGCTGGGATTACAGGCATGAGCCACTGCTCCCAGCAATAATCACAGTTCGAACATTTGTGATGTTCTTATAAGCATATGTATAAATGTGAATAATTTTGCATAGATTGGTCTTTATCATATATTTTTCCCTTAAAGCACTTTTAGTTTTTATAATTACCCTTTATCTCCCATTCTTTCATGACTCTGCTTTTCCCCTTTAACTGCTATCGACAAAGTGACCACTGGTAACAATCTCATGTGTATTCATTTCCTCTACATCGTTTTTCTCCAGTGTCATAGTACCTATAGCATGCACACACACACACACACACACACACACACACACACAAAATGCCTGTGACTATGTAGTTCTTTGTCATTGTTTGCCAGTTAAAAAATGAAGATCATATTATATTGGCCTATATAGTTTTCTTTTCTCAGCACTGCATCATAGAAGTCTCTCCAAATCACCTTCACTCTTAATGATAGTAGTTTTATATTTCTTGAGATAACTGTAATATAGTTCACTTAAACTTTTTAAAATATGAGCATTGACGATGATCCCAGAATTTCTGTTATCATAACAATGTTGATTAAACATTCTTGCACATAATCTGCCAGGCGCGGTGGCTCATACCTGTAGTCTCAGCACTTTGGGAGGCCAAGGCAGGTGGATCACCTGAGGTCAGGAGTTTGAGACCAGCCTTGCCAACATGGCAAAACCCTGCCTCCATTAAAAAATACAAAAATTAGCCAGGCTTGGTGGCACATGCCTGTAGTCCCAGCTACTCAGGAGATTGAGGCAGGAGAATCGCTCGAACCCAGGAGGTAGAGATTGCAATTGGCTGAGATGGTGCCACTGCACTCCAGCCTGGGCGACAGAGTGGGACTGTGTCTCCAAAAAATAAAAAAAATTAAAAAAAACATATTCTTGTACATAATTATTTACATATGGCATTTTATTTGTTTCTAGCTGTGCTAGTTGCAATCCTAGACAGCTACAGGGAATTTTTTTTTTTTTTTTTGGAATATGATCTTAAATCTCAGTTCACAAAGCCAGAGCCACTGAAAAGAAATTTTCTGTTTCCTAGAGCCAAGTAGACCAATGAATCTGCTTGTGTATTACATTTACTCTTTCAATCCTGGTAATGTAAAATGTGTGTTTACTCTTCTGCGTAACGCAAATTCCTCCCCCATTGATGTGAATCACATCCCCTTTTACATTTGTCAGAATCTTCATTACATCTATTATACTATTTATCTGAAATATTCAACCTCTTTTCATTTTTACGTGCCACAGCTGTCAGTATTTAGGCATGTATAAACCTTCTTCCATTGAAGAAAAAAACAACAATAGATAAACATAAAAAAACCTCATATTCTCTTGATCCCACATCTCATCCTCTCCTCTGGCAATGGCTTGTTTCTCTTCTATCTCTCACTACAAACTTTCTTGGGAGCTGGGCATGGTGGCTCAGGCCTGGAATCCCAGCACTTTGGGAGGCTGAGGCAGGCAGATCACTTCAGCTCAGGAGTTCGAGACCAGCCTGGGCAACATAGAAAAACCCTGTCTTCACAAACAAACACAAAACTTAGCATGACGTGGTGGCATGTACCTTCATTCCTAACTACACGGGAGGCTGAGGCAGGAGAATGGCTTGAGCCTGGGAGGCGGAGGTTGCAGTGAGCCAAGATTGCGCCACTGCACTCCAGCCTGGGTGACAGAGCAAGATCCTGTCTCAAAAACAAAACTAACAAAAACAAAAATTTTATTGGTTTGTAAACACCTACTGTCTTCATTTTCTTGGTCTCCCCTCAATCCTTGGAATCTAGCTTCTGTGCTCACAGTGCCACAATCCACAACATCTTTTTGATAAAAGCAAAGGATAGTCTTGATCTCTCATCTTTTTAAACTCAGGTAATAAACTAACACTATTTACTGCAATGGTTAATTAATTTTGCGTTTCAGCTTGACTGGGTCACAGGGTGCCCAGATTTGGTCAATCACTACTCTGGATGTGTCTGTGAGGGTGTTTCTGTATGAAATTAATGGGTAGACTGATAAAGCAGATTGCCTTCCCTAATGTGGTGGCCCTCACAAAATCCATTGAAGGCCTATTTAGAATTAAAAACTTGACCTTCTGTCAGGTAAGAGGAGACTCCTCCTGTCTGACTAAATTGAGTCGGAATACTTATTTTGTCTGGCCTTTGGACTGGAACTTACACTGTTGGTTCTCCTTGTTCTCAGACCTTTGAACTCAGACTGAAACCACATACTCAGCACTCCTGGGTCTCTAGCTTGCCAAGTGCCCAAGTGCAGATCTTGGGACTTCTCGGTGCCGTTATTGTGTGAGTCAATTCCTTGTTATAAAATTATATATACATATATTTGTGGATGGATAGAAGATGATAGATAGATAGATATGTAGATAGATAGATAGATAGATAGATAGATAGATAGATAGATAGATAGATAGATTCTGTTTCTCTGGAGAACTCTAATGCAGTTGCCCACACTCTTTTTCTTTTTTGTTTATTTCATTGATAACTTACCTTCTGAAATACTTGTTAATGATATAAAGATAAACATAGAAATTTCACAGTAGATAAAACTGCCACTGTTAACTTCACCAATAGTATGTTCAAACTAATATCTTTTTTATCTTTTTATTTTATCGTTCTTATTTCTGCCCAAAATTTAAAACCTCAGTCTAATCCTGAAGTAACATCAGACACTCTACAAACTAGCTGGCTTGGTATCTACAAAAAATTCAACATTATGAAAGGCAAAGGAAAGCAACTATTCCAAACAAAAGGAGACTTAAAAATGTGCAAAATAAATGCAATGTATAATTCAGTATTAGTTCCTGTACTAGGTTTTGCTGTGATGGTGGTGATAACGGTTATTGTCTGGACAATTGGGAAATATGGATAAGGATTGTGGACTATATAATCAAATAGTATCAATGTTACTTTACAAATTTGATACATCAAATATGGCTGTATTACAGTGTATTCTTCGTCTTGACATTGGAATATTTGAAGTCATGGGTATCATGTAGAAAACTGAATCTCAGGCCCGGCGTGGTGGCTCACGCCTGTAATCCTAGCACTTTGGGAGGCCGAGGCGGGCAGATCACAAGGTCAGGAGATCGAGACCCTTCTGGCTAACACGGTGAAACCCCGTCTCTACTAAAAATACAAAAAATTAGCCACGCGTGGTGGCAGGCGCCTGTAGTCCCAGCTACTCGGGAGGCTGAGGCAGGAGAATGGCGTGAACCCAGAAGGCACAGCTTGCAGTGAGCCGAGATCACGCCACTGCACTCCAGCCTGGGCAACAGAGCAAGACTCCATCTCAAAACAAAAAACAAAAAACAAAAAAAAACTGAATCTCGAATACTTAGAAAATAAGAGGGATTTATGTGTGTGTGTGTGTGTGTGTGTGTGTGTAGAAAGAGAGAGGAGAAAAAAGCAAATGTAGTGAATGTCAACATTTGGAGAATTTGTGTGAAAGTTCTGTGTAACTAATGTATGTCTGAAATTATTTCAAATATTAAATAATTTTCCCTTATAATTACATCATTTCTTAATGTTCCTATCAATGGGTTAGAAATCCTGCCCTCACCCATGACTTTGTGCTTTGACGTTCCCACCACATCTTTCTGTCACCAATTCTTTACAATGAGTTATTTTTCTCCATAACCTTCCTTCACTTCACTGCTGTTCAAACTAGAATTTTATCCTGTTTTTATTTAAAGAGTTTTTTACTGGCCTCCTCTATTATTTTTAAGTTTATAGCCATTCTGCAATCCTACTCTTTGTGCTCTAATCATTCATTCAACAAAAATGTAATGGGGTTCTGCTATGTGCCCAGCACTGCCCTTTGCCCTGGGAAAACAGAAATAAAAACAAAGACAGAATCTCTGATAAGATGAATTCTGGATTGGGTAGGAGGGAGATAATCAAATATAAATAAGCAAATAAATATGCAATGTGAAATAAATCCAGATATGTGGATAGAGCACAGCAGCGGATTGAGTCATTTAGGAATACTAAAGATAAAGTAAAATTTGCACAAAGTCATGAATGGAGAAAAACTAGGAGAAAAAGATCCTATGTCCAGGGAGGAGCAAAGACAAAGGTCTTAATGCAGGAGGTCACACAGCCTGGTCAAGAAGGCCAGTGCAGTGAGGAAGGAAGAGAGCAGTGCAAAATTCAATCTCAGAAGGTCCATAGTGTAGCACTTTATATGCGATGGTCAGAGCTCATGACCCCTTATGTAGCATTGTATATGCTATGGTGAGAACTCTATAATCCATTTATGTAACACTAAATGTGCTATGATAAGAGATCTGTGACACATTATGTAGGACTCTATGCTATGAGAAGAGTTCTGGGACCCAATCAGACCAACTTCTTTCGTTCATTTACCAGGCATTTCATGCATGCATTTCCCTCCTCCTGGTAAAGCCTACAGCCAACATTCCCAAATTGACTTTGTGTGAGTGACTTCTATTTAACCTTTTTATCTCCACTTTCTATGAGAATCATTCCCTGATACCCTCAACCCATAACTGAATTAGGTGGCCTCATTCTGCATTCCCATAGCTCATTGTACTACCCTCTCTGAACCCTGATCTCATTGCAATAGTAACTGTGATATCTTGGTTTATTTCCACTAGCACTGAAACTTTGTGAGAGTAGAGATGCAGCTGGTCCTGTTTGCCAGTGTATATTCAGCACCCAGCAGTACCTAGAGTGAAGGACGCCCAAAATTGCCATTTGCTGAGTGAAATAAATAAATGCAAGATTTTAATAATTAGATACCATTGCAGTTACATCAAAATGAAAAAAAACTATAATTACTGAACTATAGCAGGCAGTTTTATACTCTACAGATAAGTATGTAAATAGGTGCAGACTTTCAGAACCACAATTTGTTCAATAATATAAAAAAGATTCATATCATCTAATTGATAAATTCTACTTCAAGGATAGTTTTCCTAAATAAGTAAATAGCTATTGATTTTAGGTAAATGTTTTGGTATTTTCATAGGAAAATAACAGACTCTAATGAAATGAAATAATATGCTGCTACCAAAAATGATAGAATGAGCATATATTTATTAAAATGAAAACAGTCTATATTTGTAAGTAAAAAAAAATCAGGTTATAAAACTTTATTAACATCTAATAATTATATAATATATTAATATAACTATGTAACTAGAAGGATGTATACCAAACTATTATTAGTAACTAACTCTGGGATATGGAATTGCATGTAAGTTTTATTTTAAATTTTAACCTCTGTGTCTTTCTAAAATAAATATATGTTTTTAATAATAATTAAAAAAAAAGAGTGTCACGCCTGTAATCCCAGCACTTTGGGAGGCCGAGGCAGGTGGATCATGAGGTCAGGAGATGGAGACCATCCTGGCCAACATGGTGAAACCTCGTCTCTACTAAAAATACAAAACATAGCTGGGTTTGGTGGCACGTGCCTGTAATCCCAGCTACTCGGGAGATTGAGGCAGAAGAATCTCTTGAACCAGGGAGTTGGAGGTTGCAGTGAGCCAAGATCGTGCCACTGCACTCCAGCCTGGCAACAGAGTGAGACTCCATCTAAAAAAAAAAAAAAAGAAAGAGTGGTAGTTTTTCTTTTTTATTACACACATGTCAAACAATAGCATGTTTTAAAAGAACATTTCAGATAAACCTATTCAGTTAATTTTTATAACAAAAGGCATAGTGGAAAGGTGTATGAGATTTGGTGTGTAACAAACCAGGATTTAGTACCAGTTTTGCCCTTACACTGTGGATCAGTTAACCCCTCATAGCCAACATCTGAATATTGCCTTATCCCTGTAATAGCTATCTCAAAGTTTGTGAGAAATTGTGAAATAATGAATTTAATGTGCACACATCATACTAGCTAATAAAGCAACAGAAGTTATATGTAGTTTATTTCTAAAGATATCAAAAATAATTCTATTTTTTCACTAGGTGTTTCCCCCATTAGAACAAAAGCTCCATGATGCAACCATTTGCTTTTTTTATGTCTGTATGCCCAGAGAAATACTTGGCATGTGTAAGCACTCACGAAATGTTTTTGAACAGATGAGTGAATAAGTAAAAATGAGGTAGGAAAAAAATCCATCTTTATATTTATATCTTAGCCAAAGCAACACTGAATAATGACCATTATAAGATTGCTATATTGAGGGTTTCAATATTTTAATTGAAATGCATCTCTTAAAAGCAATATTAAAATACTTTAAGGAACTCAGAAGATTATCACCATTATTGTTTAACCTATTAAGAGAAAGTCAGACTTATTCCTCAATTAACAAATCAAAGCTTTAAAAAGGAAAAAAAAGAAAAGAAATAGGAACTAAGGTTAAAGTGATAAATTAATGCCAAAGAACCTTGTGAACAGTGATTAACTTCCTGACATTCCAACTACACTATTATTTATAATAATTCTAAACTAAGATTTACTTAGCTTTTCTAGAAGATGAGTAATTGCAAAATTATCTATAACAAGTTCCAGGACTTATTTCTCTTATTACCTAGCAATTTCCACCTTGTGGCTCATTTGGGAAAATATGAATATCCTATGCACATATGTATTTATATACTCACAGTTACATATCTATCATTTTAGTGATTAAATTCGTTATGAAGCTTGGATCATCTTAGAAACACATTTTAAAGCTGAAACTCTGTAGTAAAACCATAGCTCAATGTCTTTTCCTGACAAATAAATTGCCCTAGGAAGTTCAAAGAGCAGGAAAAGATCATTTAAAGCTTGAAATTATGTCTTTCCTTAAAATATAAATTCAGAAACTCCTTGGGATAGAAGACATCTCAAAATCTTTTTGGTTAATTACCAAAAATAAAATTATTCCACATAAAGAACCACCTATTCCAAGTTGTCATTCAGATGCTATTTGAATATCTCTGGTAATGAAAGTTTCAATGAGGGGATTTTTTTTTCTGTGTTGTGGCCTCAAAACCCAGAAGGTTTGCAATGTCGTGGGATTCAGTAAATATTTCTTAAATGAATGAATGGAGAATTCATTATCCTCTGAGGCAAACCCAATTTTTGTACTTTTTAACCATCTCTTTAGTGATGTCATAAAAAAGAATTAAAAAGATACAATACCTACTGTAGAAAAAAATACAATGAACAAAATACTGCTTGGAACAATCAGCCGTGGATATGCTTTCTTGTCAATAAATATAAATCAGTCACATCATACTTAGTAGATGCAAGGCATTTGTTTTAATGGATATATAATAATTTAACTTACCAATTATCATTTGATGAATATTTATATCACATTTTTGTTATTAATAACACTGTGGTAATTATCTTTGTCTGTGTGATTTAAAAAGGACTTAATGTCCAGGCATGGTGGCTCACACCTATAATCCCAGCACTTTGGGAGGCTGACGCAGGAGGATCTTGCTTGAGCCTGGAAATTCAAGTACAGCCTAGGCAACATAGTGAGACCCCATCTGTACAAAACATAGAAAAAAATTAACCAGGCATGGTGGCTTGCACCTGTGGTCCCAGCTACTTGGCAGGCTGAGGTGGGGAGGATCGCTTGAGCCCAAGAAATTGAGATGGCAGTGAGCTGTGATTGTGCCACTGCACTGCAGCCTGGGCAACAGAGTGAGACTCTGTCTTAAGAAATAATAATAATAAAATAATAATAATGACTTGATATAAACTGTTATGTCATAGTCCTTAAAAATCTCCTAGCAATTAATATTATTGCCCAAAAAGGCATTACATTGAACATTATGTGTTTTCAAAATTAATCAATTTATTTTAAATTGACAATAATTGTGTATATTTATGGAATACAATGTGATGTCTTGATCTATATATAAATGTAGAAATATTCAGTTAAGCTAATATTCATCACCTCACCATCATTTTTTTCTGTGTGTGATGAGAGCATTAAAAACCTATTTTTAGCATTTTGTAGCATATATACTATTTATAAACTGTGGTCACCATGCAGTGCAACAGATCACTAAAACTTACTCCTCCTGCATAACTGAGGCTTTGTATCTTTTGATCAATCTATATAGCTGGTGAAAAATGGCATTTCATTGTTTATACTTATACATGCAGCAAAACACAAGTGCTCAACGGCAGGGACTTTGGAATTGGGCTGCTGAGGCTGAATCCCTGCCTCACCATTCAATAGATATGGGGACTTGGGCAAGTTCGTTAATTCCTCTGAATCTTGGCATTTTTAGCCCATAAAATAGGGATGACAATAGTATGTACTATACAGGGATCTTACGTAATTCAGCCAAGTGATGTGTGTTAACAGCTTGGAACAGTGCATGACACAGTCAAGTGCTTTTTTCAAGTTGTTTTTATTGTGTTTATTTTATTATTGCCAATATATATTATTACTAAAATATTTTAAATATATTTTCTTCTCTTGGAAAAATATCCTTAGACTATGTTGTATATTTCAGTTTATTATATATATATGTGTGTGTGTGTGTGTGTGTGTGTGTGTGTAATAAATATACCATAATATATATACTGTAATAGGAATATACATGCTCATTATGTCATACTAATACTTTTTTCCTTTGGTCATTATATTAGTCTGCTAGCACTGCTATAACAAAATATCACAGAATGGGTGGATTAAGCAACAGAAACCTATTTCCTCATGGTCCTGAAACCTGGAAGTCCAAAATCAAGGTGCTGGCAAGTGAAGTTTTCCTGAGCCTTTCTCCTTGGCTTGCTGAGAGCCACCTTCTCACTGTGTCTTCATGTGGCCTTTCCTCTATGCATGAGTATCTCTAGTGTGTCCTCATTTTCTTATAAGGACACTAGTCAGATTAAATTAGGGGCTTCACAGTTGTAACCTCATTTAACCTTCATTTCCTCTTTAAAATCTCTGTCTCCAAATATAGTTTCATTGAGGTTTAATGCTCCAAGATATAAATTTTAGACACAAATTTAGTCATTTGGCTAAATACATGGTACCCTATAATGTCTGTCACTTTAGGAATTTTTTCAGGCATTTCAATGTAAGTGTAACACGTATAAAGAAGGATTCACAAGTCATAATAAGTGTGCAGTTTGAAAAATAATAAAAAGGTTAATGTATCTGTATAACCAAAACCCAGATCATGAAACAGAATTTGACCAATACCACAGAAGTCTGTCACCTTCTTATTCTTCTCCTAAACACAACGCCTTCCTCCTCCTCTGTTCTGAACTTTAAGGAAATGAATTATATATTATGCAGTCATTTGCATCTGGCTTCTTTTGTTCACTATTGTGTTTATAAAATTCATCCATGCATGAAGTTGTACTGCATTTATATCTATTCTATGTGATATGTAATTTGAATATTAGAAAATTCATACATATACTATTAATGAAATTTTGAGTTATATTCAGTTTGAAGCTAAACTCTTCCACACATCACTGTTGGGTATATACTTTAAATGGAATTGTTAGGTCTGAGGATATGTGCTCAATCAAATATATAGGATAATATCAGAGTTTTCCAAAGTAACTGTACAGATTTAAACTCTCATTGGGTTCTAATGGATCTATATCTATAACAAGGATCATCAGGCTTTTTCACGTGGGCTATTCTGGTAGATATGTAGTAATACCTCATTTTTAGTTTAATTTTTTATGCTTAATAATGAGTTGGAATGATTTTTCATGTATTTTGAGTTGGAATGATTTTTCATATATTTAGCCATTGAAAAAACAAGTACATTTAAAATGTATTATATAGTTATGTGCATTTATTTATGATTTTTAGCTTTTAAAGCATAATTAGAAAATTTTCCCAAATAAAGATTATATTTTAAAAATTCATCTGTGTTATTTCCTAGCATTTTTATGGTTTAATACTTCATTTTAAAATATTTAATCCTCCTCTAATTAATTCTCATGTAAGCTTTCAGGTAAGAATCAGACTTTTATTGGCCCATGTATATTTTATTCGGTTAGCTAATATTGGTTGGTCTAACCATAATCTTAATCTATGTCTGAGATTTTGGCTTGTCCTTGGTGCTGATTTTCTTTCTATGAGTATGTTTTGATGCATTTGCAGAAAGTTACTGTGTCCATGGGAAACATACATGAAGCTACTGTTTTATCTTATTCCTGAAAGTGCTTTTTCTTGTTAAGTATTGTAATTGTTGATTTTTGTGTCAACTTGACTGGGCTAAAGGATGCCCTAATAGCCAGTAATGCATTATTTCTGAGTGTGTCATGAGGGCGTGTCCAGAAGAAATTAGCATTTGAATCAGTAGTAGGCTGAGTAAAGAAGTTCACCATCACCAATGTAGGTGGGTGTTATCTAATCCAGGGGTCCTCAACTGGCCTCGTACTGGTACCTGTCTGTGACCTGTTAGGAACCAGGCCACACAGCAGGAGGTGAGCGAGCATTACCTTCTGAGCTCTGCCTCCTGTCAGATCAGCTGCAGCATTAGATTCTCATAGGAGCACCAACCCTATTCTGAACTGAACATGTAAAGTCTAGGTTCCACACTCCTATGAGACTCTAATGCCTGATGATCTGAGGTAGAACAGTTTCAACCCCAAACCATCCCCAATCCCTCCCATCCCCCATCCATGGAAAAACTGTGTTCCACGAAAACCAGTCCCTGGTGCCAAAAAGTTTAGGGACTGCTCATCTAATCCATTGAGGGCTCCGATAGAACAAAACAGGCAGAAAAGGGGCAAATTTGTCTCTCTCCAGAAAGGGTTCTGGAGTTGGGACATCCTTTTTCTCCTGCCCTCTGACATTGGAGCTCGTACTTCTCTGGCTTTGGGTTGGGCTTATACCATTTGCACCCCTGATTCTAAGGCCTACGGGCTTGGAATGGAACCACACCACCAGCTTTCCTGGGCCGCTGGCTTACATACAATAGATTATGGGACTTCTCAGCCTCCATAACTGCATGAGCCAATGGCTCATAATAAATGTCTTTCTACATATCTATACCTATCCTGTGGGTTCTGTTTCCCTAGAGAACCTTGAGTAATAGAAATATAGTCCCTATTTTCAGCATTGTAGGGTCATGAATCTTTTCAAGCTAATTCAACATTTCAGTTGACTCAATTCCTCACTTAACATTTCAGAGAGAATCACAGGATGAAAAAGGTGTTCTGGGAATGAACTTCTCCCTTGCTTCCCTATAATATCAAACATCTAGCTGCAGTCTCTGCATCTCTTAAAAATAACTTTATTATTTTGTGATAACACATTTTTATCTTTCCCATTTCTAGGCTCTTCTTACTACTCTCTGTCTAACCCAAGTCTCTTGCGCAAAAAGCAAGAAATTCAGGGCACTAGATTTTAAATTTCTGTATGTACAATATTTTACAGGTAATTTCATAAATGTATTTGATATTTTTAAGCCCATATTATTAAACAGAGTATTATATATTTATTTAATAATCTTACCTAGGAAAGAGAAAATATCTTGTGGATTAGAAGTCATTATATTTTGAGGTAATGTCTGACACATAATAGGGCTTAATAAATATTTTTGAATGAATGAATGACTAAGCTCATAATGGGAACTATGTTCATAATCCTTATCAAGAAAGCCATTAATCTGTTTATAAATATTCATATATTTTGTGTATTGTAGGAATTTGGACTATGAAGATTAAAAAGAAGAAACAATGCCAAAAACACATAGCTAAAGCCAAAATTGCAATTAGGTTTTTTGGAATGGAGTCAACACTTTAAATATACCCTTAGAATAGGATAGAAATGTGTGGGCCAAAACAAAAAAAATCAATGTTATAAAAAAAATCTTATTTATAGACACTTCAACAGAGCCCTTTGACACTCATTTCTATGATCTAATTTTTCAAGGACAAAGTATTATTTTTAGCTCAGCTAAAATCTCCTTATGTCTTCTAGGAGCCCACTTGTTGATTTTCTCTCCCACTCAGTTTGGCCAGGTATCCTTCCTCTCCTTCCCCAAACTACCTTGCATCTGTCTCTGCGATTAAAATTCCTATAGCATTTTCAGTAAACAAGTATAAGTTCTTGTGTCTTTTCTCTACACAAGTCTATGAGGACAGGGACTGTTACATTTACCTTTATGTTCTCAGCACTATGCCTCTTGCTTGACATTTTATAAATTCAATATAAATTTTGTTAAACAGAGCCAACATTTAAAATTGAAAGTCAGACTGAAATCCTCCAGTATGAATAGACTTAAGTAAAAGACTTTCCCCTTTATTTGCATAGGGCTCACCTATGGTCCTAGTGTCCTAAAAATAATTGTAAATATTTATCTATCACTTATATTTACAATTATTACTTCCCTGCAGCCCCTACCAACTACCATTCTACTTTCTGTCTCTATGATTTTGACTACTCTAAGTACTTAATATAAGTTAATCATACAGTATTTGTCTTTTTGCAATGGGCTTACTTCACTTAGTACATTTCTTCAAGGTTCATACACATTATAGCATTTGTAATAATTGACCTCCTTTGAAAGACTGAATAATATTTTATGTATATATCACATCTCTTTTATCTATTTATCAATTAATACTAAGGTTGCTTACATTTTATAGCTCTCATGAATAATGCTGCTATGAACATGGGTATACAAATATCTCCTCAAGATCCTGCTGTTGACTATTTTGGATATATATCCAGAAAGTGGAAAAACTGAATAACATGATAATTCTCCTTTTAATTATTTTTAGAAACTACCATATTGTTTTCCACAGTAGCTGTACCATTCTACATTCCCCCAAACAGTGTGCAAGGCTTCCAACTTTTAAACATTCTCTCCAGCATTTATTTTCTGGGGGTGTTTCTTGATAGTAGCATCCTAATGAGAGAGACGTGTTGAGACTCAGAAAATAATACTGCAAAATGAAGGCTTCAGAAGCAAAAGATTTTTTCTAGCCTTCTCTCACTCTCCTGTCTCTCAGTCCTACTTTCACCTAAGGCTAGTCATAGGAACTAGGACCTCTCTTCCCCAAGATGGGTCACAGAACCAGACAGTCTTTTACCCCATGGCAATCATAAAACCAACAACTTGCCTTCTGCCTTTCTGTGTAAAAACTGGCTATAAAAAAGATCTGACCTACCTTATTTGACTGTAGGTCATAGGACTTCCATTCCAAAGAGGGCCCTGCCCCACATCCAGAAGGAAGGAATGCATGCTCAGAGAGGCCAATTTTCCCTGAGTCTTTGGGGTTCTCATGCTAAAGGCCCCAGTGTACACATTAATAAGTTCTGTGTGCTTTTTCTCCCATTAATCTGTGTTTTTTAAATTGATTTATCAGTGAAACTTCAGAGGTGCAAGGAAAAATTTTGGTTGGCACCTAAAGGTGGTATCTCATTATAGTTTTTATTTGATTTTTCTGATGATTAGTGATGTTGAACATCTTTTAATGTGCTTATTGAATATTTGTATATCATCTTTGGAGAAATGCCTCTTCAAATCTTTTGTCCATTTTTGAATTGGGCTCTTTGTTTTGTTGTTGATGAACTTTGGGAGTTCTTTGTATATTCTGGATATTTATTCTTTTTCAGATATAGGCATACCTGGGAGATATTGTAGGTATTATTTCAGATTACTGAAATAAAGCAAATATTGCAATAAAGTGAATCACATGAAATTTTAATTTTCCAGTGTACATAAAAGTTATGTTTACACTATACCATAAATGTGCAATAGCACTATGTCAAAAAAGTGTAGATACCTTAAATATGCCAAAAAATACTTTATTGCTAGAAAGTGCTAACTATCATCTAAGCCTTCAGCAAGGCATAATTTTTTTGCCAGTGGAGGGTCTTGTTTCCAAGTTGTTGTCTGCTGAGTAATCACAGTGGTAGTTGCTGAAGGTTGGGGTGGCTGTAAACATTTTGTAAAATAAGACAATAAAGTTTTCCTGCATCCATTGGCTCCTTCTTTCACAAAAAACTTTCTCTGTAGCATGCCATGCTGTTTGGTAGCATATTACCCAAAGCTTCAAAATTGAAGTCAGTCCTCTTCAACACTGCTGCTGCTTTATCAACAAAATTTATGTAATATTCTAAATCCTTTGTTGCCATCTCAGAAATGTTCACAGCATGTTCACCAAAATTAAATTACATTCCAAAAAAACTGTTTTATCTGCTCATCCATAAGAAACAACTCATCTGTTAGAGTTTTATCATGAGATTGCAACAGTTAAGTCACATCTTCAGGATCCACTTCTAATTCTTCTTCTCTTACCATTTCCACGACATCTGCAGTGACTTGAACCCTTCAAAGTCATCCATGGGGGTTAGACTCAGCTTCTTCCAAACTCCTCTTAAGATTGATATTTTGACCCCTTCTCATGAATCACAAATGTTCTAAATGTTATCTAGAATGGTGAACCTTTTCCAGAAGGTTTCCAATTTACTTTGCCAAGATCTATCCCAGTAATCAATATGTATGTCAGCTATAGCCTTCTGAAATATATTTCTTAAATAATAAGACTTGAAAGTCAAAATTACTCCTTGATCCATGGGCTGCAGAAGGGATGTTGTGTTAGCAGCCATACAAACAGCATTAATCTGCTTTTACATCTCCATCAGAACCCTTGGGTGACTAAGTGCGTTGTCAATAAGTAGTAATATTTTGAAAGAAATCTTTTTTTCTTGAAAGGGAGGTCTCAATAGTGGGCTTAACCTATTCAGTAAGTCATAGTAAATCGCAAGTAGATTTGCTGTCATAAAGGGTTTATTATTCCATTTATAGAGCATAAGCAGAATAGAATTACTATAATTCTTAAGGGCCATAGGCATTTTAGAATGGCAAATGAGCATTGGCTTCAACTAAAAGTCACCAGTTACATTAGCCCCTAATATCAGATGTAGCTTTTCCTTTGAATCTTTGAAGCCAGGGATTGACTTCTCCTCTATGGCTGTGAAAGTCCTAGTTGGTATCAATGTAAGGCTGAATTGTCTACATTAAACATATGTTGTTTAGAGTAGCCACCTTCATCAATTTTCTTAATTAAATCACGGGATAACTTGCTGCAGCTTCTACATCAGCACTTGTTACTTCACTTTACATCTTTATTATGACAATTACTTCTTTTTTGAAATCTCAGGAACCAACATCTGCTAGCTTCCAACTTTTCTTCTCCACCTTTCTCACCTCTCTCAGCCTTCAGAGATTTGAAAGAAATTAGAAGACTTGTTCTAGATTAGATTTTGACTTAAGGGAATGTTGTTGCTGGTTTGATCTTCTACCTGGATCACTCAAGCTTTCTCCTTATCAGCAATAAGGTTTTTTCACTTTGTTATCATTCATGTGTTCACTGGAGTAGCACTTTTAGTTTTCTTTAATAACTTTTCCTTTGTACTCACAACTTGGCTCTTTGGCCCCCAAGTCTCTTCATTTTTGATCTATCTCAGCTTTTGACATGTCTTCCTCATTATAATCATTTCTAGCTTATGTTTTAAGTGAGATCAATGTGGCTTTTCCTTCCACTTGAAAACTTATAGTCCATTGCAGGGTTATTAATTAGCCTAATTCCAGTGTTGTTTTATCTCCGGGAAGAGGAGAGATGAGAGGGAGAGAGATGGGAAAACAGCTGTTCACTGGAGCAGTTAGAACACACAATATTTAGTGAATAAGTTTGTCATTTTGTGTGGGCACAGTTCATGATGCTCCAAAATAATTACAATAGTAACATCAAAGATCTCTGATCACAGATGACCATAACAGATATAACAATACTAAAGAGTTTGAAATATTATGATAATTTTCAAAATATGACAGAGAGACATAAACTGAGCACATACTGTTGGAAAAATCCCACCAATAGACTTGCTTGATGCAGGGGTGACACAAAATTTCTGTAAAAAAATACAATATTGTGAAACTCAACAAAGTGAAACACAATAAAACGCGGTATATCTGTATGTGATTTGCAAATATTTCCTCCCATTCTGTGGGTTAGGCTGCCTTTTACTCAGTTTATATTGTCTTTTAATATATACAGCTTTTTCATTTTCATGAAATCCAGTTTGTCTCTTTTTACTTCTGTCTGTGCTTTTGGTATTATGTCTAAGACATTCCCAAATCCAATGTCATGAAGCTATTGACCCAGTTAAAATGTATTAGTTTCTTAAATTTTGTAGGAAACAAAAAGCAGAGTTACAAACAGTTGTTACAATAATACTAGTTTTTATAATTTTCTATGTATTTACCTTTATTGAGATCTTTATTTCTTCATACAGCTTTGAATTACTGTCTAGCGTCCTTTTGCCCTTATAAACTTCCTTAAGCATTTCTTGCAGGCCAGATTTAATGATAACAAACTGTTTCAGGTTTTATTTTCTAGGTATAGCTTAATTTGCCCCTTACATTTGAAAATACATTTTGCTGGATATCAGATTCTATTGACAGTTTTTTCTTTTAGTACTTTGAATATATCAGTTCTATGCCTATTGTCCTCCATAGCTTCTGATAATAAATCTGCTGCTAATCTTATTATTGCAAATTCTTTGCATATAACAAATAACTTCTCTTTTCTTGCTTTCAAGATTCTTTCTTTGTATTTCGAAAGTTTGGTCATGCTCTGTCTCTATATGAGTTTTTCTGAGTTCTTTTTACTAGAGTTAGTTCAACTTCTTGAATGTTTATATCATATCTCCTAAAATTTGGGAAGTTTTCAGCCATTATATCTTCAAATATTTTCTCTGCCTATTTCTCTCTCTCTTTTCTGGAGAACTCTCTCATGTGTATGGTGGTCTGCTTGGTGATTTAGGTTCCTTAGGCTCTGTTTACTTTTCTTCAAAGTTTTTCTGTCTATTCTTCAGACCAGTAATTCCTTGTTCTGTCTTCAGGTTTGTTGATCCACTTTTTTGCCTGCATAAATCTGCCTTTGAATTTTGCTAGTGAATTTTTCAGTTTAGTTATTGTACTTTCCAGTTTCATAATTTCTTTTTGGTTTCTGTTTATGGTTTTCTACCTCTATATTGAGATTTCCATTTTATTCATGCATCATATTCTTGACTTTCTCCTCATCTTTCTTTGTTTAGTTTTTTGTGCATCTTTAAGACAGTAGTTTTGAAATCATTGTCTAGTAAATTGGCCCTCAGGCCTTTTTTCAGAGAGTTTCTGTTGATTTATTCTTTTCCTTTGAGTGGATCATACATTTCTGTTTCTTTGTATGCCTTGTTGAAAAATAAACATTGGAATCTATTCATATGGCAATTCTGAAAATCAGAGTCTACCCCTTTGTCCAGGGTTTGCTCTTTTCTTGTTATTGTTGTTCATTGTTTTAAGTTTTTAAATTGTTTTGGTTGTCTATGTGCTAATGACCAAAGGTGCAAACTTGAGGTCTTCTCAGGTCTTTTCTGAGCTTGCACGTCTCCCTATGTATACATGGTCACTTTTAATTTTTCCTATGTATGTAGTTGCTTTTGAATGCCCTGGTGTTTAATGTCTGGCTTTCCAAAAGAAAACAAGAGAAAAATGAAGTGGGTGGGGAGGGGTGGGGTGTGAGCTCGGCCATTTAAATCTTCTGGAAATTATTTCCACCAGAGAGGCAGAAGCTTGCAAAAATGAGGAAAATGCAAGAAAAATGTTTGCCTGCTGTATTAGTCTGTTCTCATGCTGCTAAGAAAGACATACTTGAGACTGGTTAATTTATAATGGAAAGAGGTTTAAATGACTCACAGTTCAACATGGCTGGGGAGGCAACAGAAAACTTCCAGTCATGGGAGAAGGGGAAGCAAACACATTCTCTTTCACATGGGATTAAGGAGAAGAAAATGAGAGCCAAGTGAAGGAAGAATCCCCTTATAAAAACATCAGATTTTGTAAAAACTTACTCATTATCACAGGAATAGCATGGGGGAAACTGCCCCCATGATTCAATTACCACTGGGTTTATCCCACGCCATGTGGAGATTATGGGACCTACAATTCAAGATGAGATTTGGGTGGGGACCCAGCCAAACCATATAATCCCTCCCCTGGGCCCTCTCAAAACTCATGTTCTAACATTTCAAAACACAAGCATGCCATTCCAACAGTCCCCCAAAGTCTTAACTCATTCCAGCATTAAACCAAAAGTCCAAATCCAAAGTCTCATCTGAGACAAGGCAAGTCCTTTCTGCCTATGAGACTGTAAAATCAAAAGCAAGCTAGTTACTTCCTAGATACAATGGGATTGCAGGCATTGGGCAAATACACACTTTTCAAATGGTAGAAATTGGCCAGAACAAGGGGGCTGTAGGCCCCATGCAAGTCCAGAATCCAATAGGGTAGTCATTAAACCTTAAAGCTCCAAAATCATCTCCTTTGACTCCATGGACTCTGGATGGGGTCCCACCTCTTGGGCTGTATCTTTGTGAATATGGCCTTGAGCAGCACTGCCCCTGTGGCTTTGCAGGGTACAGCCCTCCATTCTGGCTGCTTTCACAGGCTGGTGTTGAGTGTTTGCAGTTTTTGGAAACTTACGAGATCAAAAGAAAGCTACAAACCTGAGAGCCCTCACCCTGGAAGACATTCATACAATGTAATGGACTGGACTAATTATTAATGATGGTGTATATTCTTTTCATAGAAAGGATCCATGTTCAAAAACTAGAGGTTGGCCTGTGGTGTTATTTGATACACACACACACACAAATATATATTTATATGTATATACAACGTAATATATGTGTATATATAATATATAACATATAAAACACATATGCCAGGAACTGGCTTATAACTCCCAGAGCCCTTATCATAGTCTTTTGTTACAACATTGGGTGCTTTAGGCCTTAGAAAACAGAATGCTCAGGAGGAGCCAAGATGGCCGAATAGGAACAGCTCCGGTCTACAGCTCCCAGCGTGAGCGACGCAGAAGACGGGTGATTTCTGCATTTCCATCTGAGGTACCGGGTTCATCTCACTAGGGAGTGCCAGACAGTGGGCGCAGGCCAGTGTGTGCGCGCACCGTGCACGAGCCGAAGCAGGGCGAGGCATTGCCTCACCTGGGAAGCGCAAGGGTCAGGGAGTTCCCTTTCCGAGTCAAAGAAAGGGGTGACGGACGCACCTGGAAAATCGGGTCACTCCCACCCGAATATTGCGCTTTTCAGACCGGCTTAAAAAACGGCGCACCAGGAGACTATATCCCACACCTGGCTCAGAGGGTCCTACGCCCACGGAATCTCACTGATTGCTAGCACAGCAGTCTGAGATCAAACTGCAAGGCGGCAACGAGGCTGGGGGAGGGGCGCCCGCCATTGCCCAGGCTTGCTTAGGTAAACAAAGCAGCCGGGAAGCTCGAACTGGGTGGAGCCCACCACAGCTCAAGGAGGCCTGCCTGCCTCTGTAGGCTCCACCTCTGGGGGCAGGGCACAGACAAACAAAAAGACAGCAGTAACCTCTGCAGACTTAAGTGTCCCTGTCTGACAGCTTTGAAGAGAGCAGTGGTTCTCCCAGCATGCAGCTGGAGATCTGAGAACAGGCAGACTGCCTCCTCAATTGGGTCCCTGACCCCTGACCCCTGAGCAGCCTAACTGGGAGGCACCCCCCAGCAGGGGCACACTGACACCTCACACGGCAGGGTATTCCAACAGACCTGCAGCTGAGGGTCCTGTCTGTTAGAAGGAAAACTAACAACCAGAAAGGACATCTACACCGAAAACCCATCTGTACATCACCATCATCAAAGACCAAAAGTAGATAAAACCACAAAGATGGGGAAAAAACAGAACAGAAAAACTGGAAACTCTAAAACGCAGAGCACCTCTCCTCCTCCAAAGGAAAGCAGTTCCTCACCAGCAACGGAACAAAGCTGGATGGAGAATGATTTTGACGAGCTGAGAGAAGAAGGCTTCAGACGATCAAATTACTCTGAGCTACGGGAGGACATTCAAACCAAAGGCAAAGAAGTTGAAAACTTTGAAAAAAATTTAGAAGAATGTATAACTAGAATAACCAATACAGAGAAGTGCTTAAAGGAGCTGATGGAGCTGAAAACCAAGGCTCGAGAACTACGTGAAGAATGCAGAAGCCTCAGGAGCCGATGCGATCAACTGGAAGAAAGGGTATCAGCAATGGAAGATGAAATGAATGAAATGAAGCGAGAAGGGAAGTTTAGAGAAAAAAGAATAAAAAGAAATGAGCAAAGCCTCCAAGAAATATGGGACTATGTGAAAAGACCAAATCTACGTCTGATTGGTGTACCTGAAAGTGATGTGGAGAATGGAACCAAGTTGGAAAACACTCTGCAGGATATTACCCAGGAGAACTTCCCCAATCTAGCAAGGCAGGCCAACGTTCAGATTCAGGAAATACAGAGAACGCCACAAAGATACTCCTCGAGAAGAGCAACTCCAAGACACATAATTGTCAGATTCACCAAAGTTGAAATGAAGGAAAAAATGTTAAGGGCAGCCAGAGAGAAAGGTCGGGTTACCCTCAAAGGAAAGCCCATCAGACTAACAGCGGATCTCTCAGCAGAAACCCTACAAGCCAGAAGAGAGTGGGGGCCAATATTCAACATTCTTAAAAAAAAGAATTTTCAACCCATAATTTCATATCCAGCCAAACTAAGCTTCATAAGTGAAGGAGAAATAAAATACTTTATAGACAAGCAAATGCTGAGAGATTTTGTCAACACCAGGCCTGCCCTAAAAGAGCTCCTGAAGGAAGCGCTAAACATGGAAAGGAACAACTGGTACCAGCCGCTGCAAAATCATGCCAAAATGTAAAGACCATCGAGACTAGGAAGAAACTGCATCAACTAACGAGCAAAATCACCAGCTAACATCATAATGACAGGATCAAATTCACACATAACAATATTAACTTTAAATATAAATGGACTAAATTCTGCAATTAAAAGACACAGACTGGCAAGGTGGATAAAGAGTCAAGACCCATCAGTGTGCTGTATTCAGGAAACCCATCTCACGTGCAGAGACACACATAGGCTCAAAATAAAAGGATGGAGGAAGATCTACCAAGCCAATGGAAAACAAAAAAAGGCAGGGGTTGCAATTCTAGTCTCTGATAAAACAGACTTTAAACCAACAAAGATCAAAAGAGACAAAGAAGGCCATTACATAATGGTAAAGGGATCAATTCAACAAGAGGAGCTAACTATCCTAAATATTTATGCACCCAATACAGGAGCACCCAGATTCATAAAGCAAGTCCTGAGTGACCTACAAAGAGACTTAGACTCCCACACATTAATAATGGGAGACTTTAACACCCCACTGTCAACATTAGACAGATCAACGAGACAGAAAGTCAACAAGGATACCCAGGAATTGAACTCAGCTCTGCACCAAGCGGACCTAATAGACATCTACAGAACTCTCCACCCCAAATCAACAGAATATACATTTTTTTCAGCACCACACCACACCTATTCCAAAATTGACCACATAGTTGGAAGTAAAGCTCTCCTCAGCAAATGTAAAAGAACAGAAATTATAACAAACTATCTCTCAGACCACAGTGCAATCAAACTAGAACTCAGGATTAAGAATCTCACTCAAAGCCGCTCAACTACATGGAAACTGAACAACCTGCTCCTGAATGACTACTGGGTACATAACGAAATGAAGGCAGAAATAAAGATGTTCTTTGAAACCAACGAGAACAAAGACACCACATACCAGAATCTCTGGGACGCATTCAAAGCAGTGTGTAGAGGGAAATTTATAGCACTAAATGCCCACAAGAAAAAGCAGGAAAGATCCAAAATTGACACCCTAACATCACAATTAAAAGAACTAGAAAAGCAAGAGCAAACACATTCAAAAGCTAGCAGAAGGCAAGAAATAACTAAAATCAGAGCAGAACTGAAGGAAATAGAGACACAAAAAACCCTTCAAAAAATCAATGAATCCAGGAGCTGGTTTTTTGAAAGGATCAACAAAATTGATAGACCGCTAGCAAGACTAATAAAGAAAAAAAGAGAGAAGAATCAAATAGACACAATAAAAAATGATAAAGGGGATATCACCACTGATCCCACAGAAATACAAACTACCATCAGAGAATACTACAAACACCTCTACGCAAATAAACTAGAAAATCTAGAAGAAATGGATACATTCCTCGACACATACACTCTCCCAAGACTAAACCAGGAAGAAGTTGAATCTCTGAATAGACCAATAACAGGCTCTGAAATTGTGGCAATAATCAATAGTTTACCAACCAAAAAGAGTCCAGGACCACATGGATTCACAGCCGAATTCTACCAGAGGTACAAGGAGGAACTGGTACCATTCCTTCTGAAACTATTCCAATCAATAGAAAAAGAGGGAATCCTCCCTAACTCATTTTATGAGGCCAGCATCATTCTGATACCAAAGCTGGGCAGAGACACAACCAAAAAAGAGAATTTTAGACCAATATCCTTGATGAACATTGATGCAAAAATCCTCAATAAAATACTGGCAAACCGAATCCAGCAGCACATCAAAAAGCTTATCCACCATGATCAAGTGGGCTTCATCCCTGGGATGCAAGGCTGGTTCAATATACGCAAATCAATAAATGTAATCCAGCATATAAACAGAGCCAAAGACAAAAACCACATGATTATCTCAATAGATGCAGAAAAAGCCTTTGACAAAATTCAACAACCCTTCATGCTAAAAACTCTCAATAAATTAGGTATTGATGGGACGTATTTCAAAATAATAAGAGCTATCTATGACAAACCCACAGCCAATATCATACTGAATGGGCAAAAACTGGAAGCATTCCCTTTGAAAACTGGCACAAGACAGGGATGCCCTCTCTCACCACTCCTATTCAACATAGTGTTGGAAGTTCTGGCCAGGGCAATCAGGCAGGAGAAGGAAATAAAGGGTATTCAATTAGGAAAAGAGGAAGTCAAATTGTCCCTGTTTGCAGACGACATGATTGTTTATCTAGAAAACCCCATTGTCTCAGCCCAAAATCTCCTTAAGCTGATAAGCAACTTCAGCAAAGTCTCAGGATACAAAATCAATGTACAAAAATCACAAGCATTCTTATACACCAACAACAGACAAACAGAGAGCCAAATCATGGGTGAACTCCCATTCACAATTGCTTCAAAGAGAATAAAATACCTAGGAATCCAACTTACAAGGGATGTGAAGGACCTCTTCAAGGAGAACTACAAACCACTGCTCAAGGAAATAAAAGAGGATACAAACAAATGGAAGAACATTCCATGCTCATGGGTAGGAAGAATCAATATCGTGAAAATGGCCATACTGCCCAAGGTAATTTACAGATTCAATGCCATCCCCATCAAGCTACCAATGACTTTCTTCACAGAATTGGAAAAAACTACTTTAAAGTTCATATGGAACCAAAAAAGAGCCCGCATCGCCAAGTCAATCCTAAGCCAAAAGAACAAAGCTGGAGGCATCACACTACCTGACTTCAAACTATACTACAAGGCTACAGTAACCAAAACAGCATGGTACTGGTACCAAAACAGAGATATAGATCAATGGAACAGAACAGAGCCCTCAGAAATAATGCCGCATATCTACAACTATCTGATCTTTGACAAACCTGAGAAAAACAAGCAATGGGGAAAGGATTCCCTATTTAATAAATGGTGCTGGGAAAACTGGCTAGCCATATGTAGAAAGCTGAAACTGGATCCCTTCCTTACACCTTATACAAAAATCAATTCAAGATGGATTAAAGATTTAAACGTTAGACCTAAAACCATAAAAACCCTAGAAGAAAACCTAGGCATTACCATTCAGGACATAGGCGTGGGCAAGGACTTCATGTCCAAAACACCAAAAGCAATGGCAACAAAAGCCAAAATTGACAAATGGGATCTAACTAAACTAAAGAGCTTCTGCACAGCAAAAGAAACTACCATCAGAGTGAACAGGCAACCTACAACATGGGAGAAAATTTTCGCAACCTACTCATCTGACAAAGGGCTAATATCCAGAATCTACAATGAACTCAAACAAATTTACAAGAAAAAAACAAACAACCCCATCAAAAAGTGGGCGAAGGACATGAACAGACACTTCTCAAAAGAAGACATTTATGCAGCCAAAAAACACATGAAGAAATGCTCATCCTCACTGGCCATCAGAGAAATGCAAATCAAAACCACTATGAGATATCATCTCACACCAGTTAGAATGGCAATCATTAAAAAGTCAGGAAACAACAGGTGCTGGAGAGGATGTGGAGAAATAGGAACACTTTTACACTGTTGGTGGGACTGTAAACTAGTTCAACCATTGTGGAAGTCAGTGTGGCGATTCCTCAGGGATCTAGAACTAGAAATACCATTTGACCCAGCCATCCCATTACTGGGTATATACCCAAATGACTATAAATCATGCTGCTATAAAGACACATGCACACGTATGTTTATTGCGGCACTATTCACAATAGCAAAGACTTGGAACCAACCCAAATGTCCAACAATGATAGACTGGATTAAGAAAATGTGGCACATATACACCATGGAATACTATGCAGCCATAAAAAATGATGAGTTCATGTCCTTTGTAGGGACATGGATGAAATTGGAAACCATCATTCTCAGTAAACTATCGCAAGAACAAAAAACCAAACACTGCATATTCTCACTCATAGGTGGGAATTGAACAATGAGATCACAGGGACACAGGAAGGGGAATATCACACTCTGGGGACTGTGGTGGGGTCGGGGGAGGGGGGAGGGATAGCAGTGGGAGATATACCTAATGATTGATGACACGTTAGTGGGTGCAGCGCACCAGCATGGCACATGTATACATATGTAACTAACCTGCACAATGTGCACATGTACCCTAAAACTTAAAGTATAATAAAAAAAAAAAAAATTTAAAAAAAAATAAAAATAAAAAATAAAAAAAAATAAAATAGAAAAAAAAAAAAAAAAAAAGAAAACAGAATGCTCAGATCTTCTCCTGCCCTCCTTTTACCCACTCCAATGCAGGACTTTAATCTTCCTCCACCTTTCTGGTTGTGAGTCATGAGACCTTTCCCAAAAAGGGTCCTACCCTATAACCCGGGGGAAGGAATGCTGACCTCATAAAGCTTCTATAAAAACCCAAGAGGTCAGGCTTCAGGGAGCTTCATGCCCCTTTCCCCATACCTCACCCTATGCATCTTTTCATATGTATCCCTTGTAATATCCCTTATAATAAACCAGGAAATGTGAAAAAAGGAAATCAACTATTAGCAACAACAGCAACACAAGCAACACCATTCAATGGTTTAAAGGCTAGGTGGGCTAGGGTTATATATGCAATACTTATATTTGGGCGTGATGTTGATCAGCTGTGAACAAAGTTATACTGACTGGTATGCTTTCATTTTGGTGGTGGTGGTTGTTCATGATGTCGCTGTTTATCTTGTTTCTGAATTCTTCTAGGTCAGTCTTGTAAACTTTCCATATCTAAGATAGAAGATAATTTAAAAATTTTCTTTAGAGTATTTTTGTGTATATTGTGTGGGGGTAAGTGATGAAAGTACTCAAAATAGCGTCTTCCACCAAATATTTTAATATGCTGTTAAAAAGTAGTGTTACTTTTCTCGTAATATTCTGACATAGAGAAACTTACAACATAAAAAATAATGATGCTGCCAGTAACTTTATGTACAAAGAAGTTTGTCATTTGGAGATCAGAATAAATTAAACACAGTAGTGATATGATTTTAAACAAATACATATCAAATATAATGTATTTAAAAGATTTGTCATATATGTTTTAAGATTCTATTATCAGACTTAAATTTCATTTTAAGCATTCTATTTAAAATGTTAACTATAATTTAGAAATAATACTTAGGCAACTTTATTGATTTGTTGTGACTTTGTTTTTAGTGGATCAACAGGGGATAAATACATATGCTAAGGTAGGCTTCCACCATTTCTCCAAATTTTGCCTTGAGTCAAAACCTTTTAGAACTTCAAAAAAGTTAAATCAAAATTCCATTTTCACTACTTTTTATTGTTGATCCCTCAGTGCTTTCAGATAATAAGTGAAGCCAGCACTAGAAATGTTGAAATACGGTCAACCAGTTTTTCCCATTGAATTTCCAATCTAAACAGAAATCTCATAAGGAAACTACTTTCACAGAATCTGAAAAAATGCAGAGAGCTTAAACAGAATCCAAAACTTTGGATTATTATTTAAAACAACTCGCGATTCACTTGAGGTTATCTATATTGTCATTTAGCCCTCTTTTAGAAAGCAAAAAGGACTGGATATAAAACATTTTCCTAACTGCATGTAGTTACTCAAGTACTAACTTATAAAATCATATATTTTGGTAGAACTAGAAAAGGTATTAATAAAACTTAAATTGGAATTTAGTGTAAAATGTCAAGATTCTCATAGTTCATTTTCTTTACTAGTATTATTTAGTTTTATATTAAGTTTAATTTTTTTATTCTTTAAAAATTTTGCTGCGTTTCAGTTTGTTAATGTAATTGCTTTGGCTTTTTGTTTGTCTTATCAACATTGCATGATATTAAAAGAGCTTTTGAATTACCCTAGCAAATCTTGTATATAAAAATTGTCCTTGAAAAATGCCCTATTAAATGCTCCAAAAAGTCCTGCAGTAGAGCAGTCTCTTAAATTTATTTAACAAGAGTTTCACATACTTTTTGGCATAAATCTTTATTCTTTCATAAGAGCTTTTTTCCTAAAATATTAATATTGTTCTTTATTAAAAAAAGGAATAGTTTAAGATGGAATGTTTCCTTTCTTCTCTGCTAAAATCCTGTTGAAATAATGAAAAGTGCACAAGTGTTTAAATGCACAACAGAGACAAAAAGGAAGTGGGATGTTACTGGTTTACCAAAGCTGTAGCTGGATTTGTGGAAAATGGAAAGAAGATGGGAGGGTGTTGGTATATCATCAGAAGTGAGGAGGCAAAAGTACAGAAAATGTTCCTAAGTTTCCTAAGAAAGACAAAATGGAAGTGGCTTTGTTTTCTTTTCAGGATCCTGAAGAGTAAAAACACTCATCAGTATCACAAAGGAATTGCAGAAGTACTTGGCTGACTAGAAAAGGCTGATTAATCAAGTTAAGGGTCTATGGAAGAGTCTTGTTGGCTAGCAGTGTTTGCTGTCTATATAAGCTGAGTGACTCACAGCCAAGTCTTTATTCCCAGGCAAAAGCCAGAACAATGTATATATTTTATTACCTTTGGGAGACAGTGGGCTTTTCAGTTATCAATGTTCCTGAGCAAACCCAGTACATTCTAGAATTGGGGAAGACTGTGCTTGCCTGCCTGCTGTGTAGCCATACACCATAAAGCAAAGCTATTAGTTGAAGTGCTTGTCTGTGTAAGCAGAGCTTCTATTAATAATAAATTCTTTATAGGTGAAGGGGTAAGACAGGTATAGGAAGAAAAAAACTTATCTATGTGGCAACAGAGAAAATGGAAGCTAACAGCTAATATGAGTCATTTTAGTCTTTATTTTGAAGTAAGAATTGACATCCAAGGTACAACAGATATTTCAGAAAACTAGAAAAAAAGGAGGAATTCAAATAAATAAAGAACATGACTAAGCTGAGAGAAAACAGTAATCCAAAGTAAAAGAACAATTTCCAAAAAATTTAATTAATATTCCTTCAGATATTCATATATAATACATGAAAACCTAGAAGTCTATCACAATAAAAGTAACATAGAAAGGAAGTCTTTAAAATTAAAATATGACTCTTGAAAATAAAAAGCAATTGAAAGAATATAGATAAAAATTTTTAAATTTTAGAACATATAGCCTAAAAGCAGTAAGTCATAAGATGTGAAAGAGGAATAGAATAGAAAAAGAGAAGATAACAAACCTAATAAATGTAAGAGGTCCAATAGTCAATAAATTTGAATTACAGAGACAATAGAGAACATGAAGTAGAATAATAAAACAATAATATTAATAAATAAATAGAATAACATTTTCAATAGTTAAAGATAAATCTTCAAATGATAGATACTTTTGAGTGCCAAATACAATAAACAAAAATTGGCCCACATGGACCTCATAAACCTTCAGAATATAAGGACAATTTCTAAAAAGAATGACTTCAAATATAAGGACAATTTCTAAAAGGAATGACTATGTAATTTATAATCCAATCCTGGATAATTTTATAGCTAAAGTGATGCTTCTAAAATACTGTAGAACAGTAAGAATGACACAAGACTATCCCAGACACAATGTGACTTTTGGAAACTGTCCCTATAAAGGAACAAAATTAAGATTGATATCTGAATTCTCATTGGCAATATCAGATATTAGAAAACAGTAGAAATATGTTTCCATATACTTAGGGAAAATGATTATAAACCCACAATTTTATAAGCAGTCAGCATAACGATCAAATAAGGATAAAATCAATTTTTATATCTATATAATCTCAGAAAGCTTACCTTTCATAAACTTTTACTAGAAAAAAATTTTGAATAATAATTAAAAACAAAGAACCCAAAAAAGGAAAGTATGAGACGTAAAAGAAGCAGTAAATAAAGGGAAAAGAATCCTATATTAATAGTTAACTATGCAACCAATCCCCGGAGCAAATATTTCTTGCTTTAGCAGAAAGGTATAAGCCTCTAACAATGATGCCCTTTCAAAGAATATGGATTCCATATGATAAATAGCTTAAATTTTTAATGTCCATGTTACAAATATAATAAAAGTAGCCGCTTAGGGAAAAGGTAAGGTAATCAGAAACCCCAGGAAAAATTTTAAAAGCTTCTAAAAAAATTTGTGCTCAAAATATGTATTACTTAGAAATGTGGCATAACTTTGATTTTTCCAGTTACCCTTAGAATTGGCATAGAGAGAAAGATAAACCTCAATAAAATCATAGCTGGAGGTTTCAACACTCTACTTTTAGCATTGGACAAATTATCTAGACAGAAAATCAACAAAGAAATATCATACTTAATCTGTACTGTAGACCAACTGGACCTAAGAGATATTTATAGAACATTTCACGCAATGGCTGCAGAGTACACATTCTTCTCCTCAGAACATGGATTATTCTCAAGGATAGACCATACATTAGGCCATAAAATAAATCTTAAATATTTTCAAATGAAATTATATCAAGTATCTTCTCTGACAACAATGTAATAAAACTAGAAATCAATAACATGAGGAATTTTGGAAACTATACAAACACATGTAAATTAAACAATATGTTCCCGAATGACCAGTGGGTCAATGAAGACATTAAGAAGAAGGCTGGGTGCAGTGGCTCACGCCTATAATCCCAGCACTTTGGGAGGCCGAGCAGGCAGATCATGACATCAGGAGTTGATGCCAGCCTGACCAACATGGTGAACCCCTTCTCTACTAAAAATAGAAAAATTAGCCAGGTGTCATGGCATGTGCCTGTTATTCCAGCTACTCAGGAGGCTGAGGTAGGAGAATCTCTTGAACCCAGGAGGTGGAGGTTGCAGAGAGCCGAGATGGCTCCATTGCACTCCAGCCTGGGCGACAGAGTGAGACTCCATCTAAAAACAAAACAAAACAAAACAAAAGAAGAAAAGAAATTAAGAAGAAAATTTAAAAGTTTCTTAAAACAAATGAAAATGGAAACACAACATAACAAAATCTATAATATACAACCAAAGCATTACTAAGAGGAAAGTGTATAGTCATAAGCATCTACATCAAAGAAAAAAAAATTCACATAAACAACCTAACAATGCAATGCATCTTTAAAAACTAGGAAAACGAGAGCAAACCAAACCCAAAATTGTTGAAGAAAGGAAATATGTATCAGATCAGAAATAAATGAAATTGAAACAAAAACACAAAAGATAATTGAGATGAAAAAAAATTTTATTTTTTTGAGATAGAGTCTTGCTCTGTCACCCAGGCTGGAGTGCAGTGGTGCAGTCTTGGCTCACTGCAATGTCTGCTTCCCAGGTTTGAGCAATTCTCCCTGCCTCAGCCTGCCAAGTAGCTGGGATTACAGGCATCCACCACCACACCCTGCTAATTTTTGTATTTTTAGAAGAGACAGGTTTTTACCATATTGGGCAGGCTGGTCTTGAACTCCTAGCCTCAGGTGACCCACCACCCCTTGGCCTCCCAAAGTTCTGGGATTACAGGCATGAGCCACTGTGCCAGGCCAAAAAAACTGTTTTTTTGAAAAGTAAATAAAATCAATAAATTTTGAACAAAATTAACCAAAAAACGAGAAAAGATCCAAATAATAAAATTAGAGATGGAAAAGGAGACATTATAACCAATACTGCAGAAATTCAAAGGATTGTTAGAGGCTACTGTGAGCAACTATAGGCTAATAAATTGAAAAACCTAGAAAAATGCATAAATTCCTAGATACATACAACCTACCAAGATTGAACCATGAGGAAATCCGAAACCTGAATTTTGGATTTAGACCAATAAGAAGTAAAGAGATTGAAGCCAAAAAAAAAAAAAAAATCTTAGCAAAGAAAAGCCCAGGATCTGATGGCTTCACTCCTGAACTTTACTATGCATTTAAAAGAGAACTAGTACCAATCCTAATCCTACTCAAACGACTCCAAAAAATAGAAGAGAAGTAAATACTTCCAAACTCATTCTACAAGGCTAGTATTACCCTGATACCCAAACAAGATAAAGTTATATCAAAAAAAGAAAACTTTAGGCCAATTTCCCAGATGAACATTGATGCAAAAATCTTCAAGAAAATATTAGCAAACTGAATTCAACAATGCATTACAAAATCATTCATCATGACCAAGTGGGATTTATCCAACAGATACAACCATAGTTCAACATATGCTAACTGATCAATGTGATATATCATATCAACAGAATAAAGAATAAAAACAAATGATCATTTTAATTGATGCTGAAAAAGCATTTGATAAAATTCAACATCCCTTCATGATAAAAAACCTCAAAAAGCTGACTATAGAAGAAAAATATCTCAGCAAAATAAAAGCCATATGTGACAGACCAACAACTAGTATCATACTAAATGGGAAAAACTGAACACCTTTCTTCTAAGATTTGGAAAATGACAAGGATGACCATTTTCACCATTGCTAATCAACACAGTACTGGAAGTCCTAGCTAGGACAATCAGACAAGGGAAAGAAATAGCATCCAAACTGGAAAAGAAGAAGTGAAAGTATCCTTGTTTGCAGATGATATAATCTTATATTTGGAAAAACTGGAAAACTCCACCAAAAAACTATTAGAACTAATCAACAAATTCAATAAAGTTGCAGGATACAAAATCAACATACAAAGGTCATTAACATTTCTTTATACCAACAGCAAACAATCTGAAAAAGAAATCAAGAAAGTAATCCCATTGAAAATAGCTACAAATAAAGTGCCTAGGAATAAACCTCACCAGAGAAGTGAAAGAGCTTTACTATGAAAACCATAAAACACTGATGAAATAAGCTGAAGAGAAGACACAAAAAATGGAAAACGATTCCATGTTCATGAATTCAAAAAAATCAATATTGTTACAATATTCATTCTACCCAAAGCAACTCACAGATTGCAATCCCTGTCAAAATATTAATGACATTCTTCACAGAAATAGAAAAAAAAATTCTAAAATTTATGTGGAACCACAAAAGACTGAGAATAGTCAAAGCTATCCCAAGTAAAAGGAAAACTGGAGAAATCACATTACCTGATTTCAAATTATACAAGAGAGTTATAGTAATCAAAACAGCATGGCACTGGCATAAAAACAGAAACAGAGATCAATGTAATAGAAAAGAGAACCCGGAAATAAATCCATATATTTACAGTGAACTCATTTTCTACAAAGGTGCTAAGTGCATACATTGGGGAAAAGACAGTCTCTTCAATAAATGGTGCTGGGAAAACTGAATATGTATATGCAGAAGAATGAAACTAGACCACTATCTGTTGCCACATAAACAAAAATCAAAACAAAATGGATTAAAGACATAAATGTAAGATCTCAAACTATGAAACTACTAGTAGGAAATTTTGGAGAAACTCTTCAGGACATTGGACTGGGCAAAGATTTGTTGAGTCATACCCGACGAGCACAGTCAACCAAAACAAAATTGGAAATTGGATAAATGGAATCACATCAAGTTAAAAAGCTTCTACACACCAAAGGAAACAATCAACAAAGCGAAGAGACAATCCACAGAATGGGAGAAAATATTTATTTCTATCCATCTGACAAGGGATTAACATCAAGAATATAGGAGGCACTCATTAGGAAAAGAATCTAACAATCCAATAGGAAAAAAAATCTAACAATCCATTTAAAACTGGGCAAAAGATCTTAGACTTTTTCAAAAGAAGACATACAAATGGCAAACGAGTATGTGAAAAGGTGAACATCATTGATCATCAGAGAAATGCAAATCAAAACTACAGTGAGATATCATCTCACCCCAGTTAAAATGGCTTTTACTAAAAAGACAGGCAATAACAAATGCTGGTTAAGATATGTAGAAAAGGGAGTCTTCCTACACTGCTGGAAGGAATGTAAATTAGTACAACTACTGTGGAGAACAGTTTGGAGGTTCCTCAAAGACTTAAAAATAGAACTATCATATGATCCACTAATCCCACTGCTAGGTATATACTCAAAAGAATGGAAATCAGTATATCAAAGAGCTATCTGCACTCCCCTGTTTATTGCTATACTAGTCACAGTACACAACGTTTGGAAGTAACTCAAGTGCTCATTAATAAATGAATGGTTAAAGAAAATGTGGTATACATACACAACTATTTTATGTAGAGTACTATTCAGCCATAAAAAAAAGAATGAGAGCCTGTCATTAGCAAAAACATGGATAAAACTGGAGGTCATTACATTAAGTGAAATAAGCCGGGCATAGAAAGCCACGCACAGGTCATTACATTAAGTGAAATAAGCCAGGCACTTACTAGTGGGAGCTAAAAGCTAAAACAACTGACCTTACAGAGATAAAGTACAGAATGGTGGTTACCAGAAGCTGGGAAAGGTAGTGGGGGATGGGAGGGCATGGAGACAGTTAATGGGTACAAAACCATAATCACAGAGAATGAATAAGACATAGCATTTGATGGCGTAAGAGGGTAACTACAGTCAACAATAATTTATTGTACATTTTAAGATAAGTAAAAATATGATTGGTTTATCTTTGTGTTACAAAGGAATGATAAATGCTTGAGGTGATAGATACCACATTTGCCATGATATAATTATTACACTTCATGTACCTGTATCAATATATCCTATATACCTCATAAATATGGTATACCTACTGTGTACCCACAAAAACTGAAAATATAAAAATAAATATAAAGAAGTTGCACTAGGTTAGTGTCACAGGGTGATAGGGTGATATTTCCTTCTCTACAGATCCATCCTACCAGATTACTTGATGGAAAATTGAACATTAGGCTGGGCACGGTGTCTCATGACTAATCCCAGCACTTTGGGAGGCCGAGGGGGGCAGATCACATAAGTCCAGGAGTTCGAGACCAGCCTGGCCAACATGGTGAAACCCCACCTCTACTGAAAATAACACACACAAAAATTAGCAGGGCATGCTGGTGCACACCTGTAGTCCAAGGTACTCGGGAGGCTGAGGCAGGAGAATCGCTTGAACCGGGAGGCAGAGGTTGCAGTGAGCCAAGATCTTGCCACTGCACCCCATCCTGGGTAAGAGAGTGAGACTTTGTCTCAAAAAGAAAAGAAAAGAAAATTGAACTTTATAATCAATATGTTGAATGCCATTCATTGATTAATCTCCAAATTTTAAATCAAACTATGAACATAAAATTTAATTAAACATATGTTCATATAAATTATGAACATAAAACTCAATTAAATACATAAATCTAAGACCTTCAACTTAAAAACCTTCTGCGCAGCAAGTAGAACAATCAACAAAGGTTTGATCAAAATTTCTATTCTAAAATTCTAAGTACATGTTCTAAACCTTGTCAATATAAAAATAACGGTAGAGTTGGCAGAAGTTGAAAATGAAAGGAAGAAAATAGAAAGAAGGAAATCTAAGTTGCTACTTTTTATTTTATACATTGTGGAATTAGCTGCCTAAAATTGACTGGTCAAGAATCAGAAGCTGAAGTGCATAATTAAAAATTTTAAGGTAATTGATCCAAGAAACAATTACAAATTGAATAAATGTAGAGAAGGGAAGAATGTAGTTTAAGGAAAACACAAATGAACTAATATTTTCTTTTTTGAAGTAGAGATTCAATGTTTACTGTCTACACTTGATTAATCAAGACATAGAGATATAAGCATATTAGAATTTTCAAGTGACTATAGATCTAAGATAAGCATTTAAAATAATTTGTTTAAGGCCGGGTCTGGTGGCTGACACCTGTCATCCCAGCAGTTTGGGAGACGGAAGCAGGTGGATCATTTGAGGTCAGGATTTCGAGATCAGCCTGGCCAAAAAAGTGAAACCCTGTCTCTACTAAAAAAAAAAAAAAAAAAAAAAAAAAAATTAGCTGAGTATGAGTATGGTGGTGCATGCCTATAATCCCAGCTATTTGGGAGGCTGATGCAGGAGAATTGTGTGAACTCAGGAGGGAGATTGCAGTGAACTGAGACTGCGCCACTGCACTTCAGTCTGGGCAACAGAGTGGGACTCCACCTCAAAAAATATATATAAAATAAAATAATATAAATAATTAGCTTCAGGGAAGGAAAATTCAAGGTTAGATGATTTGTTTAAAAATTTTCATTTTGGGCTCTTTTGAATTCTTTGCTTTTTTTCTTTTAACCATGTTTTAAACTCATCTTTTACAACCATAATTTTAAAATCCAGAAATATAATTATCCAAGCTATAAACAGATGCATATTTGCATTAATAGAATTTCACTACACATACTGTTTTGCAATCCATATTTTAATTGAATAACATATTTTGGACAGCTTTTCCTGTCCACAAAAATAGGCCTAACATCCATTTTAATAGCAGAATAATTTGACTGTATTATACTTGATCTAACATTTTCCTTTCTGCTGAGAATAGTTTCCATGTATTTGACATTGTAAATCATGTGCAATGAATATCTTTGTGCATTTATTAATGCACATTTTGCAAATTTAAATTTCAAGTAAATTTATGGATAAAAAATTATCAGGGAAACTGGTAATGTGACATGAACATATACATTACCAGATGGCCTTCCCGACTATTTAAATCAATAAAAAACACCCTCATCGGTTTGTGGCAATGCCTGGGCTCATACCCACACTGATGCTCAAATCTTAGCATGCATCAGAAAAAAGTAGATGACTTATTAAAATATGAGTGATTGGGCACTACTTCTTTCCAAAGTTTCTAATTTTGTAGGTATTAAAAAACTCTGGGAATTTGCATTTTTGGCAAGTTCCCATGTAATGCTGATGTTGCAAGTCAAGACACCCCACTATTGAAACACTTGCTAGGGATCTGAAAATACCTTTTGAAACGCTGCTATGGATTTGAAAATGCACTCTTAACGGAAAACATTCTATTTGGAATTAGCATTATACCATTTCATTTACAATGTACTAACTTTACAATAGTAATTCCATTATCCTGTCAATTATCTGTGATGTCATTTGTTTTATTTATATATGTATATAGTAAAACTCACAACATATTGTTTTTGCTTTTTATTACCAATAATCTTAAAGAAATATAAGCAAAAAAGGTCTTTATATTTACCACTGTAGTAGCTAATGCATTTTATTCTGTCTGGTTGATCCATCCTGCTCTCTGGAATTAATTCCCCTTAGCCTATAGAATTTCCTTTAGTACTCCTCGTAATGAAAGGCTTCTAGCAAGGAATTATCTTGATTTGTTTTTTATGTATCTTTATTTTGTCTTAATATTTGGATTATATTTTCACAGAGTATAGAAGTCTCAGTTGACAATTTTGACACTATTTTTTTCTTTTCACTCATTACAACTGAAAAACCTAAAATTTCTACACCTAAAAGCTAGGGCTTATCTTTCTTTGTCCTCAGCCTAACTTGACCCACTCTATCATCATCTTCTCACCATCACACACCTTTTGCTCTGACCATACTGATTTATCTTCTACAGCCAGTTCTTTCTAAACTCATGTATTTGTTTATTTTACTTAAATTATAATACCTTGCCACATCTAGGCAGTATCTATTATTAATAACCAAACCCTCTTTGTATTAGTCTGTTCTCATGGTGCTAATAAAGACACACCCGAGACTGGGTAATTTATAAAGGAAAGAGGTTTAATTGACTCACAGTTCAGCATGGCTGGAGAGGCCTCATGAAACCTACAATCATGGCATAAAAGGAAGCAAACACATCCTTCTTCACATGGTGTCAGGAAGGAGAAGTGCAGAGAGAAGAGAGGACAATCCCTTTCTAAAACCATAAGATCTCATGAAACCTCCCTCACTATCATAAGAACAGCATGGAGGTAGCTACTCCCATGACTCAATTGCCTCCCATGGAGTCCCTCCCACAACATGTGGGGACTATGAGAATTATAATTCAAGATGAGATTTGGATGGGGACACACCCAAACCATATCACTCTTCTTTCATCAAAGCCTAGTCCAAATGCCCTTTAGGTATGAAGCATTTATTTTACAGTGAACTCTGAACTCTTCTAAAGTCCTAACATTTTCTCTGCTCCTACGTATAAACATCCATCATTACACAATACTTACTCATGTTACCATCCTGTCTCCTCTAAACTCTGTTAGATTGGGGTAAACTCTTTCTGTTAGAAAGAGTTATGTTATTATCTCATTCATCTTTATTTCCTTAATCTCTAACATGCTTATTGCAAAAATAACACAAATTCCGCCACCCTGTCTAGGAAGTGAGGAGCGTCTCTGCCTGACCGCCCATCGTCTGGGATGTGAGGAGCACCTCTGCCCGGCCGCCCTGTCTGGGATGTGAGGAGCGCCTCTGCCCGGCCGCCCCATCTGGGAGGAAGTGAGGAGCGCCTCTGCCCGGCTGCCCTGAATGGGAAGTGAGGAGCGCCTCTGCCTGGCCGCCATCCTGTCTAGGAAGTGAGGAGCATCTCTGCCTGACCGCCCATTGTCTGAGATGTGAGGAGCGCCTCTGCCCAGCCACCCCATCTGGGAAGTGAGGAGCGCCTCTGCCCGGCCGCCCCGTCTGGGAAGTGAGGAGCGCTGCTGCCCGGCCGCCCCGTCTGGGATGTGAGGAGTGCCTCTGCCCAGCCGCCGCCCCATCTGGGAAGTGGGGAGCGCCTCTGCCCGGCCGCCCCATCTGGGAAGTGGGGAACGCCTCTGTCCGGCCACCCCGTCTGGGAAGTGGGGGGCGCCTCTGCCCAGCCACCCCGTCTGGGAGGTGAGGAGCGTCTCTGCCTGGCCGCCCCGTCTGGGAGGTGAGGAGCGCCTCTGCCCGGCCGCCCATCATCTGGGAAGTGAGCAGCGCCTCTGCCCGGCTGTCCCATCTGGGATGTGAGGAGCGCCTCTGCCCGGCTGCCACCCCGTCTGGGAAGTGGGGAGCGCCTCTGCCCGGCCGCCCTATCTGGGATGTGAGGAGCGCCTCTGCCCAGCTGCCACCCCATCTGGGAGGCAAGGAGCGCCTCTGACTGGCAGCCCCGTCTGGGAACTGAGGAGCACCTCTGCCCAGCCGCCACCCCGTCTGGGATGTGAGGAGTGCCTCTGCCCGGCCGCCCCATCTGGGAAGTGGGGAGCACCTCTGCCCGGCCGCCCTGTCTGGGAAGTGGGGAGCACCTCTGCCCGGCTGCCCCGTCTGGGATGTGTGGAGCACCTCTGCCCGGCCGCCCATCGTCTGGGAAGTGAGGAGCGCCTCTGCCCGGCCGCCCCGTCTGGGAAGTGAGGAGCGCCTCTGCCCGGCAGCCCTGTCTGGGAAGTGGGGAGCACCTCTGCCCAGCCTCCCTGTCTGGGAAGCGGGGAGCGCCTCTGCCTGGCCGCCCCATCTGGGATGTGTGGCGCACCTCTGCCCGGCCACCCATCGTCTGGGAAGTGAGGAGCGCCTCTGCCCGGCCGCCCCATCTGGGATGTGAGGAGCACCTCTGCCCGGCCGCCCCGTCTGGGAAGTGGGGAGCGCCTCTGCCCGGCCGCCCCATCTGGGAAGTGAGGAGCACCTCTGCCCGGCCGCCCCATCTGGGAAGTGGGGAGCACCTCTGCCCGGCCACCCTGTCTGGGAAGTGGGGAACGCCTCTGCCCGGCCACCCTGTCTGGAAAGTGGGGAGCATCTCTGCCCGCCCGCCCATCGTCTGGGAAGTGAGGAGCGCCTCTGCCCAGCCACCCATTGTCTGGGATGTGAGGAGCGCCTCTGCCTGGCTGCCCCGTCTGGGAAGTGAGGAGTGCCTCTGCCTGGCCACCCCATCTAGGAGGTGTACCGAACAGCTCTGAAGAGACAGCGACCATCGAGAATGGGCCACGATGATGATGGCAGTTTTGTCGAAAAGAAAAGGGGGAAATGTGGGGAAAAGAAAGAGAGATCAGATTGTTACTGTGTCTGTGTAGAAAGAAGTAGACATAGGAGACTCCATTTTGTTCTGTACTAAGAAAAATTCTTCTGCCTTGGGATGCTGTTAATCTATAATCTTACCCCCAACCCTGTGCTCTCTGAAACATGTGCTGTGTCCACTCAGGGTTAAATGGATTAAGGGTGGTGCAAGATGTGCTTTGTTAAACAGAGGCTTGAAGGCAGCATGCTCATTAAGAGTCATCACCACTCCCTAATCTCAAGTACCCAGGGACACAAACACTGCGGAAGGCTGCAGGGACCTCTGCCTAGGAAAACCAGAGACCTTTGTTCACATGTTTATCTGCTGACCTTCTCTCCACTATTATCCTGTGACCCTGCCACATCCCCCTCTCCAAGAAACACCCAAGAATGATCAATAAATACTAAAATAAAAAATAAATAAATAAATAAATAAAACAAAAAAAACCCACAAATTATTTCTTATTCAAAATACCACAGAAAATGCAATTAGTATAATAGGCATACTGTTGACCAGAATAATTTTGCTTATGCTGCTTAATGAACTTTAAACTACTAACATAATTTCCTGTAACATTTTTCTTTTTGAATCTAAATGGAGACAATTGACATGACTAATTCACAGCATATGGCATGCCCATCTGCGGTGGACACTGTGCTACCCAGATCCTCTTTCAAAAATGAAGGACTTGTTCCCCCAGCTTTGGGAGCCCTCAGCTGTCAATCCTTCAGGGTCTGCCTTAACTTTAGAGAGCTACTGTGCCGAAGGCTACACCTTTAGTCCGTCCTTATCCAATAACAACTATCAGTATGATCAACAGGCCCAGCTCCTTCTCCTCAATGCAAATAGAACTCCATGTAAGGTCAACTGAGTCTTTATTGAGATTACACCACAGCTTGACTTCCTCCTTCTGTGGAATTTATTTCTTCCCTTCCACAAGTGTTTATTCCAACACCCTCCAATGTAAATCTCATTTTCACTAATCTTCATCTCAGAGACTGGTTTCCTGGGGAATCCATCTTGCAGCACAAGATTAAGATTGATTCAATGCAAAGTTAAATATTAAATTGTCATTCTCTTGCCAGAAAATATGCTTTAAAATTCTTCCCTTCCTCCCCATGCTCCTGATCAATTAGTATGTAAATGTCCAAGCAAAATATTAGTCTAATAGTAACTAGAAAAGTCAATTTATCTAAGAGTTACAATGAATTCTAAAGTCATATTTGCTTATACCTAACTTTTTCTCATTAGCTCATAAAGTCAAGGGCATAGTAAAGGAACAAATGTGTAATTCAGTTTAATTTGTGAATATTGTGGGGATGAACCCCTGCAAGTAGTTAATGTAGGTACATAAGCATAGATCCAGATATTGCCCTTAGCAGGCATTTGCCAGGTCATCTGACACTGCACAGTCTCAAGGAAGACAAACTGTAGGTATTTATAGAACTGGTCATAAAGCCATTTTGTGAAAACTGCCCCCTTTTTCACCTGCTGACTGAAGCAATATGTGATTATTTTGGTACAGAGAAGAGATCGATCACACCTTTTTAGTAGAATAAAAATAATAACAAATTCAAGAGAAATGAGGAAAAGCTTTTTTGTTCCATTTAATACCCATTCAAAATGCTTACATCCTAGGCTTTAAATTGAACTTGAGCCTTTTCAGATTTCTGTTCCTTTCATAGATGAAGAAAAGCCATTCTCAGCTTCAATAAAGAATACAAAAAAAAAAAAAGGTATGCCAGCTTAGTGTACACTAGTTTCTAGTATATTGAGAAAAATAGGTTTCATATAAAACCCACATAAATTTTCTTTTGTACTGTGTAATATTTTCATTTTATTATAAACGGAAAAGAGAATGTCTATAACAAAATTCAGAGAATAAAGAAGAGACAGAAGAATACAAATATCCTAAGTAATCAAACCATAGTTAAGTCAGGGATGGATTGATGAGAACAAAAATTAGTGTTTTTATTATGCAGTTTGTAAGTGTGGGAATATACAGAGGCTCAGAATAAGTCACAGTAAAGCATTCCCACACAGTGGAGCATAGCTTCCATATCATTATTGTGGAGCCCCAGGGAGAAACATAATATATCACTTCTTGAATTTCTGCATACATATCATGTGTAAGTAAATACTACTCATAAAAATTGCATTTCAGTTTTAAATATTCTATTTCAAACTTTGATCTGTTCCTCTATATTGAATGAAATTATTTCTTGGATCATTTAATTTTGCTAAAGGGCCATTCTGGACAATCAAGTGAATGTGACAAAAATATTTTCTTAAAATTTTAACTTGGAAGAATGATACTAAAATGTTTCTGATAATATTAATGAGTGTTTAGATAAAGGCAGGCAGTTAGATAGTAAAGTCTATTCTGACAAACTAAGCCATAGGCATCATCCTTGTTTGGGAGAGTTAAATAGAACTGAAAATTCAGAAGAAGGAGAAAGAACTTGGGGACAAGATACATTCATTCATTCATTCTTTGGACAGGGGAGAAGAATATTTTATGTTGCTCATTGTTTTTGTGTTCACAGGCTTTTTAATAAGGAGGAATAGACACGGAAGCAAAAACTTAAAATGATTTGTATGTTATTATGCAAAAATTTTAAAAAGAAAAAAAAAAAAAACAGATTTGAAAGTGCACCCAAGTCTACCCAGAGTATCAGGGAAGACTTCGGAAGGGAGAGTTGGAGTGAGCGGTTTGCCAGGGGCAGGGTCTATTTGAGAAGGTGCCAAAGAACTATTTGGCCTGTGCCTCACATTCACAGCAGGCTCAGGATGTGAACTTTGTCTTTGTCTTCAAATGAAGCATATGTATAGAAACTTCATGTATGTTGGTATGTGTGTATTTGCCAAGCATGTCATTCTGTTCAATATAAGCGTTTTAAATACACCACATTTTAAACCCTCTTGATAGCTTTTGACCTTTCTAATGTAGTAGTAGTTGTCTCCAAAAATGGAAGAAACCCAGACTCTTAAAACTCCTGAAAAGTCCTGGGCTATTTATTTATTTATTTATTTGAGACAGGGTCTCACACCTCACTGCAGCCTCCACCTCCTGCACTCCAGTGATCCTACCATCTAATTCATAAGTAGCTGTGATTACAGGCATGTGCCACCATGCCCAGCTAATTTTTAATATTTTTTGTAGAGATGGGGTCTCCCTATGTAGCCAAGGTTGGTCTGGACCTCCAGGACTCAAGCAGTCCTCCCCCATCAGCATCCCAAAGTGCTGGGATTACAGGCATGAGCCACTGCACCCAGCCCTTTTTTTCCTCCTTTGGGAATGTTATTCATCTTATAGAAATAGATGTGAACATAATTAATGCCAACATTGCTTTCACTTATCTCACAGGCCAGAGGAAGTTTCTAGTTGTTCATTGTGGAGCAGTTCCCTTTCCTATGTATATTCACTGGTTGTCATGAATGCACCTGATACCACCCCTTTCTACCCGCTCCTCTTATTCCACTTTCCTTTTTTTTTTTTTAAGAGAGATTTTCACTCTGTCGCCCTGGCTGGACAGACTCCCAAATAGCTGGGATTACAGACATGCAACACCACGCCCAGCTAATATTTTTGTATTTTTAGTAGAGACGAGGTTTAACCATGTTGGCCAAGATGGTCTCGAACTCCTGACCTCAAGTGATCTGCCCGCCTCAGCTTCCCAAAGTCCTGAGATTACAAGCATGAGCCACTGCATCCAGCCTTCCTTATTCCACTTCTAAACCTCCATTCCTAGAACTTCCACCTTTCTTAAAAAGTATACTCCATAAGAAACAAACATGATTTAGCCTAAGACAGAATACTTCCACTCACTTAGGAGATGAATTTTGTATGAACAATCTCTGAGATTCATTAAACAATATTTGGGTGATTACTAAGAAGCAGACAATATTCTTGGATATGCATTAAACAAGATAGGGAAAAAAAAACCCTCTATCCTTATGGAATTTATATTTTGTTGGTTTGTTTTGAGATGGAGACTCGCTCTGTCGCCAGGCTGGAGTCAGTGGCATGATCTCGGCTCATTGCAACCTCCACCTCCCAGGTTTAAGCAATTCTCCTGCCTCAGCCTCCCGAGTAGCTGGGACTACAGACGTGCACCACCATGCCCAGCTAATTTTTGTATTTTTAGTAGAGACGGGGTTTCACCATGTTGGCCAGGATGGTCTCAATCTCTTGACCTCATGATCCGCCTGCCTCGGCCTCCCAAAGTGCAGGGATTACAGGTGTGAGCCACCATGCCTGGTCTGGAATTTATAATTTAAAGCGTATTTTTACCTGCTATTTATGTAATTTTCAGTTCATACAGAACTTGATCACTAAATGGTTTTTTGATAGCACATCTTGTAAAGAAAAAAATGACAAGAAGAAGAAGCAATGAATGGCCTTACTGCCAGCTCTCTCATTGGGCTAGGTTTAGAATAAACATATAGAAATGGCTTGTATGATGAAGTTAAGAACCCTAAAACAGAAAAAATATTTAGGAGAGATTTGTTTTCTCAAGAAAACTATCATTTTTTTTGTAAAATTATTCCCTCCTGGAAGAAATTCTTTGCCAGTAACAGTGAAAAGTAATATAAATTCTAAGGCAATATTTTCACAGTTTTTACATTTGGAAACTCACTTGCAAATATGTAACTTTTCTCCCAAGGTAGAATTCTACTTTCCCAAAGAGGTACATAGACAGACTGCTGGCTTCGGTACTGGAACACTAAATAGTCAAGCTGGCTTTGAATTCTCACGCTGCCCAGCAACACATTTGTTTTCTCAGAGTCTATTTAGCCCAGCACGAGATGTTATGATACCACTGAGAGCCAAGCTGCTACCCAGCAATGCAGGATGTTTGCCACAACTTCCTTAATTACTTCAGTTGTGCATATGGCTGAGCATTTACTGTGTGCAAAGAAGCTATGAGGTATGAATCATTTTGTGGCTGGACCTACATTTTAGTCTTTTTTATGAGCAAGGGAAGTAGGTAAAGACATGGTAGATGAGGGGGAAAAAAGTAAATTCACTTAAAAGGGAAACTTCACTCACCAAGAGGTAAAAAGAATGTATGTACAACTACATATAAAGATATATAGATATTATCTAGCTATTTAGCAATGCTTCTTTAATAGCATGCAACAAAGAATTGTCTTTCAGTAGAATTCCATCATCATCATCAACTCCCATTCTCAAGTTTCCTGCTGCTTTTAGAAAGGCACATGAAACCTGGCTACGGGGTATATTTTCTAACCATACTTATATCAAAAATTGGCTAGCTGACTAAATTCTGGGCAATGAGAGGCAAAAAGAATTAATATATGCAACTTTCAAGTTTCTTCTTTATGAAGAAAGCTATTTGTCTTTCACTTTCTCTTTCCTATTATATTCTGAAATATAATTGTGGTAAAGGCAAGAACTTTTTCCACCTGGAGTGGTGAAAGACAATGTCTCAGAAAATGGTAGAGTAAAAAAAGGGATTTGCATATTCATACATACAGCATATCTCTATATATGCACATAATAGGATATTAATATGTTTGTTACTTGCATATTGTTTCATTGGTTGTGCTCCCCACAAAATTAAAATATGTATTTTTTTGTAAAAATTTGTTATACTCTATCTACATAGCAGATTTATTTCAATAAATGTTGTTTTAACTTCTTGATTTTGTCAGGCAATAAAAAAGCTCTTATTAATCATTATTTCTTGATGTAGTATGTTTTCAAAATATTGTTTGTGATCATTTACTAATGCCTTATGTTCATATTGTTTCTGTTCTGAAAAATGCTGAATTTGGATACAAATTCAGAATAGTAAAATTATTAAGACTTCTTTTTATGCCTAAATTATTTTTTTGCTTCCTGGACTGCTGAGCAATAAAATATTATTATTATTATTTGAGACAGGGTCTTGCTCTGTCACCCAGACTGAAGTGGCACAATCATGGCTCACTGCAGCCTCAACCTTCTGTGATCCTCCCATCTGAACCTCCCATTTTTTTTTCTTTTTTTAAGGGTAAGAGAAAGGGTAGGGAAAACAAAAGTAATATTTTAATATTCTCTAAATTTTAATGACTTTAAAACTATTGGGAGAACTCTTTTCTATACTATTTATAAGGTAATAAAATACTTTACTGGTTTTAAAAAAATTCTCATATTTAAGAATAAAACCTAGTATAACTGTCTATAAAATAATTATTTCCATATATCCAGTTTTAAACATTATTGTCAATCAGAAACTATCTATGGGATAAATTAAAGGCCCTGGAGTTATGTTAATATCCTCATGATTCCTTTCCCATCCCCAAATCACTATCACTGTAACAATCTGAAACCAGCAATCTCCTTCCTCCACTTAAGGAACAAAAATCTCTCTATTGGTTAACCTCTTAGAAAATTATCTACACCCTATTCAAAACTTCTGTAGACTCCATGGAATAATCCTGATTCAATTTTGTTACTTAATGGATCATATTGAAAAACCCAAACTGGGAATTGTTCAGCAGACACTATTATCACAGATTCAAGTTTATTTTTTAAATATTAGCTCCCAGGAATTAAATCAATGCCAATGGCTAGGGTAAATGCCTTCTACTGAGCCTACCAGGTAGCAAAACAAAAAAGAACTGTTATTTATACAAATGTTAAATATGCTCTAGAATGCTTTGGTCTTTTTATTTTTCCTTTTATTTTCAGTATGGATTGAGAATTTTCTTTGCTGGTAAATTGTATTTTACTGGAACTTTTATTCAAAAATGTTGAACACCTTTTCAACATTAGAGTAAATGGACTTTTAAAACCAAAGTAGAGACTAAATGGACTTCCAAAACCAAAATTGGCAAAGCTATAAGAAGTCTAAAACTGCATTTGTCAATATGGTGGCCACTACCCACCATATGTGGCTATTTAAACTCAAATTTGAATTAAACTTAAAATAAAAATCCAGTTCTACAATTGCACCTGCTGTATTTCAAGTGCTCAATAGTTACATGAGGCTAATAGCTGCAATATTAATTAGCATAAGTAAGAATATTTTCTCAGTATGAAATGTTATATTAGAGAATACTATCTAGAACTTTCATTGCTTTCTATTAGCCTTGATGCTATGAGATTTCTCTTTATGAGCTAAGAAAAGACTACCTCATACCCTGTTATAATCTCATGTTTGATCAGAGATGCTATCCTACAGCAAGCCAATATAGATACAAACAACTCTTATCTTATACAAACAAAGTCTAATAATTTAAGCCAGAAAAATAGAGCTTTTTTAAAGATAGCCGCATAAACAGCTCCTGTACAACCTGAGGTGTGGGGAAAGGAGAGAGAGAGAGAGAGAGACAGATCCATCCTTCAGCCTCTATGGAAAGTACTTTGTCATACTATTAATAATGATCGCTAAGAAAAACGTTATTAGTATTGTTAACAATTCATGATAATTTATACAGCACTAAAACTCCAAGAAATCGATCTTTGGATTTATTTTTTCCAATTAAAAAGACATAGCCATCTTTTCTGCTTCATTGGGCTTGAACACTATTGGGAGACTTCCAGCTGAGTAGCCTTCAGAACCTCCAGAAGCCAAGTAGCCTGGGAGTTATGACCAAGACTCCCTTAACATTCCCTTTAGTTTTACTAAACTTATTAGATAGCTTTTTTCCGGACACTAAGCCCCCAACCTTCAGTTTCCTAGTCATATACATTATAAAACTTTCATTCAAAAATCCCTTGTCTGTCCCTTTAAAATGTAAATCTTTTTAAAGCCTGCTGCTAGTTTTACAATCCAGGAATGTCTTTCTGAAGAACTTGGAAGCAATTTCTTTCAAATGCAATTATTGAAGGAGATAGACCTCCCAGTCTCTGTGGGAGCGTAAGAGCCTAACTTTGGTAGGCCCCTTGATCCAACTTGTCAACTTGTCTCTTGTCATGAAGATAAAATAAAATTTAATTTCTGTTTGAGTAAAGCAAATTAGTAAACACCCAAGGCTGGCCTAAGATTCTCCCTACCCTAGCTCTTAAAAACTCTTTATGTCATCACCACCACAGAATTGTGTAACCAGTCTTGGTATGTGCTTTCTCCCCTATTGCTGCAACAGTATCAGAATAAAATCAATTTCTGCTTACTAATCTTGTTCAGTGTGATTTTTCTTTTCCAATAGATAGCTGATTCAAAATATCAGTTTAGATGACAACACAAAGTAGGTAATTTTCAACCAAGAAGTTGAGTTAATATGAATTTTCCAATACGTTTATGCTTTTTTCTCTTTTCTATAATACTATTCTTGTCTGTTACACTTCTATGCTCTCTGGTAATCAATTAAAGAGTTTTCAATATGCTCTCCTGTACTTCCACCCCCATAGTATTTTAACTGCCACTTAAAAAAAGACAAAACTTTTATTGGTTTTGTTTTCCTATCATAACTACTGATCTGAACCTAATGATTGCTGATGTGTCAGTCTTCACCTGATCCTGCTGCTCAAAATTCAACTAATGTTCTTTAAATTCTTCAGAAGGTTGATTTTCTTCTTCATGTTCATTCAAGTACTTACATTTTTCTTTCATTATTAATCCAACTTTTAATTTCATTATAAGTAGATTTTGATCCCTTGCCAACAAAATGCTTCTAACGAGATCAGTACAGTCCTTTCATCAAAACTCAGTTTTGTAAGAGTGGAAACTAATAGTGAAGTGGCTACACTGTCTGGGGTAGATACCAGGGGATCATTGTCTCATGCCAGGAAAATTTAGAACACAGACACACAGGAGAGGTTTAGAAGTGGAGGTGTAATAGGCAAGAAGAGAAAGAAAAAGGAAAATAGCTCTCTCTCCAGTGAGAGAGAGGGGACTTCCCAGAGGAAAAGGCCAGCCAGTGGTGGATGAGCCAGATTTTATAGTCAGGTTTCAGGAGGTGGTGTCTGATTTACATAGGGCTCACAGATTCGTTCCATCAGTTATGATGTTTACATAGTGCTTGGGGAAGGCTGGCTGCCCCACCCTAATCTTATTATGTAAATGAACTTTCCCCATTGGCCGGGACCGTCTTGTCTGCTCTTTACTGTACACACAGCTGACAAAGAGAAGGGAAGATGGAACTGCGATCTTGAACATGATTGGCACAACTACCAGCATCTACGTCTGCAGCTTGATTTTACAGGCTGCTCTTTGTTAGAAAGGAAAATAATTTGGGGCTGCTTTTTGTTTGACAAAAGGTAAAGGAAAACCTTACTGAGGACTTCTGTACTCTCACTATCTGCCTAAGTAATTTCTTCTTAATTCCCCTATCAATAGCAGGACTATCCTTTTATGTCACACTCAGCTTGTTACTTTGTAAGTTCTATTTAACTTCACTCAGAAAACCTGTTCTCATTAAGGTACACAAGGTTGTTTCCCCTGTTGCCATAAATGGTTTTTATATTCCTGATACATTCTGTATCCTACAGTACTACTTATTCTACAAACACCAACTTTTCCCTGAAAACCCAACAAACCAGTCTCTAATTCTCAAGTGTTACCAGGTACCATTACATTAGCCCTTGATTTTCTTTTGGCTAGATGAGAAAGCATGATATAGCAAAAACTTCTTGGTGCCCCATATGGAACGGTCCATGAACAGGCCAGTTAAAACAAAAATAAGCAAACAAAAACACTTGGCTGTGTGCAGTGGCTCACGCCTGTAATCCCAGCATTTTGGCAGGCAGAGGCGGGCAGATTGCTTTGAGCTCAGGAGTTCGAGACCAGCCTGGGCAACATGGCAAAACTCCATCTCTACAAAAATTACAAAAATTAGATGGGCATTGGTGGTTCGTGCCTATAGTCCCAGCTACTCAGGAGGCTGAGGCTGGAGAATTGCTTGAGCCCAGAGGCAGAAGTTGCAGTGAGCTAAGATTGTGCCACTGTACTCCAGCCTGGGCTACAGAGTGAGACCTTGTCTCAAACAACAACAGCAGCAACAACTTGACTCTGAAAAAAACCCATCTGAACCGTGGAATATGGTTTGTAGTCAGAGTTTGGTCATCTAGGTCTCCGGCTTCTATTATGAAAACTAATACTCATTTTGTTTCTGGTAAAGGCCTGTACGGCAGTTAGCTGATGAGTTCTTCCCAGAGTCCTAAAAGTTACTGTGTAGCCATTATCAAATTAGTTTGATAACTTATCCTGAAACAGGAAAGACTAACTTTAGTTCAATTAGAGAAAATATTACCTGCACAGCTTTTTGATTAGCAAATTCTCAACAATCCCTTACAGCCTAGCTTTCTCAGCCCTTGGCCCAAAGACTTACCAGGACAGGAAAAACAAAAAAAGAAAATAAAGGAAAGAAAGATAAAGAAAAAAAGAAATATCCCTGACAGCTGTCAGCTAACAGCTGACCCGGTAACTACCAGTCAGGCCGTGGTATTCCCCTGATGAGCACAGTTGACTGCATACAATATTAGCATCTGATGAGAACTCTCTGCAACCATGAAGACAATTTCATGGTCATGACTGAACAAAGATAAAAACAAACTCTATTTAACTACTAAATATTACCAAAATCTCCAGTTTCCAATTTATACAAGTGACTGCTACTTCTTTCATGATAACTCTAGCCTCATCTGCTTTTCTTGACCCTTACAGACAAGATCCCATACACCAATTTTTTGGTAGCACCCAGTCCAGAAGGGACCCCATCGTCCTTCAACATTCTGCTAAATTAAATTCTGTAATAACAAGCCTTTTCTAACTCCCTTTAATCAAGGTGCCTCAATGTTTCACCTTGTGATATGGCTGCCTCTTTTGCCACAGTAGACTTAATAAACTTAACTCTTTTTTTTTAATCACAGGTGTACTTTCTAGTAGTCTTTGGCTTTGAAATTGGCAAGGTACTATTCTAATTCTGGAAACTGATGTAGAGAGGCTATGTCACAATTCCTAGGTTACACAACCAGCTAGGGGTAAAAACAAAATTCAAACACAGAGTGTTTGGCCCAAGACTCCATGCTCTTAAATTTATGTTGTCTTCAAATGATGGAATATAAGCAGAAATTATGTCAACTCAGTTCTATTCAAGCTGCCACTACTGAAAACATGAAGCCAAATAGTTTGACATATTTAACTCAAAGAGCTGTGCAAAATAGATAATCCAGTAGTTCCCGTGTACATTAGTTCAAAAGGCTTTAGCAATTTATCTAACCATTTATGATTATATCTTTTTCATGAAATTACAACTCATTCTATCACCTGAGGTCTTAACAAAATTGTAAATGTAAAGAAAATCAGTTTTACAAAAATACAAATATGTTATATCTTTGCAGTCCTGTCCTCTTTTGTCTTTATATGAATATGTTCTGTATGGAAGAATTTATATACAAACATACCAAATAAGAGAGCAGAAAAAGTAGAAAAAGAAAAAGTTTGGCAAAAGTGAATCTGTGTGGTGTCAGGTACATTTTATTTGGCTACATTTAGTAATGGCAGGCTCAGAAGAAATCTGCAAAACAACTGACAAGAAATGTTTAATCTTCATTTTTAATATTAATTTCTTGTTCTGCTTTATTGCTTTATATTTTATGAATTTTATTTTCTGTAACTCCCCAAGATATAAAATGATTATATCCTAGAATAAATATTTCTCATCCATAGAAAACAAAACAAAAAAAAGTCGTGTGCAACCCTTAGGGTCAAGCAATTGATTAAAATGAAAGACAGTTATGAATATGCTATGGAAAGCATATTTCCTTTTAAGTATTTTTTTTTTGAGCAAATTATGGCTCTTTTGCTATACTTTCAAGGCATACTGACAGGGCAATTAGTAATCTGAACTATCAAATCCATTTGGAGATAATGGAGCTTATCAATTCTTGTGTTATAATTGCTTTTCAAAGCCCCTCCCCATGCCTGTCTTTTCCCCCACATCACTTACCCAATACACTTAATCCTATTTAAATAGCAACATGTCAAACATGTCTGCTAATCAACTGGCTGGCAACCCCATGGAGATTTCTGCAGTTTTAAGCACTGTATTTCACTGCATAAGGATTTTTCCCAAATATTGATTTTTGGTTTTCAAGGTTACTGATGATGTGCTCTAGCACATTAATCATTCTAACCACCTTAACAAAGAAGCTCATTAAAAAGACAAATACATTTATCAAGGAAATCATCAGGCAGATTATATACTTTCCGCCCATAATATATTATAACTGAATAAATAACTAGGGTATTTTATAATTAAATATGCAGAACACTTAAGATTTTAATATTCATATCCTTTACTGAAGAATGGGGATGGATGAGGTTTTGTAACATATAATTTATATGGTACAACCTAGCCACAATTATGTGGGTTAAAAATAGGACTACTGCTTTGAGTATACAAACTAGATAATGTTTTGACATGATGATGAGACCTTAAATACAAAGACATTTGAAGTTCAAAATACTGGAAATTTAACTTAAAATTTCTGTAGAACAACATTTTAGTATCTATTTCTAGAATCTAACAAATTCATAGAGTCTGCCTTGGAAATAAGGCTTTGGGGTGGGGAGATACAGCTAAGCAGTCATTTGCCCTCCGGCCTCACTGAAGCTGGAGTGATTATTCCTTCTGTGAGCCAAATAATACTTTAAAAGCTTGGGAAGGCCTAAGGGGTCAGCTTTGTCTTATGTTCCAATCCTATTTCCTAGTATTTCTCTCATCAACCTACCTCATACTAATCTGAGTTTTAGTTGGAGAAGTTTGCTTTTCCTTCTCAGGGTCTCCAAATTAATGGACCACAAATAATCTTGAATTGTAGCCTGCAGGCAGAAAGGATCTCTCTTAGCAATTTCAAATTTGATTTCATTATTTTTGTTTTTAGTTTCAAGATATCTTGCTTTCTAGTAGAACCTTACTAAAACATGTACAAAATAGCTTGCACACACAGTTATCCTAAAATTGTTACTATAAAATCTACCAGTGCCACTTTACTGAATCCCAAAGAAATATATGCTACAATTTCATTAACGTTTTTGTGATCATTAATAAGTCTTGCTGACTTCAGTGGCTGGCATCAAAGTAAAAATTACACCAGACAAAGTGAAGCAGGCAGGAAAGACTATTCAATGCTATTGCAACAGAAAAGAAAGATTAGAACTAAGCTGGAGCTCAATTTGGGTAAAACAAAGAGCAGGAGAGTTTTTAAGAGATGGTAGTTGAGCATAGAAGGGAAAGGGAAGAGTCATAGGCCATCTGTTTGCTAATTTGCTTTACTCAAAGGAAAAGTAAATTTTCTTGTACCTTTATAACAGGAGATAGTTTACATCTTGGAATAAGAAGCCCACCAAAGAAAGACACCTGCCCTTCCACAGAGACTGGGAGATACAAGTTCTCTCCTCCTTGTGCTTACATTTCAAAGGGATCAGTGTTAGATACAGTTAGGTTCCCTCTTGAAACAGCTTATCCGGTGTCCTTGTTCTCTATCCTATAATTCCAAATACCTCTTTGCCTTTGCTATGCCTCAGCCTGTCTGAATATGCCTAGGCATGCCTGAACTTGCTACAACCCCAGTGCACACTCCTTTCCTTATTAGGGAATAGGTTACCTTCCTAGTACCTCCGTAAATGACCCCCTTTCTCTCTCTTCTCATCTCCCTTACGTGTCTACCTTATCTAAGAATTAAGCCAATTGGGACTAGTTTAGACTGTGCGGTCCAACCCTAGCCAACACGTGAAAGACACAGAAGCAGAAGCTGCATTAGAGATAATAAAAACCCCTGCTTTCCTTTGTTCTGTGTGCTCTCACCATTGCTACATACGCAAGATGCACCCTTCTGCAGAAGTAAATTTGCCTTGCTGAGATGTTCTTTATCTAAGTGCTTGTTTTCTTTGTGACTCTGAGCTCTTATTCCCAACAATTTCGTGGCCCATACAGGGAAGCCACTCTTCTCAGGGGAGGGGGTCTTCAGTCCTCACTCGTGAGGAGACGCGTCCCATTGCCTCATTGTGGTGGCCTCAGGGGTAAAGTTTCAAGACTCACCCAGTGTGAAGAATAAACCTGGACTCTCAGGAATGCAGGAGGAAAAGGCCTACAAATACCGCGACGACCAGGTATCTCTGTGCACAGACCAAGGTAGGAAACACCGCAGGAGCCAGCAAAGTATTTCCTTTGTGGTCGGGATGAAGGTAAAAAAAAAAAAAAACGCAGGAGTGGTGAAGTATTCTTTGGTCGGGACATACCAAGGCAAGAAAAGCTGTGCGGGTGGTGAAGTACTCCTTGGTGGTTGGGATTTCTTGGAGGTTGAAAATGTGTGAAAGGCAGAAAATTCCTAGTATGAGGGATTGAGCCTCAGTAAGCCTCCAGAGAAGGATAGGCAAGAAATTCCTAGTATGAGGGATTGAGTCTTAGAGAGCCTCCAGAGGAAGATAGGCAAGAAATTCCTAGTGCAAGGTATTGAGCCTAACCAGGACCCAACATGGGAAATGTCCCAAGTAAAACAAGGAGTAAAAAGGATAGAAATAATAACAATGATACCTGTTAGCCCCCTAGGTCTTATGTTAAAATACTGGAAAGATAATGAAAGGACTAGACACAAGAAAAAAACAACAAATAATAAAATATTGTTGTTTCATTTGGACTCAAGAACTAATCCTCAAACCCTAAGTCTTCTGGCCAAAGTTGAGGTCAAATGAGGCTTGGATTTGTCAGCTTGTAGTTCGATTTGTGAATAGTAAAATTCCAGTCTCCCAAGAGGAGGTAGGCTATGCCCTCTGTTGACGGGAGGGGCTGGTCCTCCTTTACCCCCTAAAGACTACAGGAAGTAAGACAAAAGCCAACTCCTTTAAGCCACCTAACACTCCTGACCCTAACCTCCCTCCCCCTTAGGCCAAGGCAGTCTGCCCAAGCTGCAGGGCCTGCCAGAGCTGTCCAAAGAGTGTGAAGGGAACTGCCACTCTGCTAGGAAACTCCCACCCCAAAGGACGGCATCCACAGTTTCCAGTGTTACTCACGTAGAAGTTGATGAAAACGCTTAACAAAGGTGGGTCTGGCATGCAGATGGCAGAAGACAGCAAGATCATAAAGACACAACAGACACAGCCTGTCATCCAGAGAGCGAGGGACAAAGCCCAGTCTAGTGGCAAATGGAAAGAAACTTTAGTGTAGAAAAGGCTCTGTGTGTTTACTGGTGGAGAGACTGTTTGTTTATAAATGTGCACTTTTATTTCCTTATAATGAAAGCATCATAAGGTTACTTTATACCAGCTGTAACATTTTCATTGTTTTAAGTTGTCTTTTTTTTTTAATAGCAGCTAAAGATGTACAGATATCTGTTAAATTGCAGTTCTTTTTTAAAAAGATATTTTCTTGAATTATTTAGAACATGCAAGCCTGGTATTTTTAGTCAAGCAAAATATTTATGAAATAAGTTTTCTCTTATTTCTATTCATGATGGCTTTCTAATACCAATTGTAATATTTACAATATTCCCCAAAACTTAAAATTTTGCAAATACTGGAATTCTACCAGTGTTTCTTTGATAAGCCTTGCAGGCAAAATTTGAAATTTTAGCATTGGCACTCAAAATCTACATGGAATGTATGTTTAGAGTATTTCAAAATTTACATTGAATCATAACTTCCTTAGAAAACAAACTATAAGCCGGAGTAGGTTTTTAATTTTATCAGCTGGAATGCTTTATATTAGTTTGTTTTTCACTGTACATTCCTATTTTACATTCATTTAACCGGCTGATTAATTTTTTAATTGTAAAGTACTTTTTAGCATTTGCTTTTTGTTTTTTACTTTAATGCTTTTTCAAATTGGCAGGTGTTTAAATAATTTTTCTTCCTGAATAAAAATGTGTATGTGTCCAAAAGCAATGGCAACAAAAGCCAAAATTGACAAATGGGATCTAATTAAACGAAAGAGCTTCTGCACAGCAAAAGAAACTACCATCAGAGTGAACAGGCAACCTACAAAATGGGAGAAAATTTTTGCAACCTACTCATCTGACAAAGGGCTAATATCCAGAATCTACAATGAACTCAAACAAATTTACAAGAAAAAAACAAACAACCCCATCAAAAAGTGGGCAAAGGACATGAACAGACACTTCTCAAAAGAAGACATTTAGGCAGCCAAAAAACACATGAAAAAATGCTCACCATCACTGGCCATCAGAGAAATGCAAATCAAAACCACAATGAGATACCATCTCACACCAGTTAGAATGACAATCATTAAAAAGTCAGGAAACAACAGGTGCTGGAGAGGATGTGGAGAAACAGGAACATTTTTACACTGTTGGTGGGATTGTAAACTAGTTCAACCCTTGTGGAAGTCAGTGTGGCAATTCCTCAGGGATCTAGAACTAGAAATACCATTTGACCCAGCCGTCCCATTACTGGGTATATACCCAAAGGACTATAAATCATGCTGCTATAAAGACACATGCACGTGTATGTTTATTGTGGCATTATTCACAATAGCAAAGACTTGGAACCAACCCAAATGTCCAACAATGATAGACTGGATTAAGAAAATGTGGCACATATACACCATGGAATACTATGCAGCCATAAAAAATGATGAGTGCATGTCCTTTGTAGGGACATGGATGAAATGGGAAATCATCATTCTCAGTAAACTATCGCAAGAACAAAAAACCAAACACCACATATTCTCACTCATAGGTGGGAATTGAACAATGAGAACACATGGACACAGGAAGGGGAACATCACACTCTGGGGACTGTCGTGGGTTGGGGGGAGGGGGGAGGGATAGCTTTAGGAGATATACCTAATGCTAAATGACGAGTTAATGGGTGTAGCACACCAGCATGGCACATGTATACATATGTAACTAACCTGCACATTGTGCACATGTACCCTAAAACTTAAAGTATAATAATAATAAAATTAAAAAAAGAGAGAGAGAAAGAAAGAAATAAAAAGAAAGAGAGAGAGAAAGACAGAGAGAGAGAAAAGAGAGAAAGAGAGACAGAGAGAGAAAGAGAAAGAAAGAAAGAGAAAGAAAGAAAGAAAGAAAGAAAGAAAGAAAGAAAGAGAATGAAAGGAGTTAGATGGCATTTCTCATATATTTGCTTATATACACATACTTAGGCAGAGAAAAGGGGTCCAAGGAGACAGAGAGAAAAGGGTCAAGAACTCAGTCAATTCTAATTCAGAAAGAACTCAGAAAGAATATAAATTTCTGTGCAGAAAGAAACAAAGTTGGGTGTCAAGAGACTTGGCTTGTAGACCTTGACCTGTCACAAACTTACTGTAACTTTGTACAAATCATTTCTTCTCTGAACATTCATAAAATGAAGCCTGGATGATTGCTAAACTTTTTGTATTTTGTTTGATAATTAGCTCTTTTATGCAATAAAGTAATAAATAATATAAAAAAGTGTGTGTGTGTGTATATATATATATTTTAAAAACACATTAACTTTACCAAGTAAAACCAAGCCATACTCTTTTTGAGCCAATTAAGAAAATTGCCATTTTTTTTTAAATGTAGCATTTCAGGGTAAAGACCCATGAAATGACTTAGTGGATTCTAGACTACTGAAAGAAAGCCACCTCAAAGATTTTGTTAAAAGTTTTAGTGTTGTCTGAAAAGCAAGAAGAAAAATGAATGGTAGTAAGTTAAAAGAAGAAGAGAGGAAAAGAGAGTAGTTTTGTCTTCAAGTAAAATGTCTGGTTGTGCCAGACATTTCACAAGTGTAAAAGGAAATAGGAGAAACTCAAAAAGTATATGTAAGAAGAGAGAAAAGAGAAACTGGGAGAGGGAAGAAGGGAGAAAGTGAAAAGGGAAATTACAGAGAGAAAGAGGAAGAGGCTGAGTGTGAGGGAGAGAGGAAACAGGGTTTAACAGACAGAGAGAGAGAGAGAGTGCAAATGAGATAGAGACTCAAGGAAGAAACGCTGTGAGTCTGGAAATGAAAGATTTGGACAGAAACAGAAAGATTAGAGGGAGAAAATGAATGAAAGAGAGACTGGAAGAGACAAGAGATCAGAGAGGGACACAGAAAGTGAGACTGGAGAGAGTGTAGAAGGAAGAGAGAGGAAGAGACAGGAGACAAAGAGATGAAAAGTCCGAGTGAGCAGGTGAGGAGAGAGATTGAGAACTATTGGAGACAGCAGCTAGGACACAAAGGAGGCGGGGGGCTGCCTGAGTGCTGCAGCACCCACACCATCCTCTTTCTCCCTGTCACTGGGACCCCAGAGCTGACCCTTGATGGAGGAGAGCCAACCTCGCAGCAGCCTGAGCCTGGCCAGCAGCGCCTCCACCATCTCCCCACTCCGCAGCCTAAGTCCCAAGCTACGTGTAATGCAGTTCTCAGAGTCTATGGATGTATAAAAATTTATATTCTGGCAAAACAAGTTAGAGATAGTTGCCTAATATGTAAACAAAACAAAACAAAACAAGGCCAGGCATGGTGGCTCACGCCTGTGATCCTAGCATTTTGGGAGGCCAAGGAGGGCAGATCACGAGGTCAGGAGATCAAGACCATCCTGGCTAACATGGAGAAACCCTGTCTCTATTAAAAAATACAAAAAATTAGCTAGGCATGTTGGTGGGCGCCTGTAGTCCCAGCTACTCGGGAGGCTGGGGCACCTGGGAGGTGAGCCGAGATTGCGCCACTGCATTCCAGCCTGGGTGACAAAGCAAGACTCCATCTCAAAAAACAAGCAAACAAACAAACAAAAAAAACAAAGAAAAAAATGAATAAGCAAACTCTTAAGAAGGTCACCCTTTGGAGGAAGGGACCCAGGATTAAAACCATTCCAAAGTGTCCAAATTGATTGCACCAAAATGCCCCCAAATAGGTCACCTAAAGTACCTACTAGTGATAGTAGATCACCTGACTCACTGGGTAGAGGCTATTCCCTTTTCTAGTGCAACCACCAGTAATGTAGTTAAAGCATTAACTGAGAATATTATATCCAGGTTTAGATAAATAGAAAATACTGATTCAGATAATAAGACTCATTTCACTGCACATGTCATTAAGAAATTAGCCCTAGTACTAAACATAACATAGGAATACCATACTCCCTGGTACCTTCATCAGGAAGAGTATATAGAATGAACCAAACTCTAAGGAGCCACTTAACCAAATTAGTTTTAGAGACTCCTCCCCATTGCCTTGTTAAGGCTCAGGGCCGCCCCTCGGAAAAATGTCAGCTTATCCTCTTATGAAATGCTATGTAAGTTGCCTTATTTACACTCCACTGCTGACATTCCTACATTTAAAATGAAAGATAAATTTCTCAAAACTATATACTTGGTCTATCTTGCACTTTCTCGTCCCTCTGAACTAAAGGCCTTTTAGCACAGGCACCACCCCTGGAGTTCCCAGCACACCTGCATCAACCTGGAGATCACGTTCTCATTAAGAGCTGGAGAGAAGAAAAACTCGAACCGGCTTAGGAAGGTCCCTACCTAGTGCTTCTAACTACTGAGACCACAGTCTGAACAGCAGAAAGAGGGTGGACTCACCATACCCAAGTCAAGAAAGCGCCACCATCTTTAGAGTCATAGGCCATTGTTCTGGGATCAAGTCCCACCAAACTAAAGCTAAGAAAAGACTAATCGTCTTATATCTCTTCTATTGTCTCTTCTTCTTCCTTCACTCCACTGTCAGCCACCTTACTATCAATGTAAACCAGGTCAGCCTCCCTCCCAAGCTATTGCGTGTGATACTTACTTAGCCATACCCTGTGGAGACCTACAAAGTCAAAGGCAACTAGCCTCTTCAGAAAAATATCTTTGCCCTTAGTGCTCACCTCATTCTCAACCTAATCCTTGTAAAATTCCTTATAAATGGCTACGGTGCTATTCCTGGTACAATATTCTCTGGACCACTCAGTCCTAGGGCTAGGCTTCCTCAGAAGGCTGTACCTCCCTAAAACCTTACCTTCATTTTACTAAAGGAACTACTTCCCCTGATTGCCAATCTCACCAAAGCAACCCCATCCTCATTTGCATTACTATCCCTACCTCTGCTGACCCTAGGCCCGCCCTCAGCCACCTCTATGGTATAGGGCCGATGTTAACGGAGAGACCCTATAGGCATTTTTGAGATACACTTTGTTTCCCCCCCTCCTCCTTCTCCATCCCCAATAGCTTCAGCTTTGAACAAAACACCTGTTATTCCTGTACCTAAAGATAAAACCAAGGTGTTCGTTATAGAAGTAAAAGATCTAAAACAAACCCAGCAATTAAGACAGGATACCAAGATATAAATGCCTTGCTAGAATGGATTAAATATTCCGTCCAAATCCTAAGCGACTGTTACACTTGTGCGCATGTTAGACCAGAGGCCCAGATCGTCCCCTTTCCACTTGGACAGTCTCCCCACTGACTGGGCGGGAGCTGTATGGTAGCTCTTTTTCAAGATCCCACAGCCTGGGAAGACAAATTGTGCCAAGCTCTTTCTCTGCTGTTCCCAGAAGTTCAACACCCTGCAGGTCAGGCCCCAAAGGCCATCCAGCCTCCACCTTCCAATGCCAAGTTTACCTCGTGTCTCTCACGACAGGGGGAAAACAGCGTTCCTCGGAGAGTTAAAGGTATGCAAAGAGCTTAGGCCCTTTCAAGAGCTTACCCATCAGTCAGCCCTTAGCCATCCCCAAGTGGATGTATGGTGATATTGTGGTGGACCCTGCTGGACACTCTGCCAAGTAACTGGAGCAGAATTTGTGATCTAATTCCATTGGCTATCCCTTTCACCCTGGCATTTCATCAACCAGGGAAAGTAAAAGCAAAGTGCTGTAAACTGAGAGAGACCCCTCATGAGTCCTTTGATCCTCAAGTTTATATAGATGCCATCAGGATTCCACGAGGACTGCCAAATGAATTTAATGCTTGAAACCAAATAGCTGCAGGGTTTCAATCTACATTGTTCTGGTGGGTAGTATTAATAAAAATGTAGATTGGATAAATTACATTTACTATAACCAGCAACGATTTGTTAACTATACCAGAGATGCCATTAAAGGAATAGCTGAACAATTGGGACCCACCAGTCAAATGGCCTGGGAAAATAGAATGGCATTAGACATGATAGTAGCAGAGAAAGGTAGAGTTTGGGTCATGATCAGAACCCAGTGTTGTATTTTCATCCCTAACAACACAGTCCCCATTGGGCCAATTACAAAGGCTTTGCAGGGCCTTACCTCTCTATGAGATGAATTGTCTAAAAACTCCAGAATAGATGACCTCTTTACAAGCCTCATGAAAAAGTGGTTCGGTGGGTAGAAAAAGCTAGTAACTTCAATAGTCACCTCCCTGACAATTGTTATAAGTGTATTAATTCTTGTTGGATGTTGCCTCATACCCTGTGCTCCAGGGTTAATACAAAGACTTACTGAGACAACTCTCTCCAAAACTTTCCTCAATTCTCCCTTGCCTTATTCAGATAAGCTCTTTCTTTTAGAAGATCAGGCAGAACAACAAAGTCAAGATATGTTAAAAAAGGTTTGAAGAGAAAAAATTATAAATATCAAAAAGGGGGAAATTGTTAGATACAGTTAGGTTTCCTCTTCAAACAGCTTATCCAGTTTCCCCATTCTTTATCCTATAATTCCAAATACCCCTTTCCCTTTGCTGTGCCCCAACTTGTCTGAATATGCCTAGGCATGCCTGAACTTGCTACAACCCCAGTCCACATTCCTTTCCTTATTAGGGAATAGGTCACCTTCCTAGTCCCCCGTAAATGACCCCCTTTCTCTCTCTTCTCACCTCCCTTATGTGCCTACCTTATCTAAGAAACTTTAAATGTTAAGCCAATCGGAACTAGTTTAGACTGTGCAGTCCAACCCTAGCAAAAAGGGGAAAGATACAGAAGCAGAAGATGTGTTAGAGATAATAAAAACCCCTGCTTTCTTTGTTCTGTATGCTCTCACCATTGCTCCATATGCAAGACACACCCTTCTGCAGAGGTAAATTTGCCTTGCTGATATGTTCTCTGTCTAAGTACTTGTTTTCTTTGTGACTCCAAACTCTTATTTCCAACAATGAGCCTGGAGTCTGTGACTGTAGTCCCAATTGCTCTGGAGGCTGGGGCCAGAGGATCACTTCAGCCCAGGAGCTGGAAGCTGCAGTGAGCTGTGATTGCTCCACTGTACTCCAGCCTGGGTGACATCCCAAGACCTTGTATCCAAAAATGAATGAATGAATGAATGAATCAATCAATCAATCAATCTTTTTTTTTAAATTAGAAATAAAAGGGATATCTCTCATGTCCTTGAGAAAGACATTTCTGGGTTGTAACATTGGCAGGAGACTTTCTAAATGATTCACATCTCGAAGGGAAAGAATTTATAAGTGTTGTAAAGTTAATGCTTTAGGAAATAGGGAGTCCAGTGGCCTAGAGTCGGAAAGAGGCCTCTTTAAACATTAGTTGATCTGATTAGAATATTAAGGCTATCTTAGTTCCTGGTTAAGTAGCTATTCACTTCCTCTGCCCTACTTCCCAACTTGGCTCACATTTTAGGGTCTGTTTCTTATAAAAATACAATAGATCAAATTTGGTTTTAGAATTTTTTTTTTTTTTTTACAGTTAAGACAACTCAATCTAAATTGGTTTAGTAATGAATTAATTGGTGGATTTAAAGACTTGGACAATGAAAACTTCCAAAGATAGGCTAATTTTCAGGCTTAGTGGATCTGCTGTCTTTGTATTTGCTCCATTCTCTGCCTGACTTCTCCCACGGTAGGAAGAGTGTTCTAAAAGCAACAAGCTTATGTGATCATTCTGACAGAGAAGAGGGTGTGGTGGGCGGGAGGTTTTTAAAATTTCAAAGAAACGTTTTGAGCTTTACATTGATTGGACCACCCTTGAATTAGAATATGGCAACGGTGCTCTCCAAACACTGGTTCATTTCTGACCCAGTAACTGCAGTAATGAAGACAGAATTTTCATGAAGCTAAGGGACTCTCTGGAGTGAAGGGTAAACTTAATCCATGTAAACCTCTTGGTTGCTACAAAATGGGGAAGAGGAGAATGAATTCTTGAGGTGCACATGGGGTAGGAGAAGAGGATGAGGATATGGTATCTTCTACTACTACTAGGATATGATTGTCAAGTAATCTTGTTAAGCCTTGACCAGTGCTACAGTACTACAATCCACTAATAAACAGGATTTTGCCACATGATAACATATGGCCACCTTAAATGCAGCTTTACTCAAACTGAAATTATTCTCTCTTACTTATTCCTCTTTAAAACTGCTCCACTTTGCTATAGGGTCACTCTGGGGTATATTTTAAATCTAAAATCTATCAGTTACTAATTGTGTGATTGAGAGTAAGTTGCTAAACTCTCTCACATTCTATTGTTCCTTTTATAAAATAGAAATTAAAATATCTCTTTGGCAGAGTATCATGAGAATGAAAAGAATCAACATTTTAATGTGCCTAATTCTCTGCCTGGCTTATAGAATAAATTTATTTAAAGTCACTTACTTTCCTTTCCTTCCCCTTGTCTACCATAACAGGTTAAGCCCATGTGTCTGGATTTTCAGTTACTTCAGCATCTCAATTAATATATTCACTTAGTGAATTCAACAGAATTTCTTGCCTGGTCCTCAGTGTATGCCATGTGCTTTCTTAAGCCTTTGCTCAGTCTGCCTTCAGTACATGGGAAGTCCTCTGTCCATTTCCATCCCACATTTCTGAGCCTTGGTTTAATCTTGTAAAAAGAAAAAAATAATACCTATTTCATGGGTTGTTGTCAAAATTAAAGGAGACTCTCTAGAACTTAGACAGCTACCAATATATGGAAAGTGCTGTAATTATCATTACTGTACCAGATATTTTATACCCTGGGCCCTGGTGAGACAAGCCAGATGGGAGGGGAGTCCCTGGAAAAACTCCAACCGGCCAGTGCACTGGGGTGGAGCCTCAGGAAATGTGTGCCCTTTGCAGCAAAGAGCGTGGTTCCTCCTCTTCCTGGGTGTAAACTGCGATTCAAAAAGCCAGGTGGGAAGCCCTGTAGTAGGGACTCTGGCTTTGTCCCTGTTTCCCCCTTTTCTTCCTCTTCACCCACTAAAACCCTGTTTTACTCACGGTTCAAATTGTTTGGCAGCCTGAATTTTCATGGCCATGGGACAAAGAACCCCGTCTTTAGCTGAATTAAGGAAAAGTTCTGCAACATTTTTGACGTGCAACTTGGGGGCTCAAGCGGAGAAGCGGTGAGTGAAATGGGGACTCAAAACCTCTCACTGTTGCTTCTAAACCTTTTATCTTTGGACTTCAGAGGGTGGAGGAAACCATGCCCCCACCCCTATAGCTGCCGGGCGTTTCCATGGCCTTTTCCTTTTGTTTCAGGACGGATCAGCAGCTCCCTGCCACTGTCCCCTCCCTGCCAGGGCTGGGACACATGGCTCAAGGCGCTGCAGAAGGCTGGCTGGCGTTTTCTACCATGTGCCCATGGAATCTCCTCCCACAGTCAGGGAGCCCAGCTCCAACCCACAGCAATTACACTTCTCCCCCTGGTGAAGGAAACACTTGCATAAGAATAAGAGGTTCTTCCACAGGCATTTTAAAACCTTTTTTCTTTCCTCTTCTCCACAATATCAGCATTTAAGTTTAAGCAAGTTTTTTTATTTCTAGAAGACATTTTACTAGGCAAGGAATGATAAGAATCCCTGTGTATATTCTCTATTAAGCTTTAATTGTGAAAAAGGATTTGTAGGGCTAGTCTTGGGCTGTGGCCAATCTGGTATGCTTCCTGTGTCTGTATGGTTTGTGCTGTAAGCCTCCATCTTGTTTTACACATCCTGGGGACATGGCCCACAACTGCTTGACAGGACTTTGTTTAGCAGTCCTGCCTTAGGGGATCAGCCCTCTCTGGCCAATATCTGCATGTTTTCCTACTCCTGTCTCTTAAAGGGCCCCACCCAGCGACTGGATTTTCTTCTGCCTCTCTGTGTGGGTACTGTGTGTGATATCTGTAAAAAGTGCGCTAATTAATTTGGCCTAAAGAAAGACAAGAACTTGGATCAAATTTTTTTTAAGGGAAGTTAAAAGCTGTGGTACCTTTCAGTTCACATGACTTTAATCTCTGAGAAATAAAAACAGCCCTAAAGACTATTGGTAAAATGCAGGTGAGATGCAAGGTTTTCTAAGTGTTTTGAGGTTAAAAACTGCTTTTTGGGTTTTGAGAACTATTTGACTTGAAGGCTTCACAATTGGTAAGGCCTGGGGACATATGGAAATAACCACGCTCTTAATTATGCTGGGAGTCAAACCTTGGCTGCACCTAGCACACAATTAAACAACTTACCAAGTTTTTACCTTAAAAGTTAAAAATTGCTAGGAGTTACTATTCCGAGATGTAATTGAGACTACAGGAAATAGATTTATATGCAAGATGTGTAAGAACAGTAAAATGTGGTGTTTTTTTGTAAAATATTATAAGAAGGCATGGAAATGTATACTTTTGCTTAGGGTTAAAGGATTGTTTAAATTAGGAAAAAGCTGAAGGTTCAAACAAGTGGTGGAGAATTGTGGAAATTAATCTTGCAGAAGAGGTTCAACATATTAACTAAATTCAAAAGGGTTATAAGGTTATAAAAGGTTTTTGCTTCTTTGAAATTTCTGAGTCATCCTTTTGGCAAAATAAATAACTTAATGGCAATTTGGAACTCTGTTTCATAATATCAAGTGTTTTAAACCTCAAACATGTTTGACAGCCTTCCCAAAATCAAACTTTGGTTTCAAAACTGTCTTCCCTGGCACTTGGCTTTTGGAATACTTCAGAGGGCCCCTGAAGTGTCCAGAAAAGAGAGGTAAACAGGGTTATTTGACATGTTTAGGTACATGGATTGCCAAAATGATGTTCAATCTTCTTTAGGTTATATCTTGGTAAATAATGCTAATATATGTTCCAAAATTGTATGGGACTTCTAAAATTCTAATGTCTAAGTATTTGCTACCAATCGTAATTAAGGTTGTTATGTTAAGTTATTGTAAACCACGGAGACAACCAAACTTCTTTTTCCATCGTGTTTCTAACTGTAAGTACCTTGGACATTTTTCTATTCACAGAAAATTGTCTTGTTTTAATCCTTTTCAAAAGATGGTTTATAATAAGCTATATGACTTTAACAGGCACTCTCAAATATAGGCTTCTGGTAACTTTGGAGATGGTAACATTGGAATAGAAGAAAATGTACAGGACACATAAAGAGCTGAAATGCTCAAGAATATCAAGCAAAACAAGAGTTAACTAAATGGACTGAACTCAGAAAGCTGAAGCAAACTTTTTGACTTTTGCTTGGAATATTGCTGATACTTGTTTTGTTTTTCAGAGTCAAGGAAATTATTTTGAACTGTTTACAGGAACGATAAACCAAAAGTGTTTTATACATTTTTGCTCTTTGAATTACTTCATTATTAACTTATCTGCAAAATTCCCTGAGAATATTTTAACATTATAGAGAAGCACTGTAAAACCTTGATAAATTACCCTTAAATATTTACCTAAATTAGATAGGAGCAGATAAGAAATATCTCTACCATCAACTTTCAGATATAACCAAATAAATGAACATATTCAGAAGAAAAAATAATTCTAGAAATCATTTCACCTGGTTTATGGGAGTAAGGAAGTTCAATAAAATCATATTATTCTTGTTAGAAATTGTCTTAGTCTATTTTGTGTTGCTTATAACAGGATAACACAGATTGAGTAACTTATAATGAACAGAAATTTATTTGGCTTATAGTTCTGGCAGCTAGGAAGTCCAAGAACATGGCACTGGCATCTGCTGAGGGACCTTGTGCAGTGTTATCCCATGGCAGAAATTGGAAAGGCAAGAGAGCACAGGTGAGAGAGAGAGGCCTAAACTCACTTTTATAACAACCTGCTCTCATGATAATTAACTCACTCCTGCAATAATAATATTAATCCAAACATGAAAGTGGAGCCCTCATGGACTGATCACCTCTTAGTTCCATCTCCTAATACCTTCCCAATGGCAATTAAATTTCAACATGAGTTTTGGAGGGGACATAGCAGAAATAAGTTCTTACTGTTCAGTAAGTTGAGAGTCACAAAGGACCACTTCCCAAAATAGTGGCCCTCTTTCTCATTCAGTTTTGAACAATTTTGAGAAATAAAAAACAATAGATAGAAAATCAGTACATTATTTTTAGTACTTCAGACTGGAGGACATAATTTAAAACAATATTAGCTAATTGGTTGAGCCCCATATTATATCTCAATATTAGTCATATTTAACTAACTTCTTGCTGAAACTAAATAATACTTCACTCTGAAGGAGGACCAGGTTCTTGATGGAGAAAACCAGCCCCCAAATTAGCAGAGCCAAATCTTTATTCCTCTGATACCACCGGCATCTCTGAAGAACAGATGCCACAGAAGAGATATACTTCCCAAGAGGAGCAGAGATCTCTGAGGCCATACCTGCTCCTAAGAAAAAGACAGAAGTGGCTCTCTACATTCATTTACACATATATTGTTTTTAAGACAACTCCCCACCTGGATACATTTCTCTACCTTTCCTATGGCAAAGAAAATTGTGAGGCTAAGAGAGGCTGGGGCATGTTTATGGAAAATGTCCATTTATTAAAAACTCCCCCAGAGGAGTGGGGCAGTAATGTCCTCCACTACGACAACTCTATCCATGGAGATGGTTAAATATTTTTTTCCAAAAGAATACACATGTGAGATGCAATTCTCAGATGTCATTAACATATACATGCACATAAATAGTTTTATTCTTAATAAAGATCTTCTCATTTGTCTTAAGATAAAAGGGACATTGCCACAGATTATCTTATTATTTTCTTTATTTTAAATTTTGTTTTTCATGTTCATTTTTAGTTGATTACATCGAGTTCCATTGTTTATTTTTATAGTTTCTATTTATGAAAATTTTGTTCATTTTTTCCATTTGTTCTAGTGATATAAAATTTCCTTTTTTGAAAAAAAATAAAGACGACGTGTCACTATGTTATTCAGGCTGGTCTCGAACTCCTGTGCTGAAGCAATCCTCCCGCTTCGGCCTCCCAAAGTGCTGGGATTACAGATGTGAGCCACAAGGCCCAGCCCCTTTCTTTAAAATAAAAGAAGCAGTTAATTTGTGGATTTTATTATATTAATTCTGTTACAGTCTGTATATAGGCACAGAAAAATTGTGAGGTCTGGACCTGGAAAACTAAAATGTTGACAATTTTGGTCTAAAGGACAACAGTGATCTATATTTCAGTGTGGTGTCATACTATCCCCCCATAAATATCAACTAACAGAGTCAAAGCCAGGTACATGGTAGCTGTAACTATGATCACTGTTCTTTGAAAGCACTTTTTACTAGTGAGTACACGAAAGCTGAACAAGCAGGCACAGATTTTTAAGGTATTGGATATCTAGTACAGCCACCTCTGCTCTCAGATTCTTCGTTTTGTTCTGCATTTTGCTGTGAAAGTGCTTTAAAATTGATGAGCCTTCTTGGGAAAGGTCCACTGTCAGGTTGTGGCAGATGTTACAGCAGCTGCTCCCATGTTTTAAAGTGCCTTTGATGTGATCCAGCCAATGCGATGGAAAGCAGCCTTCAAAGTGGAAAGAGTAGCAGCTGTGGCTGCAGCAGACCTTCCATTGATGGAGCCTGTTGAGGAGTCTAAATGGCTCCAAAAGATCATGAAGCTGGGCTGATGGACATTCAATCACCATACCCACTCCACTGTTGTGCCAAATAGGGAGAATAGAGAGAGAAGCAGTTGTGCCAGCTGCTACTATTGGGGTTATGATGCATTTCATTCTGTAATGAATATTCTTAGTGTTTTCTTTCTCCGAAATCTCATGAGATTATAGTACATGTTCCTCCATAGGCAAAATTCTTAAATCAATATTCATTCACTCGACTAATATTTATTGAGCTTCTGATGTGGCAGTCACCATGAGGCCCTAGGGATTCAATAATAAATAAGAGAACATTTTTCCTTTCAAGAGCTTAAAACTAATAGGGAAAATAATATATAAGGAAAAAGGCCATGTGCCGTCATTAAGGGTTATGATATTGGCAAACGGTGGTTCCTAAGAGAGATTGTGAATATAGATGACATATAGGAGGAATACGGGAAAGCTAAATAAAGATGTCTGCAAAGAACAATTAGACTTTAATCTAAAAACAATGGGAAACAATTACAGCCTGAAAACATAGGAGGGAAAGATTTTTTGTTTTGAAAAAAAGAAAAAGATATTGATTGGAAGCAGAAAACGCTACCAACCCAAGAGACAACTCTTCCCAGTATGTGCAGTGTTAACATATACTTTATTTAAAACATATTTTAAAAGCCGATCCTAAGCACAAGGAGGTTTAAGCAGCATTGAGACCAGCAGGGCCCCTGATGAAGATAATGGTGAGAAAATAATAATCTCTGCTCACAGCTGGCAACTTGGAGCTCTGCAGCTCCCAGTAGCTACTGGTGATCATGCTGAAACAGATGGCCTCACTTGGCCCAACTAGCCATTCAGTATATCCTTTGATTTCATTCCTTAATCTGTAGTGTGTCAGTGATTGAGAAGAAAGATCACAGCTTACTGGTGTTGTTATGAGATAGGATGTAATAGTGACATCATTCTAGCCTTAAGACCCAGCTCAAATCTGGAAAAGACTGAATGTCAATGATGTCATCCTCCATCCCTACTTCTACTCACTCATCCCTTCTCCTACTCACCTCTTCCTCACAAATCTTCCTACAACAATCATCTAGAGTCACGGCCTGTTTCGTGGGCTTATGAACCACACAGTCCCACAGGGATCCATGCCCGGAAGTATGTCCCATGCTTGGGGTTTGATGCTGCCTTGGAATTGATAATAACTATCTTTGTTTTTGGTTTTGTTTTGTTTTGTTTTTGTTTTGTTTTTTTTTGAGACAGAGTCTTGTTCTGTCGCCCAGACTGGAGTGCAGTGGCGCCATCTCGGCTCGCCGCAACCTCTGCCTCTTGGGTTCACGCCGTTCTCCTGCCTCAGCCTCCCGAGTAGCTAGCTGGGACTACAGGCACCCGCTACTATGCCCGGCTAATTTTTTTTGTATTTTTAGTAGAGACGGGGTTTCACCGTGCTAGCCAGGATGGTCTCGATCTCCTGACCTCATGATCTGCCCGCCTCAGCCTCCCAAAGTGCTGGGATTACAGGCATGAGCCACCGTGCCTGGCCTGTAACTTTATCTTTGAAATTTTGTTTTGTAAGTGAAGCCAAGTGGGGCAACTGAGCATGCACTAGAGGCTTGGAGTTTCGGCTTAAGTGTGGCTGCTTAAGCCACACGGCTCGCTGCCATGCCCACTTCCTTGACCCTGTCCAGAGACCCTAGTCACCAACCATCCTCTTTAGAGGCCTGGGCCTGGGTGCAGGGAGGGTCAAGGTCAGGCATGCACACTCCAGGCACCAAGTCGCTGGGCCACACTCTTGGCAATTGGAAGGATCTGCACAAGGCCTGTGAGTATTTCTGTGCCTGAAGGAGTACAGAATTAAACAACAATATACCATAACAAGTCACGAGAGAAACCACAGAGAAAAAGGAAAAAAAGCCTTTTCTGCTTCTCGAACAAGGGGCTCGGCATCTTTATTTTTCTCTGCTACCCACAAATTACGTAAACAAGATGGTCCTACTGAGAGGGAAGCAGCAAGTAGTCTTCTGGAATGGGCCAGAACATCTTAAGTTTGACAGAATCCCTGCCTGTCTCCATTGTTCCTGCACACTGAGATGAGAATGTTGGCTTGATTACTTTTATTCCTTTTGCTTTGCCTCACATTTTGAAATTTTACTGTTTGATTTTAGGAGCTTTCATTTACAGTACAGGCCTGCCAGGAATACTTTCTGGAAGAGCTACAGTTTGAGGGAAATGATAAATAAATACCAACTGAAAGGTAGGATTTTGTAGGGAAATCAAGCAGGGAGAAAGCATAGGGTGAGGCTCTGAGTCATAACCGAGAAGCTGTGTAATAGACAACAACTCTTCTAAAATGCAAGTTCTACATTTAGGTGTACATAGTGATTATGATCTTACTTTATCCACCTAGTTCCTCTTAGATTTATTGCATCTGTGATGTTGTTTTGCATTGTATGACCAAATATTATGTTATTGCACAGCAACTAACACATTGAATTCAAATAAACTATTTTTGAAATGCAATTTACAAATTCTGATTAACGTTTAAAAACTAGAAGTTTTTAAGTCATAGTTTGTGTTTATTATATAACTGCAGAAATATTTTAAAGATAAAATTAAAGAGATTGTTCACAAGGGGAAGACCAACTGGCAATAAAACTGTAAGTAAGAATTAATTGCAATTTTTACAAGCAAGCCAGTTGTCAGAATAACAAATAATTCTTTAATGTGTTTTATCAGTTGGTTGATTTTGTTGGCAGGAAATCACTATTGAGGAAATGTAATGAAGTGTCCTCAGATGTGAAATTCAGAAATAAGAGTGGGTTCTACCCTGTAAACAGAATCAGTTGAATCATTAAAAACACTGCACTGATGGAGTCTAGACATATTGATAAGATATAAAAAAGTTTAATTTGAAAATGGTGTCTTATAAAAGTGAAGCCAGATCAGCTCTTAAAAGGATGGTTTAAATTATACTGGTCTTTCATGAGAGGAAAAATAGACCTTATGTCTTAAATTAAGTAAATTAAAACATTTATATTTCATCAAAATTCAATAAGCTTCTTTTGAATTTGAAAAAATTACATTTAAGATTAACTTGCTTGGAATATATATAGATGATTGTTTCTGACCTTTTGCACACAAATTCCATATTTACATCTTATAAATAATAAACCTTAGCAAGTTTCATTCTGTGGCCATAAAAATAAGAAACTTTGAGTTTCTTTATTCTGTTGGCAGTCCCTTAAGGAAAGAGTGCTGTAAGCAGCTCCTTCTGGCTGCCAGAAGGGTTCAAGGATGTCCTGAACACAGGGAAAGGCTTTAATAACATCACAAAATTGTACATTGGCCTCAGTGCAGGTGTGCTTTGCTCCTGGGAGCAGCACAGATGGAAAACAGCAGAATAAGCACACTGTATATACTTATAGATTGAAATCTTCAGTGAACACATTGCCAAGGTGAATCTCAGGGTCAACTTCTGTGGCCAATATCAGGATATATTCCCTTCTTCTGTATTATATTATTGTCTCTCTTAGCTGTCTCGTAATTGGTAGGTATTGTAAATGTTAAGTATTGCCCAAATCATGATACAAATAAAATTTTGTAACTTATAATTATTGTATTTTTTGAAGATATCAGCAAGTGCCTACTAGATGCCAGGCATTGAAAAGTGTTGGGGCTTCCAGAAAGACACTGTCATTCCCCTTGGACAGAAACATGGGGATGGCACAGATTAAGTAAGAAGCTCCAAATATGCAGTGAAAAGCAGAAGAGATCAGAAAACATTGGGAAAGAATCCCCCTCCTTGTATATACCAGAGCAGAGATTTCAATAGAAAACTATTTCAATGGAAAAAATAAATAAAGCCAGTATGACTACTACTACTAATAATGTAAAAGTCCAAATTTGCTAAAAGACACTTTAACAAAGCAATTTACCCTTAGCTTATAAGAGAAAAGAGTATTAGGTCATAAAGAAACTGGACAAATATACAAGAGATACACAAATATACAAGACAAGATAGGTAAAATTTTATATTTTAGTGAATATAATGCAGAGTTGTAATTTAAACTTCATCTATTCTTTTAAGATCCAGTTCAGGTTAATTTCACACATTCTTGTTGAGTGCCTACCATGTTTCATAGACTGTACTTGGCACTGAAGAGAATAATGAATAATGAAGGAAGCACACACACGACTAGAGTACAACAATAAGATCCCAGGAAGGTTGGGTGCTAAGATGAAGGAGAGATGATTTTGATGTCTGAGTGCTCAGAGATGTTCTTTACAATTTCACTTATTTAAGTTACATTAATTTATAAAAAACATAATGGTGCTTCCGCCTCCAAGACCAGTTATGTTGGTTTATAAAAGATAATTTAGAAATCTCATTTACTTCTCTAACAATGTTTAAACTGTGCTAAGTAACTCTATTTACTCAATGAAGAGATTAATTTTATAAGGTGAAACAACTGTCTTAATTTAAACAATATCTCAAATGAAAGCAGATCATTATTCAGCCCCTCCCCAAGCATTAATCACCTGCCCAAATGACCTTAACTGATTTACTCCAACAACCAGCATGATTACAAATAAAAGTTAATTCTGATTTTAATTTTATTTTATAATCAGATCTTATTTTATTAAAATTAGCTCTAGGCTTTTTTGCTACTAAAGCATAAACTACAAATCATATTTTCCATTTGGAATAGTGCTTATCCCTTAGGAGAAAATCAATACATGAAAATTAAATTTCAAAACTGCATTAACAGCATCTTCGAGGTCAGGTATTCTAATAGGCTCCGAGTGGAAATTATAGAGTCACTATTTGTGGACAATATAATTATTTGTACTACCTTTTACTTTATAGAACACAACAAAAAAGAAATTAAATCTGGTATAAAGATTCAGTTAAAAAATAGACATATGTTTATATCATCTTAATACCACTAAACTTAATGATTTCACATGAGCATTTGTTTTAATTCATGGAATCTGCCTTAAAATGTGAATATTTAGGCCGGGCGTGGTGGCTTACACCTGTAATCCCAGCACTTTGGGAGGTCAAGGAGAGTGGATCACTGAGGTCAGAAGTTCAAGAATAGCCTGGCCAACATGGTGAAACCCCCCATCTCTACAAAAAATACAAAAAATTAGCTGGGTGTGGTGGTGGGTGCCTGTAATCCCAGCACTCCAGAGGCTGAGGCAGGAGAATCGCTTAAACCTGGGAAGTGGAGGTTGCAGTGAGCGGAGATCACGCCATTACATTCCACCCTGGGTAATGGAGCGAGACTGTGTCTCAAATAAAAGTGAATATTTAAAAGTGTTAGCAAATTTGTTTTAAAAAATGTTAGATTTAAGCAGTTAACCTCTCTAGCAGTACACTAAATCATTAAAGATATCAAACTATTATTTAATGGAATAGGAGATCTGTTAGAAATTTTAAAAATCAACGAGTCCAATCACAAATTTAAAGAAAATGAGAATTATATTAAAGAACAGATACGATTCTTAATTTTATCTCTTAAGAACTATTCTCATAAGATTTCCTTTTTCTCCATACTGCATTTCCTTACATACTTAGGATTTGGAGCTTAATCCATTGGGAAATTTTGATAGTTGTGATGTCTGTTAGTTGTATAACAGCAGGAATTTATGTCTGATGTATCCCTTGACACATACTTCTTTTTGTGGGCAAGGGAGTTGCAAAACAGGTAAATGGATTTGCAGAATGGGAACAGATAGTAGTGGACTCATTATCAGGAACCAAAAACTGTAATGCATTGTAATTTTAAAAAGTCATCATTGTTTTGACCCAGATAATTCTTATAAGATTATGCTGCCTTTAGGAAATTTTTTTCCTTACTATGATATGGCAGAGACGGCTCATTGATTTCCTAATGCCTATTCCCGTTTCTTAAGCACAGTATCCCCTACACTTAACAGTCACATGGCTGCTTAACTAGAGATTACATTTGCTAATGTATATACCATGCAGCTAGAAATGCTCATGTAATTAACTTTTGCTCAGTAGAAGCTGAGTGTGGAGGGATATGTGCCGTTTGTCACAAAAGCTTAAAAGAAAGCAACTTGTGCTTCACCTCCTATTCACTGGCTAAACTGTGGACACAGTGAGAGCCAGCTGGTCCTGACCATGAAGAGAGAGGCCACACTTTAAGTGATGATGGAATGAAAAAAACACATGGAATTGGGGTTCCTGGATAACCTCATGGAGGAGAGCTCCCTTATCCCCTGGTGGCTTATCCCCCCTACCAATTCAGACGTTGAAGTAAAAGTAGAATAAATTTTCAATCTTATTTAAATCACTATTTGTTGTCTTCTGACAAAGACTTCCAATCTTGAAGACCCACATCCTACAAAATATGCAAGAATAAACTGATACTCTATATGTCCTTGTGAAAGAGAAGTGTGTGTGTGTGTGTGTGTGTGTATTATCAAAGGTTAACTACAAAATTAATAATTGCAATACAATAAGAACCTACACATGAAAAAATAGAACAATAGAGGAAATCTTTGCCTCATTATGTGGCAGAGATTGAAGAATATCTTCACAAAATAGATTTCAGGATTTCCCCTTTCTTGCCTGTTTCCTGTATTACAACTTGCCTCCAATTTTCCTAGATTCTTTGCAGTAGACATTGAGTTTCAAAATGCTATGAAACACTCATCTTTTGGTCATTGACTCTTCACTTAATATCTGGCAAATAAAGAACACCAGGCTTCAGTTCCTTTGGTGTATTGGAATTTAGTTAGTTTGGGCTCAGAGGCTGGCACTTATTTGAAGTGGCCAAGTGCTTTCTTGCTATAATCTGTTCTGTATTGATCTTCCTTCATTCATGCTTTTCATTTTGGAGAGTACTAGATTTGGAAGGTAAGTACTTACACTGTCTCTAATGGTGTCTGTAAAATTGAACTCTGATGACACTATTCTTAAAAGTCAATACATATTCTTTTTTTATCTTTTAATTTTAATTTTATGCCCTTCTTCCATCATTTGTGTATGACCTTCCTAAATATTTGAAATCATTAGAGGGGTTCACATTGTGTTTCTTTTTTAATCTCCAAAAGCAAAGAAGTACAGTCAAAGTTAAGGCTTTATTAAATATATTGCATAAGCCTGAATGTATCATTGTATTTATTCTAATTTGTATAATACTTTATAATTTTAAACTTCCTATTTAGTGACTATCATTTTCAAATGCTTTAGATACTCATATTGTTCAGTTCGAGTTTTGTGCAAAATCTCACACTCTAATCTTTATTTTCCTCTGCTTTGTCATTTCTTAGTTTTAAATGTTCACAAATTCTTCTGTTTGCACAAACCCAATACTGATTATCTGTGTGAACCTGTTTGGGTTACTTTCCTCTTTCAATATTAGTTTTTCTCAAGTACAAGACGATGATATTAATAGATAATCTCATGGTATAGTTAGGACTAACAGAGATAGTGTTCACATAGAACCTATCTGACTCAATGTAAGAGAGTACTACATTAGCATTACCATTATTTAATTTTAAAGTATGTCATATGGGGAACCTAAAATTTTAATTTGAGTATCAAAATATGCAGCACAGCCTGTAACATGGTAAAAGAATGATATATTTTCTCCATAAGATCTCAACATGACCAGTATTTCTTAAAAGAGTGAAAATTCTTTGCACCTTCAAATGTCTAAATATTAAAGACCTTAATACTATATGTCATCTAAATGACTTCACTTCAGGTTTATGCTGCAAGTTTTAGAGGATATAATGTCTGAGATATATCAGAATTTCTCTGGCCACCTTGTCCGTACCTCTTTTCTAGTGTTAGTAGGTCTTTTACATTTGTCTACACACTTTCTGGGACTCTCGCAGGCACTCAGCAGCAAATTTTACTGCAGAAGTATCTGAATTTGAAAAACACACTTTCACTATATACATACAAATATGTGTATATGCATATATAAACAATGTATTTAGTTATAGTTAAATAGTGGAGTTAGAGTGCAGCTATAAGTTTCATGTTACACAGGTAAAATTAAATAATTATTGGTTGTCTTGTTCTTTTGAATGTTTGTCTTTAAAAGGAAATACACTTATTTTACTTAAGAGGGATTTTTTTTTTTCTTTTAGACAGATTCTTGCTCTTTTGCCCAGGCTGGAGTGCAGTGGTGCCATCTTGGCTCACTGGTACCTCTGCCTCCTAAGTTCAAGCGATCCTCCCACCTCAGCCTCCTGAGCAACTAGCTGGAACTACAGGTGTGCCAGCACACCCAACTAATTTTTGTATTTTTTGTAGAGATGGGGTCTCACTGTGTTCCTCAGGCTGGTCATGAACAAGAGAGAATTTACATTAAAGAAATTATTGTATTGAGTTGGGACATCTATTGTCATTTGTGATCATTGCATGCATAAGCTAGCCACCAAGTAGAGAATATGTATAATCTCTTCTAAATGCATTATTGCCTTTATTTTACCTACCATGAGCTTAACTATGAAAAGAAACCTGCTATGTGACCTTGAGCAGTTAATGCTATCTCACAGGGTTTTGGAAAGATTAAATTAGATACAACCAAGATACTTGTGAAAACAACCTTTATCACACCAAACACATTTTAATTCCTTTTCTTTACTTTCAATTTTTATCACCAACTAATAATAATAAATTTTTTAAGACTTATTTTTCTGAAACTTCATGTAAACCAATGAACTGAGTTGATATGGGAAGCGGCTATTATTAACATTAGTAGTATAATTCTCTCTACATTACTAATTTTAATAATTATAACTAATCCTTATTGAAAATTTTTTATGAGCCAGTCATGGTACATGCATCATCTCAGAATAATATTATTACAGAGCACCTATTGTTATACTGATTTTACAAATGAGGAAACTAAAGGTTGTAGACACTAAGGAATGTGCCCAAGATTTACATAGCTCATAAAGTATTCTGTCTATGTAAATCTAGAGACCGTATCATTAAACTTATAATGCATTTTTTTCTGTAGTGCTTATCCACTAAGCAATTTTAAAAATCTGTACTTTATTGAAATATTTGATCAAAGATGGTGAAAATCTCAAGTCACTGGATAATAGCAGAGCTTGCACTTTATTTTGCTATGAGGCAACAACAAGTATTTGTTGCTCTTTTCTTCCACCTCTGAACACAAGCAAGTTAAGTTTCTAGAAAAGACTATGACAAATAACTAAATGTGGTCTGGATCAATAAAGCAGCTGCTGTAAAACAGCCTTGGGCTCTGGAATTTCTACTAAACTATCAACATAAAATGTCAGTGTTCTTTGAAGGATGAAAGTCAGACTGATATCTGGAAAGAAATTTTCTTTTTGTATGTCAGTGATTGAATTTGGGTCACTTTCAAAATTGTTTAATAAGACAACACAATGTGATTACTCATATCTCCTGCAAACAAAGCAATGATGATTCACAGAATTGTGAACATGTCTTAAGAAAGAAAAACATCCTAGTTAAGTAACAATTACATATTTACATACTATAGAAATTTCTCAGATAACAGACACTATTTTTAGGATTAGTTGTATTTCTGTGTTTTTGTTTGTTTGTTTGTTTGTTTTTGAGACAGAGTCTTGCTCTGTTGCCCAGGCTAGAGTGCAGTGGCACGATCTCAGCTTACTGCAACCTCTGCCTCCCTGGTTCAAGTGATCCTCCTGCCTCAGCCTCCCAAATAGCTGGGATTACAGGTGTGCACCACCAATCCCAGCTAGTTTTTGTGTTTTTAGTAGAGATGAGGTTTTGCCATGTTGCCCAGGCTGGTCTTGAACTCCTGCCCTCAAGTGATCTGCCTACCTCAGCCTCCCAAAGTGGTGGTATTACAGGCATGAGCCACTGCACCTGGCCAGGATTTGTTGCATTTCATCTTTTAATTTTTGTATTCTATACATACTTTTAGAAACTATATTAAAATATGAAGAGAATATTATGGTTGTTAAAAATACCTGAAATAGTAAGGCCAATTCTCTCATTATAGTATTTTAGGAGATATAAAAAACTGAAACAACATAGCAAATAAGTTTGTTTTCTCACTAGAGGGGAACACGTAATGGTTGAGAAGCATGAGCTGAATTCGTGATACTGCTGGATCCCTGTGCTTTGTGATAGTAACAAATGATTTGACTGCCAGATTCCTCTTCAAGGGTTTGCCTAGATATTTCTTAATGTCTTCTCAAGCTTTAAATTTTCTGAGACTTTTTCTGGCATTGTTTTAATTTTGGTCCAATTGGAATAGCAAAAGGAACATTTTATAGGGGGGTCTTTCCCTAAATAAATTATAAAAATTATTTAAGTTACCTTTTATAAAGAAAAAAGGATCCTGGACCAGAATCACATATGTTGCTGCTACCGTAACTGCCAATGCCCAGGGAAATGGTAAGAAAAGAGGCATTGAAGGCAACTATTACCATCTTCCAGAGCATACAGTTTACCACTTCACTTTTAAAATTTGCTCTTACAACCTTTCCTTCTCATTTCTTTTTTTGTGATATTATCAATCTGAGAGCTTTCATTAATGAGGATATTAGCTGATTTTTTTACTCTTAGGTAAAATGAGTTTAATAATTTACTTCTATGTTATATACTGAACTTATATAGTGTACTTCTGTTGATTCCTGAAGTGATGATAATGAAAATAATTTAGAAAAATGTAACTAGATAATGAATTAAGGGCAATAAATTAAAAAGCACAAAGAGTATATTTGCTTCTATAGCAGTTATAATACATGTATTGGAAAAAAATTATCAATAAAAATTATCAACATGGACCCTGAAAAAATATGATGAGAAAATACACATATCATTCCCTATTATTGTGCCCAGTTTATAGTTTCTAAGTGCTATCCCCACAAAGGGAACAACAGCTCCTTTGATGAATGGCTAATTCCAGATTGGGTTAGAAATTGTATGAGCTTTTGTCAAATGGACAGAGGGACCAACTTGAAAGGGCTCATATCTACCAAAGATGTGACTGAGAAACAAAAATAAAAATAAATGCCAGTTACTAAAACATATTGAATATATAAACCTCTGTAGGTTCATGATGATTCTCGAATAAATAGAAAACCAAATGACAAGCAAGCAAATAACTCATTGGAAACTATTGAAAATAACTGCAACTTATTCCACTCCTTTCATACTAACTGTATTTCAGGGTAAACAAATAGTTATAGTTGAGAAGACAAGTTATTTTCTTCTTCAAGATAGGGTCTTACCCTGTCACCCAGGCTGGAGTGCAGTGATGCAATCATGGCTCATTGCAGCCTCAAACTTCTGGGTTCAGCCTCACCCTCCTGAGTAGCTGGTGTGCACCATCACGCTCAGCTAATTTTTTTTGTTTTTTTTTTTTTTTGTAGAGATGGGGTTTCACCATGTTGCCCAGGCTGGTCTCAAACTCCTGGGCTCAAGTGATCCTCCCACCTTGTCCTCCCAAAGTGTTGGGATTATGGGTGTGAGCCACTGCATCTGGCCAAGAAAAGTTACTTTCTTTACAGATAAACTTCAGCTAAATTGTTAAAGGAATAGTGAAATTAATAAATAACCACTTGCCATGTCTAACTAATTTAACTATTTAATTATTATGCCTAATTTTAGGGTATCTAAGTTTTTCATAATGAACTAAATTGGTAGTGAATACAGTTGAGTTAGGAGAAAGTAAATGTATGACTGCTTATAATAATCACCTCCCAGCTCAGATCTATGCATCCTTAATCTTACGTTTTAGATGTAAAATAGAGTTTTAGATGTAAAAATCTGTGTCAAAAATAGTGGGTACAATGAAGTATATACAACTAGAGGGCTGAAGATATTGCCATCACTGAATTTTATGCCTTTTTTTTTTTACTATTAAAGCATAAAATTTCAAAATTAAAGAAATCTTTCTGGAGCACACAATTTCCCCTATAATAAGGAATTTTTCTAAGCTCCCATAACTCTTAGGATTATGAGCTCTTTCTAGATATAAGATTTCTTCCAGAATTCCCTATGATCCCCCATAATGGTTCTAAATGTAAATTGAACAAAATTTAAAGAGAACTAAGATTTCCAGAATGATAGTTGAAATTGATGGATGGAAAAATGGGACTTGGGCCACAAAGAAAATTGTTTTCCTAGGATAGAGATGGCTCTTGAACTGGATCTTAGTATTCTGAGTCTGTATAAATGAAAATCAGCATGCTGGATTTGTAATATCTATTTATGACAATGATCACTTAAACCTTGGAAGATAATTGATCTAAATATTATATGTGTATAACAAATAACAATTATTTTAATTGTTATATTATTTTACACTGAACAGCTAAGTGATAGGCTTATATTAATTTCTGTGCCACTTTTATAATTCATCCATATTCTACTATACAATGTCAATACTGTTCATGAGTATTGACATTTAAATTTTCTTATGCTTGCATTGAAGAGTTTGTTTTGTTATCTGTCGCGATGTTGCAATATCATTTCTCTATGTTGCCTCTGCTAGCTGCATCCTACTACATTAAGATGCTTTCCTTAGCTACAGTTTTAATGCAAGATTAAAGGGAATGTCCTAGTAGCGGATACATTATTTATTGTGAACAAATCAAATTCTTTATTAGAAGTGAGGTATAAATGATAATTCTATCAGTCAACTATATCGATGCTGAATTAACTTGAGTTGACATGAACAATGATTCCGATTTAGGAATGAATTTAGTTAAGCACCACTTTATTCTAGATTTACCAGTGACTGTTTTTAATGACACAAATGTTTGATGGGTTGCTAATTTGATGCTGAAGATTAATTGGCTACCCTGTGAAAGACTAATATATATGTAAAAAGAAAATAAGAAGTTAACTCTGAAAACAAAGAATCCACCATTTTATCAGGAATAAATCTATCACAGCAATTACTGAGATTAATATTAAAAGTAATAAATACAAAAAAGAAAGCTTCTGTCCATTTTTTTCACCCTTTCTTTTATTCAAATGATATCCTGGGTTTAAAAAGAGAAAACTATTTCTGTGAGGAAACTGTTTACCTATGTTGGGTAAATTAACTCTTCCGGGGCAGGGCACTAGGGTATAATTCAGCAAATGGTGTCTTTTTGTGCATGAAATGATAACCCATGTTCTTTAAATGCCTATTCATCTCCATAGTATTAAATATGTGTAATTAGGCCTCTCTTTTCTTTTTTCTCTTAACTGAACCTCAGTTTTTAAAAATAATCCTGAAGCCGCCGTGCGCAGTGGCTCTCGCTTGTAATCTACTTCCGTGATCCAATCACCTCCCACCAGACCCCACCTCCAACACTGGGGATTATAATTCAACACGAGATTTGAGTGGAGACGCAGATCCAAACTATATCATAGGCCCTATGTGATCTTCCTTGTTTAACCTTTGTAAGACTCTAACTACCATTAACACCATCTCCCCACTCAAGATACCTATGAGTCCATTTTTATACAACAAATATTTTATTTAACAGCTCATGTGCTCAGCAACGTGATGCAATGTTTAAAAGAAAGTTGTAGGTGTCAGGAAGCTTTGTCATATAGCTACTGAATTTCTGTTAGTTCCTAAAACACATGTGGTGTTTATATGTCTCTCACTCCTTTTTCATCTTTGTGGTTTCACAAATACTGTTCCCTCTGCCTGAAATATTCTTGTTGAGTCCCTTTCTCTAACCCTTCAATTCCTTTCATCCAGCTAGCCTACCATTTAGCCTGCATGACTCACTTGGATTTTACATCTTCAGAAAAAGTACTTTATAGGTCACCTGCTTCTACATACACAAATCCCTGAGCTAGTATGCTTATCTAGTGCCTCAATAATAACAGGTAACCCTCCCTTGCTTATTGCTTATGAAACAGGAGACTACCGCCACCAGAAGAGAATCCCCACAGGCCCAGGACCTTTTTTGTTCTTGTTCCCTATTTTATCCCTACCATCTAGCCAAATACCTGGACATAATGGCTGTTGGATAAATATCTGTTAAATTAAAAAATTATGTATTTGGGGATATTCTGTGATACATGTGTGAGACGTATAATTACATGTTTATAAAATAAAACTGTGACAATTTCTTTTTTTTATAACAATTTCTTCTTTTGGTAAGTCTAAAAGATAAACCACAATGACTAGGTGCTAAGGATAAGTAAAAAACCATTTGTGTTGTCATTATGTCATTACTAGAATCATTTTACTCCCCTAGAACATCTAGTTTCTTCTTGAAGCCTTCCAGTGATGGGCGATCACATGGTTTTGAAACTATGCCTTCTATCACAAAACAACCCTGACTGTCATATAGTCCTCAATAATGAGTAACAATCTGCCTCCTCCTAACTTCCACCTCTTTGTCTTGGACCTGCCATCAGAAGCTAACCAGAACGCTAACACTTTCTCTGAATGAAAACTGTTCAGGTATATGAAGCTGCTTTTTAATCCCTTCCACCACCTTCTCCCAAATCTTTTCTCAACAGAAGGCACTTTGGGGATTCTAAGAGAATCTTTACATGGCATGACTTCTAACTTTTTATCCTCTTTGCTCCTTTGAAGGTACTCTAATTATCATTGTCCCTTTTACACTGCATAAAATATTACTTCTCATCTGAACAATAATGTCTATTGACAGTCTTATTTATATAACTTTTAGCAGCTACTTTATAGTGATGGCTTACCAGGGGTGTCCAATCTTTTGGCTTCCCTGCGCTACATTGGAATACAAAGCATTGTCTTGGGCCACACATAAAATACATTAACATAAACGATAACTGATGAGCTAAAAAAATTGCAAAAATATCTCATAATGTTTTAAGAAAGTTTACAAATTTGTGTTGTGCCACATGCAGCCCGTGGGCCGTGGGTTGGACAAGCTTGGCTTATACTAAGCTTGAAGAAACCCAAAAGATCTAGGTCATCTCTGGATAAGATTTTTAGGTTTTTCCATATTTCCTTAAAGTTTCAATCAAAATCATTACTATGGTTACCAAGACCATATATCTGATAGGCAGAAAAAAAATTCCGAAAAGAAACATTTTGTAGTGTCCAAGGCATTGGTGAATAGCAGAGAAAACCTGGAGAGTGTAATTCTGACTGCAGGCTATAAACAAGGACCAGGAAACAAGAGGGGGATGTTGATGGCTAGGCTGGAAAGTAAGTTTACCTGAGAATAATGTGGTTCCTGCCCTCTCATAGCCTAGCAAAATGTTTCAAATAGACTGGAGTTCTCTTTCAGAACAGCATGTCTTCTATTTAAGCTCAAGGCTCTTTACTCCCACTTTTTGATTCAGGAAACTCAAATCATTTCTTACAGAAGGAATGTGGGAAACACACTGTCCTGACACCATTTTATAGCTATTCCTGTGCCTTTTAATTCTTGTTAAGTGCATTTCAAAATTAAAAGGAAATTTTCAGCTCCAACTGAGTTTTAGCAATGAATCTATAGTCCATTATATTTTAAGCCCTCAGATTTTTGCCTTCTTTCCTGTTTTAACATTGAGAATATGGGATACAATAAATTATAGGTATTAGACTTCTGGCAAAATGCAGTTTAGGACACTGCACGTTTTAGCACAAAAAAAATCAATCTTTTCTGCTGTCATAAAGCTTATTGAAAACTGCTATTGTGCCATTAAAATTAATGTAATCACTTTTTCTTTCTAAGTCACATTGCCCTTTTGCCCAACCCCTTCAGGTCATCTCCCCTTGAAGACAATAAGCCCTTTCTGATTCCTCCAATTGAATTAAAACTCAAAACTAATGCTGTGAAATGTTGCTTTTCTAATTCATATTTTATACAAAAAGATTTAATTTTCACATAAGATTGCTGAATTTCCATTTGGATTTTTCCCATACTTTTGCATCATTTAAAACCCACTGCTATAGAAAGGTAGACTAATACAGGCTCTTTTTTTGAAATGTACTTGAAAAAGGCATCAAACCTGAAATAATTTGCAGCAACTTTTTGATTTAAGAGAAAACTTTTGGGCTTTTTATTAGGCTTTAGCATAAGGCTTGGAAGTCATCTACAGTATATTAATATTTAAATATAAGGAGTTATATATACTATGCAATATGGATCTTAAAATGTAGTTACAATTCATTCGGTATTAATTCAAACATTTGCTTAAGAAAATGCAGCCTCGTTTATAATGCTCTAAAATTAAATTTACATCAAATTTTACTTTATCAATATCTAACCAGCTTGTTGGTTAACTTCACTGACCTTGTTTACACAGAGAAGAAACTTGGGAGCCATTCACTTCTGCAGGGAGGCTCAGTCTTGTGGCACCTGCTGAATCCAGTCTCTTTGAACACGGGAACTACTGGAGTCTCAGGCTCCAGGTCCTTGAATCAGCTTTAGAGGGGTGCAGATATGCTCTTCTCTATACCTCTTTCCTCCCACCTCCACTTTGGTGAAATATTCATTAGTTACTTCCAAATTATTAAGTCATCACGGGAAGGTGAATTCATTTCAGAGGTCTGCTCAACCTAAACAATATTTATCGGCAAACTGATTGATCCTTGACCCTTAAATAGTCAAGATTTGAGGCAAATTGTTTTAATAGGCATGCATGTTAAGATGCAAATAAAACTATTTTAACATGAAATTTAATCACTTACAAGGTTCACCAACATTTTGCTTATACATTTTCCCAATCAGGTATACACATACACTCACACATCATATTTGGTGAAGGAACCCTATGTTTTACTGCATGATTGTGTGGTCTATTTGCCTTTATTTCCTTGGTACCTGTAAACAGAAACTGCTTCTACCCTTGTTCACAGAGAATATTCTTTGTACTTGCCAAATGGAGCATGGGGAAAATTAAAGAAACAGTCTGACATTCACCATAGACTCAATAAAGAGAGATAAATAGTCAGGAATCTCATCTAATCCATTCTTCAGGCTTTTATCTCTTTCCTTGCATACCTGTTTCTTTCCTTTTTTATTTCCCTAGTGCTAAGATTCCACTTGTTCCATCACATTCTGTGGAGACATGTGTAGTGCTGTTGGCTGGGAGCTTAGGAAGCTGGTGGGGCAGCTGGCTGCTTCTCTACAATACCTTACCTGCAAGACACCCAGCCTTCACACATGGAACTGGAATACAAAGCAACACCAAAATACAACATAACTTTCAGGCTATCATAAATCTTCCCTTTTGCTTTCTCTAATTTTTAAAAATGAACACACAGCCCAAATACATGATTGTCTTTTTTAAGGTCCCATTTTGATATGAGTGGTATTTTAAAAATAATAGAATACATTGCAAAGGGAAGAAAACCATTAAGAGATTTGAATTCCAGTTAACTATCAGTGATTGCTTTGTAGCTCTGGGTCAACTGCACTGAGAATTTCAGAGATCAGTGTTTTTGGAAGGTGGCAAAGGAGAGTGTCCTGGAGGCTTGCAAATCTCCTCAACAGCCTTTGAGACCATCAGTTAAGCCTCAGTTATGATGAAAATTTACTTAACTAGTGCACTTCATTTCCCAAAGTCAGAAAAGTAAGGAAGATTTTCTGTTCCTTCTCATGTTCATATTGGACTATTTCTCCATTTTCCTCAAGTTTTTCCGAACTTCTACTCTGTCTTTCTAATCATTTGATTCAAGCCAACCTTCAAAACAAAATATCTGAAATTGTTTAATCCAAACTCTTGAAAGGAACAAAGGAAGATGGGGAAAGGAAGCCTTTTATATATCAATTGTAGAAAACAATTAAATATATGTCATACTCACTAGCATTACCTGAGGCTTATTATATGCCATTCAAAAAGGGCATTATTTATATTAATTTATGTAAACTTTATAAAAATATTGTATGATATTATCTTTATGTTACATATGAAAAAATTGGGATTTAAAATCTGTTATTTTAGCTCTAAAGGCTATGATATTAGCCAGAATACTACATAAAGGGTTGATATACAAGTTACAGAGATGAATAAATATGGTTTTTCCTTCAAACAATGCAGTCTTGGAAATAAACATTTTACTAGGGAAAATAACAACAACAGCCAAACATAGGTAGTGGGAAGTCTTTTCCCTGCTTTGTGTTTCAGTAACACAATGCTCTTTCTTTCCTCTGCCTTCTCAGTTTCTTCTCTCATTTGTAGTTGCGTAAGTTTTGAGAAGGAGGATGCATGGCTCAGCCTCTCTGCTTCCTCTTCGAGATGGGGTCACCTGAATGAAAGAATGTGTTCTGATCTGTTCTCAGTCTAGATAGACTCAACAACAAAGGTCAATCTTGCAGGTAACTGATAGATAAGTCATGCAAAAGAGTGAAAAAAAAATGGCCCCTTTTTGGGGGAGAGAAAAAAGCAGCCTCTTTCAGCGACCAAAGAGAGAGATGATGAAAGTACAAATGAAGGAATTTGCAGAAAGACGATAGAGAGAAGATCTGGTATAAAATTCACATACCTTTTGAGTATAACAGTACATTTGTTAAGGTTTAGTGGCAGTTTGGATGGTAATGGAGATCTTCTGGACATTCAGCAAATAATATATTTATGCATATTCAATTATGCCTTACAAACATGTAATTAAGGTCTAAAACATTTACATTTAGTAAGTACCATAGGATTTTAGGAGAAAAAATAGCATTAATGTAAAATGCAATTTATGTATACCACTTTGAGTTTTACAAAATGCAGACCTAAGCTTAAGACATGATCCCAAACTTTTATTTCAGCTACTATTACAGTCTAGATAGCCGGTGAAATCTGCTTAGTATAAGACACCAAAAATATGCAATAAAATATAGTTTTAAATATTTATAAATTCACAGCCAAGAAAAGGAAATAAATTACATGGAGTAGAGAGAAATAAATAAAATAAAGAAAGAAAGCATAAATCTGGAGCAAATCACAAGTGTTGCAGCTGGTTCAGTGGCTGGTTCCCTTAATTGCAGCTGCTGCTGTCCCTATTGGCCTGGAGCTTTAGTTTCTCTCTGCCTTTCTCCCTTTTTCTCCCTTTCTTTCTTTTCTTTTCTCCCTTCCTTCCTTCCTTCCTTCCTTCCTTCCTTCCTTCCTTCCTTCTTTCCTTCTTTCCTTCTTTCCTCCCTTCCTTTTTCTTTCCTTCTTTGACACAGGGTCCCACTTACTGTGTAGCCCAGGCTGTGATCATAGCTCCCTGCAGCCTCAAACTACTGGACTCAAGCTATCTTTCTACCTCAGCCTCCTGAGTAGCTAGGACTACAGGCTCACACCACCACTCCAGTCTGATTTTTAAAATTTTATATAGAGATGGAGTCTTGCTATGTTGCCCAGGCCAGTTGAGAGCTTTAGTTTCTAATAGTTCTAAACATGAGGCAAAATATAAAGCTGGGGGCCTGGGAAAGATGGGAAATTGTATTGTAAGAAAATACCATGCATAAGTTCAGATATAAAAAAACTACAAAACCAATGAAAAAAATCACAAAGAGTCAGGGTCATCAAGAAAACAACACAAAATTGAGTCAAACTCTCAAAGACTTCAGAAAATGAAGAATATTATAAAAAAATTAAAGTCTGTCAATATAACATATTGACAGGATATGGAGCAAAAGGAACTCTTATAAGCTATGGCCTTCTGGTAAAACAGTAGGACCACAGATTTGAAGGTGCACATCTTTTGAACTGGGCTTTCTCGACCACAGCACTATTGACATTTTGAGCTGGATAATTCTTTGCTGCAGAGGGCTGCCCTGTGTATTGTAGGATGCTTAGCATCATTTCTGGCCTCTAGCCACTAAATGCCAGTAACACTCCTCCTGCTCCCTTTCCAGCTGCGGCAGTCAAAACTGTCCTCAAACATTGTCAAATGTCTCCTGGAGAGCAAAATCACTCCTGGTCAGAAGTTACTGCTGTACAGCCCACAGTTCTACCCCTAGAGATTTATGGCAGAAGAACTTTTGTATATTTGTGTTAGGAGGCAGGCATATGAATCAGAGTAGTGCTGTTTGTAAAACAGAAAATTAGATATAATCCTAGAAAATCTGTGAGTATATTACAACACATTAATACAATGGAATATTACACAATTTCCCTATTGTATTAAACAAAAGGAAACAAACTACTGTTAAATGCAATAACATGCATGTATTTAATACTCATACTATCAAGAAAACAAGAATATTTCAGAAGAATACTTAGTTTTGTTCCATTTAAGTAAAATATGAAAAGATGTAAGACCAAATCTGTTATCTATCTATCTATCTATCTATCTATCTATCTATCTCTGTTACTTGATAAAACTATAATGAAAAGAAAGGGAATAAAAAGCAAAATATTCAAGATAATGACTATTTCTCAAGGCAATGGTGGGAGGAAAGAATATAGGATCAAAGTCGCATCATAAACTTCAAACATTGGTAATGTTCAATTTCTTTATCTTGATTGTGAGTACATGGTGTCTCATTTTATTATTGTCATTCAAACCATTTTTATGATTTTACTCTTATATGTGATATATTTCATAATTCAAATATAATTTATATTTGAATATTTCATAATTCAAATATAATTTATATTTGAATATTTCATAATTCAAATATAATTTATATTTGAATATTTCATAATTCAAATATAATTTATATTTGAATATTTCATAATTCAAATATAATTTATATTTGAATATTTCATAATTCAAATATAAAAATATAATCCTTACCATATAGTTTAATATTATTAGATAAATTACAGATATTTTTTTTTGTTTGCTGAGAATTCCTTTCTCCTTCCCAGAAATGTTCTTTCCCCCTTTTTTTTTAATTTATAGAACTATTCTTGCCACCACTATACCCATGCCTCTAATGGAAACTGACAGTTATGACATCTTGCTCCCATGGCCACAGGGGGAGTCAGGGTTCAAAGCCAATCACTGAACTTGAATTAGTTTGCTAGGAATGCCATAATGAAATACCAAAGACGGGTGGCTTAAACAACAAAAATTTATTTTCTCACATTTCTGGAGGCTAAAGGTCCAAGATCAAGATATCAGTAAGTCTGATGTCTTCTGCAACCTTTTTCTTAGTTTGCAAGTGGCTGTCTTCTCACCCTGTCCTCACATGGGCTTCTCCTGTGCATGCACACATCTGGCATATCTCTATGTGTCCAAATTTCTTCTTCTTATAAGGACACCAGTCATATTAGATTAGGGTCCATCCTGATGGCTTCATTTTACCTTAATCATCTCTCTAAAAGGTTTGATATTCAAATATAATCAATATCTTCCATGTGACCATATTTGAATATCAGGCCTTTCAGAGAGGTGATCCATTTATTTTTATTGCCTACGTTGTTCAGTGTGTGCTTTTCTCACTTGAATCAAAGGATACCAAATAATACATGAATCATTGTTTTGTAAGTGGGAAGAGTACCTATAATAATACTTGCAAAATATTGAGTAAATTTAGGGCTAAATATTGACCCCTGTTTTTCTTATATGTCAGAAAATAGTTGCCTATACTTTTATTTCACCTTACTTATTAATAAAACATGGTGTTGTTAAAATATTTTATTACAGAAAATCTAATCTTACTATCCTAGGCATACTTTTCTGATGGTTACCCTGAATAAAACATTAAATAACTATTTAGCATATAGTCAAGAGTGGATACCTGGAAGAAACATTTACATCTGGGATGATTTGCCTCTTAACTCTGAAATGAGTACTGCATAATATGTTTGCAAGACATCATATATTTAGTGTAAAAAGCATTTTCCCTTATCACCTTCAGGTTTTCTGTCAGCTATATTCCCTTCAGTAAAATGATGCCGAAATATTCTCAGAAATATTGAGAATCATGCTAACTAGTATCACATAGAATTTTTTTCTTTCATGATATTCTGTAGTTCCTCCAAGAAGAAGAAGAAAAAAAAAGGAAGAGGAAGAGGAGGAGAAAAAGGAGAAGAGGTGGGCCCAATTCCTGCCAGTGAGCCCAATTCCTGCCAGTGAAACCCATTAGCAATATGCAGCATAGAACTTCTCATAGACATTTTAATTCCTCAATAGCAAATTTGAATGGTGAACCAAGAAATGTGAGGTAAGCCTGAATCTGAAAAAACAGCAAAAAGGAAATCAAAAGTCTTAGTGCTATTACATAGAAGAAGAAACTGTTGAATAAACCTTATTATCTTGAAGATAAGAAAAAAATTTGGCTGCCACAAAACAATAACATAATGCTTGTTTTGAAGAAGTTTTAAAGAATAAGAGTCATCAGAACTTTAAAATACCAAAACAGAATTTACAAAGTCCATTAGAAGAGTTGGAAGATTATATTAAGGAAGCTCAAGAAAACAAAACAAAAACAAACTTAAAGCTATCCTATCACTCAATCTGTGGCTGTAGATGGGACTGTTGCAACCAGTACTAGGGACACAAATGGAATCAGGGCTGGGAAAGCCATCCCCAGTACCGAACCAGGTAGTGCAACTGGGACCACAGAGCCTATATTGGTGGCACAGTTACAGACTGGGTAGGGCACTCCATTTCCTGCCCCCATCCCTGTGGTTCCAGCAAGCCAGGTTTCTCCACTTTCTGCAAGTCCATTTTTGGCTACTTCCAATAACTATGTTCTTTTATTGAATATAGTAATATAATATTTTAATAAAAATGTAAATAGGACATTCAATGCAGCTTTTATTACTAATAGGCAAAGTCCTTGCCGGGTGAGGTGGCTCACACCTGTAATCCCAGCACTTTGGGAGGCCGAGGCAGGCGGATTACCTGAGGTCGGGACTTCGAGACCAACCTGACCAACATGGAGAAACCCCGTCTCTACTAAAAACACAAAATCATCCGGGCGCACACCTGTAATCCCAACTACTTGGAAGGCTGAGGCAGGAGAATCACTTGAACGCAGGAGGCAGAGGTTGCAGTGAGCTGAGATCATGCCATTGCACTGCAGCCTGGGCAACAAGAGTGAAACTCCGTCTCAAACAAACAAACAAAAAATAGGCAAAGTCCCATATTAAGAGGACATATCTAATTTCTATGATTATTTTTACTGATTTAACAAAAGACAAAATGGATGAAGAAAAAAGACTATTTAGAAGGTCAATGAAAATTTGGAGAGGGGTCAACAATATTTGAAGAAGAATGAACTTGCCAAGAGGAGACAGATGCAACTAGAATATTTACTGCGTGTCTGAATCTGCTAAAACATGAAGCAGCATTGCCTGCATCTTCTATTCCTTCTATCAAGGATCAAAACTGTATTAGTCAGGGTTCTCTAAAGGGTCAGAACTAATAGGATACATGTATAGATGAAGGGGATTTCATTAGGAGAACTGACTCACATGATCACAAAGTGAAGACCCACAATAGGCCCTCTGCAAGCTGAGGAGCAAGGAAGCCAGTGCGGGTCCCAAAACCTCAAAAGCAAGGAAGCTGAAGGTTCAGCCTTCAGTCTGTGGCCAAAAGCCTGAGAACCCCAGCAAACCACTGGTGTAAATCCAAGAGTCCAAAAGCTGAAGAAGTTGGAGTCTGACGTTCCAAGGCCGGAAGAATCCAGCACAGGAGAAAAGATGAAGGCTGGAAGATTCAGCAAGTCTGCTCATTCCACTTTCTTCTGCCTGCTTTATTTTAGCCATGCTGGCAGCTGATTAGATGGTGCCCATCCAGATTGAGGGTGGGTCTTCCTCTCCCAGTCCACTGATTCAAATATTAATCTCCTTTGGCAACACTCTCACAGATCCACCCAGGAACAATGCTTTACATCCTTCAATCCAATCAAGTTGACACTCAATATCAGCAATCATAAAGACTATGCTGAGAACTATGAATGGCTACTTTTCCACTCACTATTAAATATAGTAATCAGAACTTAATATTTATTCTCAGATTACTTATATCTTTATACTTAGAAAAATCCATTATTTTCCTTACATATGGATTTTTAAAATCTTCCATTAAGTGCTGACCTGTCCAGGCCAACCTTACTAAAAATATGCTTAATGTTGATAGCTTATGCATAGGCATTAATATTCAAGGATGTTCTCTTTGTTAAAAAGTATTTCTACTTTTAATTTTATACATTTTCAATGTATTTCACAAACATTTATTCTTTAACTGATAAAGCCCTTTGGCTTTATATAAGTGCAAATCCAACATTTCCTTTTGGAATGAACGGTTAAATTGCAGTGCCTTTGTCTTTCTCCTATGTAAAATAAATTTACAAAATGAATGTGCATAAATCCAACAAATAAAGGTATATAAAACAACCCTCATAAGTAATTAATGGTAAGGGTAGGTACTGTGGGATGAAACAATCTGCACATTTTTCCATAAAATATTTACAGTTGTTTATATGTTAGCATCAATACTTATGGAATAATTTCTCCAGATTGTTTTCCATCTATAAATCAAGACATTGCTTTATTGCTGATTCCACATGCAGTGAGCTCTCAGTCCTATATTTTTCTAAGCATTTCCTATTACCTACAATATTTTCTAAAAATGATTAACATCACAAATTCCTTTATTGCACTTTCAAAAGTTACAGATTTTTAGAAATACATTAATAACAATATTAGCTGTAATAATGAAATATCAATTTTTCTTTATATCAAACTCAAAAACATACAAATTAAGGGCACCTGTGAGTTGAGGGAATTGAAAGAAAAAAATATTCCAGGCAATAATTCTGGACATTGGCTGCACATAAGAAACCTCTAGAGAGAGTCTTCTATCCTGATCTTCAGGTAACACCCTTCTCAAAATAAATGGAAATCTCTACTGATGAGACCCATATATTATTTTTAAAGTTGCCAGGAGGTTAAAATGTGTAGCCAATTTTAAGAACTAACAAGGCAAGGTGAATGAGCAGATTCTATAAAGTGCAATCTCTACAAACTTTTCTCAATCTCTGTTCACCACAGTTTTTTGTGAAGTCACATTTGAGGAATCTCCAGCACTTACCAAGGCTGATGAAAAAAGAGAAAGGCCAGAATCAAGGCTGTGCACAAATGTCATAATTAGTACAAGGAGGAGAAGCGGGAAGTTTCTGTGATACATTTTGGTAAGAAGCCTACACCAGTTTGAACCTAATTAAAGTTATTATAATTAGCTCAGGAGGCAGATAAAATTCTGATTCAATGGAAACCCACCAGTGAAGCAGACTCACCTGAACAAACATATAAACGTCCTGTTCCAGCAATAGATAGGAGGCGGCTACTAAAACAGAGCCTGCTGCTTTAGTCCACTGTGGGCCCCCACAGACTTCTAACATTTTCTGATAGAAAAATCCCAGTTTGGTTTCCCTAGATTCCGACTGATAAAGTATAGTTTTCTCTTTTCACTATCCAAAATGTTTTATTATACATAAAGTAACTTGTGAATGTGCATTTGTTATTAGCAAATGTAATTTTTGCTCAACAAAAAATGAAAAAAGAGTAAGAAAAAAGAATATGTAAAAGTAGGCTCTTTCTCCATTTGAAGTATGTTCATATGACATTTGTTTTTATATTCAAGTACTTTATTTTACCAGTACTGCAAAATACCTTATCTTATTTGATACACTCTCAGTCACAATAAAAAATTTTCCCCAAACTTTAAATCATAGCGCTTTGAAAAATATTGCTCCAATAGCAATTTTTTTATGTCTGTGGGTTTACTACCTATAGCTTACAAACTTTTAGCAAAAATATTAATTTTTATATCCTCTCCCTATATACGGTTTTTTTAAAGTTAAGCTTTCCCCCACAGTCTACTGAGTACTTATTTTGTTCTTTCTACTCATCATATGTCTTTATATTTATTTAGTTATATTCATGAATGAGTAAAAAGAGGGGAAAAAAGTCTAGGAAGGAAAAGTTTACTGATCACTAAAAATTACTCAAATTACACACTAACTTCTAGGTCTATTTAAAATTTAAATGCTGTATTATTTTATATGTATTAAAACAGAGATTTAATTAAGTTTGATGCTTTAAAGTAATGTGGCTTTTTTCACATCAGACCCTCACAATATGAGTTTTTTTCTCATTAGAATTGTTGTAACTTTTAAGACAAATTAGGTTATCATTTGAGTAGATTGTACACCAATGGGATTTACTTATGTATTCCCTCAATAGTTGTTTATTGAGCATTTAGTATGCGCCAAGGATTGTGTGGGCACTAATAATTTGATGGCAAAATAAGACAAAAAAAAGAATAAAAGCCTGTTGATGCCCCCCAAAGAGTTTACAATCCAGTGGGAAGGAGACACATAAATCAGACAAGTATAAATGAAAACTATGCAAGTTGTGGTACACCATGCTGTGCAGGTATGACTCGGAGAGATTGACAAGATGCTACCTAGGGAAGGGAAATTGAGGAATAATCTGAAGAATGAATCATTTTATGAAAAGAGTGTGGGAGCAGCAGAAATGTAGAAAATTGGGAAGCTTGACAATGGCACAGTCTAGCAAGAAAAAGAACCTTGACTAGATTGAGAGAGCAGGGAAATGGAGGAGAGAAAACAACTGGAGACATAAGCAGACTGTCAGGCTGTGTAAAGAATGCCTGAAGTACCCTGAGAACTGTATGAAACCAGTGACAAGGGCTTGACATGATCATACTAGTCTTTTGAAAAATCCACTTTGCTTGTATTCTGAATAACTAGTTGGAGTGCAGCAAGACCGGATATGTCGAGACAAGTTAAAAGACCCCTGAGGTAGTACACATGATACAAGTTAGTAGTGATTTTATGTTAATATTTTATTAACTAATTTACATAACTTACAACAATCACAGTTTGGAAGTTTCCACTTTTTAGCTATAGAATGATGCTACCTTATTGGCCATTAAATAAAATGGATTCCTTATTAAACTTGTATTAAAATGGAAATCTTTATGCCAGCATTCATTAAAATGGCAAAAGAATAAAAGCAATTTGCAAGATTACAAGGATGAAAATAGAAACAGAAGCTGCAAGAACAAAAGTTGATTGACTCCAGTATTACTGAATGTGACATAAATTTCTACTTATTCATTCCACTTCCTAACTAAAACCTGACTTTTCTAGGAGGCTATATAATCATCATTTTAATAAGTTGCTAATCAATTTTAAATTCCTTTCATATAATAAATTTCCAACTTGACAATTGGAAATCCTAGTGATACCTGATATGCATTACATGGAAATAGGAGCTGCAGTCCTTGATGAAAAAAGCAGACATGGGGGTGGTGTATTGGTTAGGGATCTCCAGAGAGACAGAACCAGTAGGATATATACATTACTCTCTCTAGAAAGAGAGTGTTAGAAGAAATTGGCTCACATATATTTTATTGGTTCTGCCTCTAAAGAAAAAGAGAGATTTAGAAGAAATTGTCTTGCATGATGATAGAGACTGGAAGTCCAAAATCTGTGGAGCCCATGTCCCAGTTAGAGTCCAAAGGTTGGGAGCTGCTGTAGAACCAGGAAGAAACCAATATCTCAGTTTGACAGCTACCAGGAAGGATAATTTTCTTTTATGCTGTGAAGGGTGGGCCTTTAGTTGTATTTAGGCCTCCAACTGATTGGGTGAGGTGCATCCACATTATGGAGGGCATTCTGCTTTACTCAGTCTGTCAATTTAAGTGTTCATCTCATCCAAAGCACTCTCACAGAAATGTCAGAAAAGTGTATGTCCAAATATCTGGGCACCACATGGTCCTGTCAAGTGGCATATAAATTAACCACCACGGATGGATTCAAGAATAATTCAACACACATGCACACACACACACACAAACTATACAACTATCACACATTTAAATTTGAAATCTAGTACCTTATTTTTATTTGTCAGTTAATAGCTACTTTCTTTTTATCTTGCAAGATAACATTTCTCGGTGTGGGTGAGAAAATTTGAAGTCGATCTTAAATGTATTTATAGCAAATGAAATGCCATATCTGTTTACATTTTTATTTTAAAATATAGGTGTAAAGAGTTTTCTGTTTGTTTTGTTTTTTGCTAATTACAAAGCTTCTGACTTTAGATATTAATACTAACAATTAGGTGAATAGCGGATTATAAGAGAGAGAAAAAGATAAAGAGAAATTAGGATACGTTTTTACAACTTAGGATTTCTTCAACTTTTGTACTGTAAGAAAAAATAATTTTTCTGTATAACAACATTTCCTTTTTCATATATAACATATGAAAGTCAGAACACTGAAATGTTTTATACATATTTAAAATTTCAGTGTACTATTCCATTAATTAGCTGTCATAAACAGTTTTCTTACTGATGTATATTGAAAATTATAATTTGTTGAAGGCAATGTAAGTAAAGCTGTCAATGGATTTAAAATAACTGATATAGAATTATTTAAACTTATAGTTATTTGTGCAAGAATTTTATGGGCTTTCAAACAAAAGAATAACAAAAGCAACAACAAAGTTGGACCTATGGACAAAACTGTATCCCTCCTCCCCCAATTTTCATGTGACTGGTGAAGCCTTAATCTCCAATATGACTGCATTTGGACATAAAGCTTACAGGGAATACGTAAGGTTATATGAGGTCATAGGGTTGGAATCTGACCTGATAGGAATAGTGGGCTTATAAGAAAAGACACCAGAGAGCTCCATCCCTGAAAGGGTGCACAGATGGAGGGAAACGTTGTGTGAAGACATAGTGGGAAGGCAGCAATCAGGAATCCAGGAAGAGTGTCTCACCAGAAACCTAATTGGCCAGAACCAGGATTTTGAACCTCAAGCCTCCAGAACTATGAATAAATAAATTGCTGGTTTTTTTAAGCCACCCAGTCTATAGTATTTTGTGATGGCAACCTGAGTTGACTTACACACTGTAAAAGCTAAACCGGCTGGGATCATTTTTAATAGTTAATCTCATACCCAGAATATCTTGCTATTCCATTTTATTGGTATATATATTTCATGGTTCCTGAAAACTTGATGCATGAATTTTTAACATGAATTATAATTTTTTAATTTATAATATTGATGCTTCATAAGACATTCACTACTTATAGAATACAGATTTGTGGTAAATCTAGACCCTAGTTTCATTTGGTCATGAGTTTTGAGTTCAGAGAAAGATGTTTTCATTAGGTAAGATTACCTGTAAAGCAGTAATCAAGTTATCTAGCCCATAGCAAGCCCAGAGTGAACTTTTAATTTCCCCCCCAAACTTGCCTTTCCCACAGTTTTCTCCATCTTGGTAAATGCCACCAATATCCACTTGGCTGTGCAAGCCAAAATCTTAGCTGCATCTTGAATATCTTTATTGACTGTCACTTTCTGATAGACATTCCTAACTATTGAATAGAAAGTAAGAAACCTGCCCTTCTTGTCACAATTCTCTGCGTATCATTTATCACAACTTGATATATCTACTTCTTAAAATTATTCATTTGTTTGAATATAGTCTGTCTCCTCTACTAGCATTTTAACCTCATGATCAGGAGACCTTGGTTCTCTCATCTTCTTCATTCCTAGTTCTGGACCTGTGCCAGCCACATAGAAACTGCTTAATAATTATTTGTTGAAGAATGTTCTAAATGAATAATCCGCAGCAAAGCCCTGAGAAGTAAGTATTATCCACTTCACTTTACGAGAACAGAGACATTAAATCACCACTAAAATCCTATTTAACTTTTTTTGAGCTTTAGATATCTTTAAAAATGGCCATAAGACCTAATAAAATTGTTTCAAGGTTTTGATAAGATATTGAATAGAGTCAAATTGTGTAGCAGATCATCTGTCACACAATAAATTTTTAATGAATATTTTCTCATTTTTTTTGAGTGGATCAAAACAAGAAATTTAGAATTGAGTTTGACACTTTTCCCCCACTATAACTTATAACTAAGAATTCTGTGTCTGTTGAAATTCAAGTAAACAGTCATATATGTAAAAATCTTTAAAAATCAATCTCCTAATACACTGGCAATAAAAAAAAAAAAAAACTTTAGAAATAAATTCACGGCCAGGCACAGTATCTCATGCCTGTAATTCCAGGACTTTGGGAGGCCGAGGCAGGTGGATCATGAGGTCAGGTGTTCAAGACCAGCCTGGCCAAGATGGTGAAACCCTGTCTCTACTAAAAACACAAAAATTAGCTGGACGTGGTGGCTCACACCCGTAATCCCAAATACTTGGGAGGCTGAGGCAGGAGAATCACTTGAACTAGGGAAACAGAGGTTGCCGTGAGCTGAGATTGTACCACTGCACTCCAGCCTGGGTGACAGAGGGAGATTCCATCTCAAAAAAAAAAGAAAAGAAAAGAAAAAGGAAATTCATATGCTGTATAATTTGTTCCTTTTAGTGGTTAGTTATGTAGTATTTTAAACTATATACTGTTGTGATCACCACCACAATCATGATACAGAAAATATTTGTATTTTCCCCAAAACTTTCCTTATGCACCTTTGCAGTCAACCAGTCCCCAAACTAGCACTAACTTCTTGTAACTAGTGATGTTTTCTTCCCCTATAATTTTGCCTTTGTCAGACATGTTTTACAACTATTTTTTCCCAGTATGCGACTTGTCATTTTATTTTGAAACAATGACTTTTGAAGGGCATACATGTTTTTTATGAAGTCCAATTTATCAAGCTTGTCTTTTATGATTTGTATTTCATGTCTTATAGCTTAGAACTTTTATGTACCTAAGGTCAAAAATTGTTTTTCCTAAATATTCTTCTAAAAGTTTAAAAATTTTAGATACAAAATCCAGGTCTAAAATCTATTTTCAGTTAATTTTTTAACAAGTTGTGATATATGTGTTAAGATTTATTTATTTGTTGGTAAGTTGAAGTCCAATTACTTTAGTATAATTTGTTGAATAGACTTCATTAAATTGCTTTTGTGCACTTGCAGGAAAACAATTGACTGTATATTTGTAGAACAATTTCTGGTCTCTACTGTCCCATTGATTTCTGTACCTATTATTTTGTCAATATGATATTGGTTCAATTATTTTTGCTTTATGATAATTACTTAATATGAGTATAGGTTTTTCAACTTTGCTTTTCTTTTTAAAAAATACTTTTGATGTTCCAGATATTTTGCTTCTTTATATGAATTTTGGAATCTTCTTGCTAATTTCTACTAAAAAATTTGCTTTAGTTTTTTTATTGGGATTGCATTGACTCTACAGATGAGTTAGGAGAAGTAAAATCTTTACAATATTGAGTCTTCCAATCCATAAACATGGGATATACTGTAATTTATTGAGGCTTATTTTGATTTCTTTCATTCGTGTTTTGTAATGTTTAGCCTACAAAATTTGAAAATATTTTTAAAAATTCAGACTTTAGTATTTCAAGGATTTTTTTTTTTTTGGTGTTATGTTGAATGGTACTGTAATTTCTCTCCCTAACCATTTGTTTATTCTGTGACATTGCTAAAACCCATGTATCAGGTACAGTAACATTTGCAAATTCTTCTAAGACAATCAGCATGTTATCTGAATATAGAGCTAATTTCATTTCTTTTCCAATTTCACACTTTTTATTTCTTTTTTTATGTCTTATATAAAATAAGGCAACAACACCATGTTGAATAGAAGTGGTGAAAGCAAATTTCCTTTCCTGGTTTCCGTCTTAGAAAGTATTCATGCTTTCAACTTTAAGTGTGATGTCAGTTGTAAAGTTTTGTAAATGTCCTTAATCAGGCCAAGAAATTTTTTTAGTTTGCTAAAATGTTTTTAGTTTGAGAGTATTTTTTTATGAAGGGATATTGAATTTGGCCAGGTGCATTTTCTGGATCTACTAAGATGATAAATATGCATTTTCTTCTTTTTCTTCTTTACCATTGAAATCTTAACATTGAATCAGATTGCACTTCTGCATAAATTCCACTTGGTCATCATGTATTATCTATCTATCTATTTATCTATCTATCTAATTTATAATTTATCTTGCTGAATTTAATTTATTAATATTTTATTGAGAATTTCTGCATATATTTTTATAATAGATTTAGTTTGTAGTTTTCTTGTAATATATTTGTCTGACTTTAGGATAATGACAATGCTCTCATTATAAAATAAGTTGTAAAATATTACCTCCATTTCTGTTTTCTGGAAGAGTTTATATAGAATTGGTAACTGTTTCTAATCAAATGTGTAGTAGAATTTTCTAATGAAGCTGTCTTGTTCTGCCATTTATTGAAAGAATTTTGCCTATAAATTCAATTTATTTAATAACCATCATTAAAGACTATTCTAATTATTAATATCTTCTTTCATAAGGCCAGGTGCTGTGGTGCATGTATTCACCACACTTTGGGAGGCCAAGGTGGGTGAATTGCTTGAATCCAGGAGTTTGAGCCTAGACTGGGCGACATGGTGAAACCCTGTCTCCATACACAGAAAAAAATACAAAAATTAGCCAGGCATGGTGGTCACATGCCTATAGTCCCAGCTACTCTGGAGGCTGAGGTGGGAGGATCATATGAGCCCAGAAGCTTGAGGCTGAAATGAGCTGTGATCATGCCACTGCACTTCAGCCTGCATGACAAAGTGAGACCCTATCTCAAAAAAAAACAAAAAAAAACAAAAAAAAAACAAAAAAAAACTTCAAAAAACAAACCAAAAAAACCCTTCTTTCATAGACTTTGGTAGTTTGTGTCCTTCAAGGAATTTGCTCATTTTTTTTTTCTATTTACCAATGCATTGTTACATTTGTCTTTATAATTGTTTATTTTCTTTTTTCTTTTTTTTTTTTTTTGCTCTAGCACTAATTTTATAGTCCTTTTTTCGTTTCTTAAGGTGGAAACATAGATTATTGATTTAAGGTTTTTATATTTTTCTAATATAGGAATTTAATGCTACATATTTTTCTCTGAGCACTTCTTTCAATTTATACCAACATTTTTATGTTTCATTTTCATTTTTTTTGTTCAAAATGTTTTCTAATTTTTATAATGTTTTATTCTTTGAACAATGAGTTCTTCAGAAAAATGATTTGGGAATTTTACAATTATTTCTTTTGTTACTAATATCTACTTTTATTCAATTTTGGTAGGAGAGAACATTTTGGGCAAATTCAATTTATTAAAATTTGCAGATTTTTGATTTAAGGTCCAGGATAGCATCTATCTTGGTGAATATTACACGAGCTACTGGAAAAGTAGTTAATTCTGCTTTTGTTTGATGAAATGTTCCATATATAATAATTTGATTACATTGATTGAGAGTATCACTCACATCTTTTATAACCTTTTTGCTTTTCTGTGTACATTTCTGTTATCAAATACTAAAAAATAATGTTAAGGTCTTCAACTAATTGTGTATGTGCCTGATCCCTTTTCAGTTTTATAATGCTTTGTTTCACAAATTTTGGAGCTCTATTTTCAGATAAAAACACATTCAGGGTTGTTATGTCTTCTTGGTAAATAGATACTTTTTTCATTGTATAATAATACTAACTCTGATAGTGCTCCATGTGCTGAAGTCTGATTCGTGTGTTATTAGTATAGCTATTCCAGCATCTTTTTGCACAGTATTATATGGTATATCATTTTCTGTTCTTTTGCTTTCAATCTATCCATATCTTTATAGTTTAAGTGCATTTACATAGACAGCATAGAGTTGTATCTTGATCTGTAATTCAGTCTAGAAAACTGACTATTTTCAATTGATATGTTTAGATCATTTACATTTATTATAATTATTGCTATGGTTAGATTGAATTTTACCATCTTCCTAGTTTTTTACTCTTTTTTCCATCTGTTTTTTGTTCCCTTTTTTTAAAAAAAGATTTTATAGTTTGTTGAGTATTTTTAAATAATTCTATTTTATATCTACCATTGGCTTCTCATTTATTTCAGTGTTATTCATTTTAGTATTATTTTTACTATTTTGGTTATTTGTATTTAGTATTATTTTAAAATTTATTTTACCATTACTCTTATGGTTGCTCTAGGGTTTAAAATATATATCTTTCGTTCATTATAGTTTTCCTTCAAATAATAATGTATGGCTTTATGTAGTGCATAACTGTTATAGTATATTTCCAAATCTTTTTTCTCATCTTTTTTGCTATCATTGTCATACATTTTATTTTTCTTATGCTGTAAACTTTGAATGCATTGCTACTATATATACTTTAGACAGTCAGTTATCTTTTTAAAAATATAGCCTTCATTTTAGAGCAGTTTTAGAGTCACAGCAAAATTTAACAAAATGTACAAAGATTTTCCATATACCTCTGCCCCACACATGTATAGCCCTCCCCCCATAAACTTCCTCCAACAGATCGATGTATTTTTTACAACTGATGGGCATGCATTGGCATATCATTATCAGTTGCCTTTTAAAATAACTAGAATAAAAGAACAGTGTCTTTTATATTTATCTTTATTTCTAACTTTTCCAGTTTTTCATTTTCTTATATAGATACAATTATGTGCTCTGGTATCATATTCCTTCTGCCTCAAGAATTCCTTTTAATGAATTCCCTGTTTTGTTTGTATGTAGACTTTTTCTGAAATATATTTTGATTGGATATATAATTACAAATTGATGATTTTTTTCTTTCAACCTTTTAAAAATGTCTCAAATGGTATCAAGCTTACATAGTTTCAGATGAGAATTCTGCTTCTTTTTCCCTTTAGCTTTTTTTGTTCTTATGTATGCATCTTTATTCCCTTACTGCTTTAAAGATTTTCTGTTATATGTAATAAGGACTTTCACTCTCACTCTGAACAACATGGGAAGCCATTGGAGGGTTTGAGCAGAGGGGTATCATTATCTGTCTTTGGTAATGACAGAATCACTATGGCTACAGTGAAAAAAACAAACTAAATAAGGTCAACAGCAAAATCAAGGAGCCCAGTTAGGAGCTTATTGTAATAATCCAGGCAAGAGATGATAATTGCTTGAGAGATGTGGTTTCTTTTTTGATGTGTCAATTTAATTTGGGTTTAGCCCTCACTTATTCAATTAATCACTAGTCTAGTTGTTTTGAAGGGAGCTTGCAAAGGTAATTAAAATCCCTAATCAGTTGGTTTTAAGTAAGGGAGTCTGTACTGGATAACACAAATGGACCTGATTTAATCAGTTAGAAGACATTCAAAGTAGTGCTGAATTTTTCTTGAGGGAATAGAAGAAATTCTGCTTGTGGGAAAATAGCTTTGGCCATGCACATGATTTCCAGCATACTTGTGATCTTACTTTCCAGACAGTCTGCACTACAGTTTTCAGACTTGCATACCCAGCCCACACAATCACAAAAGCCACTTCCTTGAACTCTTTCCCTCTCTGTCCCTACTCTCTCTTTCTCCCCACAATCTCTCGCTCTATACAGACACACACACACACAAACACAGACACACACACACATTTATTTTACTTGTTCTGCTTCTCTGGTGAACCCAAACTGATACAGGAGTTAAAAAATTGTTAGACTGCAGATATCAGCCTAAAAAACAAAATATATATCTATGTCATTTATATATCTATATATCCATGTACAAAAGAAATTTGATTTACTTATCTTGTAATATGTCATAAAATTGCCTATTCAATAAATACAGATCTATACCATTATTTTAATAGCTATGTTGCCATTTGCTAAATAAATATCAGCATTGTTTAATCAGTCCGTCTCTATCTGGCTTATTTTCTATGTTTCAATATTATGAATAATGTTGATTTAAACTTTTTTTGTATGTATGAATGTGTGTGTGTTTTATGTTTAAATCTAGTTTTTTTTTTGGCTAATGTAATATAAGGTGATTGCATTCTAATATATTTATTTAGCAAACATGTGCCTTTAAAAGTTTTGTGTTCTTAAAGAATGTATTTACCATGTTAAATTTATTTAATTGTATTTAAAATATGAATGCATATTTAGATGCATGCAGGTTATACAATTACACTATGGGTGCTTTGGAAAATCAAAACAGAAAGACTGTGAATATTATTTGACAAAATAGTGAATTTCACTTTCCAAAGAACTTTCTAATATTAATCCAGAGTCCATTCCTTTGTGAAGAAAATTAAATGACCCAATTTTTCTCTGTTCATTTATTATTTATGCAATAATCCTCACATGATTTAATGGTTTGTTTCTAACTGAAATGTACAAAGTCCTTTTCGAATGAAAATATTACAAGCTGAAAATACATTAGCTGGTAGGTTTTGAAAAATAGAAGCAGATTTTTACTAATGCATTGAACTATACACCTCATTCTTAACTTACTGGTATTTCAGTGGGCTGTGCCATCTTATGAATTTAGGGGTGTTTATGGTTTAATAGAGCCATCTTCCACATATTAAAGATTTCTGCAAGTTGACACTTTAGAAAAGAGAGATAATAAAAGAGGATGGGAGGAGTGGAACGTTGTTACTTGTTCTCACAGCTGTGAGGACTGTTATTAGTGAAAGACACTCTAAGAATATATTTCATTTTTGACAAGCAATCTCTGTCAAATGATGGCATGTCAGCATTTGGTGATATTTTGAAAAGAATGTCAGGTGCAATAGAGGAAAGAATCACTAGTCTAATGGATTGTTAAAACAATGCATTACGTTTGATTTCTGAATACACTTGATTTCATCAAAACTAAAAGCTTCATTTCTTCTCATTCTTGAAAAATGTCCTTTTTGTTTTGGAGTTGAGGGAAGGAGAAATAGTTTTGTGTTAACCTAGACTTGTTCCTTCACCGCATCTATTTACAGTTACAAGTGCAGCAGAAATATTTTAAACCCTCGATTGCTATTACTGATCTAAAATCGGCATTTAGTACTTACTTCAGTCTGACATGTAGGATTTTAGTCTTATAGCTGTTTATTGTATATAAAGTCTGTATTTTTAAAACTGTCCTAATATGCACTGTATTTTCTTTCCTGCTAAGAAAAGCAATGTAATTATTATCCTGATTCTAAAACAAAACAACTAACTATACAATGATAACAGAAATACTCACTGTGGCATTTATTAGTTATATAACTTTGGGCAACGCGCGCACGTGTGTGTGTGTGTGTGTGTGTGTGTGTGTGTGTGTGTGTATACACGTACCTAAGATTTTTTATTGTATAACGGAGGTACTACTGGGACTTACCCCACAGCATTATTGTGTGGATTCAGGAGGTCAATGTGAAACACTTAGAATATTTTCTTGCACACAGTAAAGGTGCAGTAAATGGAGGTCCTCCACTAGGCATTATGTGCTAGTTGGAGTCCTAGCTGCAGTATTTAATCTGAAGATGGCACTGTCGGCTGTTATCATTGAAACTGGCTTGAGGAATCAATAGCAGCCAATACTATAAAATGAATCCCTTCAGCATATATTCTGCAGCTCAAAACTGTAGTTGGCATGAAAGATAATTGTTTTAAAAGAAAACTTATTTTAATAGCAGGTCTCAGTACGAGCTCTATCACCAGATGGGTAAGTGACCTCGGGCAAGTCACTTAGATTTATACAATCACAGACATTTGAAACTAGTATCTGAAACTAGTAAATCTGAAGTAGTTATAATTAGGGGAATTGAAGTCAGAAATCACATAGCTAATTGGTGGCCAAATCTGAACTCTCTGTGCCTTGTTACTCAATTATACCACATTAATGCAGTCAACAAACATTTATTAGCAATCGCTCTATGCCAGTCAATCAATGTCAACGTCTATCAAATGAGATTCGATAGATACATTACATAAGGAATGCTTGAACAGGGTGAGTATACTTGAGTGTCTAACCTTATACCATTTTTTATTTTGAGATGTATCAGTAGTCCATTGATTTTTATTGCTGAGTAATATTTGATTGTATAGTTTGTATATTCTTCTGTTGTTTATGGGAGTTTTATGGGGGGAGTTTGATTCAATTTTTAGCTATTTATTAATATGGCTACTTTAAACATTCTTTTTCACATCTTTTTTCTGGGCATGTGTTTTTATTTTTGTTAGGTAAATACCCCGAAATAGAACTGCTAAGTCATGTGGTCAAGTGACATTTAATTTTATAGGAAGTTACCGATTGTTCTTCAATGGCAATAGATGTGAGTTCCATTTGCTCCATACGCTCACTGACGTTAAGATAGAATTGTCTGCCTGTTTAAATGTTCTAGTGAATGTGAAATGGGATCTCGTGTTTTTAATATGTGTTTCCCTATTGACTATGATATTGAGCACTTATTCATGCGTATATTGCTTATTCATGTATCTTCTTTTGTAAAGTGTTCATTTAAATATTTTGCTTAATTTCAAATTTTGGCTGGCTGTCTTTTAAGTGTTTTTTTAAATGACTTTATGTATTTTGAATATGAATCCTTTGAAGATATATGAACTCTGAATATGTTTTACAGTCTGTGGCTTATTTATTTTCTTAATGGCAAGTTTTGATAAGCAGAAATTTTAAATTTTGATGAAATTCCATATGACTTTTTTCTTTCTTTCAAAATTAGTGCTTTTTGTGTTCTGTTAAAGAAATCTTTACCGCAAAGTGAAAAAGATAGTCTCCTATGTTGTCGTTTAGAAGGATAATGGTCCTAGCTTATATGTTTAGGTTTAAGAGGCATCTCAAACTAATTTTTGTTTATAAACTGAGGTAAGGGGTCGAGGTTTCCTTTTTTCTCCATAAAAATTTTGTTATTCTGACACCATTTATTTTATTCTTCTTTTTCTATCTTCTTAAGGGAAGAGCTTGGATAACTGATTTTATACATCTCTTCTAATTATTAAACCTTAGCTGTAACCCCTAAATGTTTTATATTATATTTTAATCACATTCTTTTAAGATGTTTATATTTTTCCTTTTTACTTTTCTTTGACTAATGAATTCTTTTGAAATGTTTTCACTTTTCTTCTCCTCTATATCTTAATGTTATTAATTGCTAATGTAATATTATATTTGTTAGTGATCATGTTTTGTATGATTTCAATCCTTTGTAATATATTAAGATGCATGTTAGAGATATTATAGCCAAACATAATCTATTTTAATGAGCATTTCCTGTGCAATAGAAAAAAATGTGTATTCTTTGATCGCTGGATGTATATTCTATAAATGTCAATAAGCCAAGTTAGTTGATTGCATTTTTAAAATATCCTATACATTTGCTTTATTTTACCCTTGACTTGTTCTATCATTCATTGAGATGGATGTTAAAGTCTTTAATCATGTTTGTTGATTTATTTCTTCCTTAAGTTCTGTCAAATTTTGCTTAATGCATTTAAAGCTTTTTTGGGGGGGTACATACACATTTAGAAGTGTGTCTTTTTGATAACATGATGCTTTTGTCATTATGAAATATCCCTCTTTGTTTTGAAGTCTACATCAGTTGCATCAGCTTTGTTATTGTTGGTGTTTTGGGTATCATAATGATACCCTTATATTTTCAATTAGTATTATCCTTAAACTGTTTCTCTAATATAATACATAATTGTATCTTCCTTTTTAAAATTTCCAGTTTCTCAATCTCTTTCTTTTCACTGTAGTGTTTAGTCTATTTATGGAACATTTTGGTGCCCCTACATTTACTGTAATTATTTCAAAATCCAGCTACTTAAGGTAGACTGGGAGAAATTTCTTTACTTAGGGAACATGATGGTCTCCTAAAGATAGTCCAGCCACTGTGGTAGGGTAAACAGAGAGGCAACAAGCCCAGTTTCTCTTTTTCAGGCAGAGGCAAGAGAGGAAGTTTTAGCTCAAGATGTTTATGTGTTTCAAAATAACATCTACTCCTATACAAACCCACTCAGTAGCTGCTAAGGAATGCTAGCCATCTGAATGACTCATATATGTTTTCACTTTTCTTTTGCTCTATATCCTAATGTTATTAATTTCTAATGTAATATTATTATATTTGTTAGTGATCATGTTTTGTATGATTCCAGAAGCAGAGCCCCTGGAAAACTCACATATGTGTCAACAATAGTCCTTGATGCCCCTGTAACAAAACTTGAGCAAGGCCTGGTGATGAAGAGATACAAGATTGTCACCCAAGGATTTGATTATACCTCTGTTGAAAGTTAATGCACACTCAACCGAATATGGCAATTGGTACTCTCAATTCTATATTCTCAACAATTACAGTGAAGATACAAGTAGAATACAATCACTGCCACATTTTTTGAAATTCTGTGTAAACTGTAATATTCTGTCAACATTAATGACATTTGAAGTGTCCTGTCAAAACAATTGCAGCTACTTTATGTATAAAACATATTAAATAGGCTCATCCAACTTGCATTCTTTATTAAGCTTATTTTCATATTTTTTCCTATGGATGAACTTAAAAATAATTTTGTTTCTTAATTAAGATTCTATGCATGAAGATGCTGAATAATTTAAGACAATTGTTCATTCAAATAGTTGCTAATTACACCCTCCTGGCATAGTTATTGTATTATTACTACATTTAGGAATAATATGCTGTACTACTTGGACTTGAAAATGTTTCTGACATTTTAATGAACACACTACTTAGTTATATTTTACAAGGGTTTTCAGTGAACCACAGAGGATTAAAAAATGTCATTCAAGGGTTGTAGATAATTAAACTGACTGAATATAAGAAGCCTCATATGGAAGTGAAAATTATGTATGAATTTTGTTGAGCTGGAAATGTGTTTTACTAAATGACTTCAGATTTGTTACTTTTAAATACAAGATGAAGGGAATCAAGGGGATACTTTCTTCTCACCTCAATTTGTTCCATTTGCATAAGCTATTTTATCTTTCAATATCCCTTTTGATATTTCATTTTGGCCCTTGAATACACTAAAGATTATTTAAAATAAATAAATGTTGACTTTGAAATACTGCTATATATATTCATTGCAATACATCAGGTGGGAAATTGGTGCAATTCAGTCACACACACAACCTCATAGATCAGATTTCCAGTTAAGTTTTAATAGAAAGAGATTTTAGATAGACATGACTTTCAATAAAATGGAAGAATTTTTATTAGTTTCAAAATAATGATTTTACTTGCTTATCAACACAGTTGACCTTTCCCCACAGTACTATGATCTTCTTAGTACCTCTGCTATAATTATATTAATGTCTTCCTATATCTAGAAATTTGATTATTATTCTATTTTTATGGATCATTAAATTTTTCTATTCAAGAATGATCCCTATAGTCAACTTCCTGAGGGATTTCTGCTTGCTATTTTCTGTTTCAATTGTGTGCATTTCATATTTACTATTAAAGATTTTAAATAATGACACATTGTTTAAGCGGTTGTAAGTCTGATTGTTATAAAGCTCTCTGGAGAATTCTGTAAGCTTTCACATCTGATGGAGAACTTCAATGAGAACATCTTTAATGTGGAATTCTTGGACAAGAAACTACAGATTATCCATGGTTCAGAAGATATGATGAATTAGTAACTATTTTTCCGTACATAAAAAGTCAATCTTCCTAACCAGTTTGTTGTTTTAGCTAAATGAATCGGTCAAATATTTTAGTTATATTAGCAATATTTTGTCTCTAAAATATCTTGACATAAAACTATTACTATGCATATATTATTAACCATGATCTTGTATAGCTCTATTTCAAGCGTATTACTAACCATAACGAAAATAACTTTTAATACTGAAATACATCATCGAACTTCTAAGACTTTTTCTATTTAAAATTCCTAAGATTTGTAAAATTCTATCAACGTAGTTACTTAAAGCAAAACAAGTTGCGTTATAGTTTCTTAAAACAACATTTTTTATATTGTACTTTTTAAAAACAACATTTCCCAGCTACCACTTTTGGCAAGAAATTGAGAGTTTAAACCTGTTGAAAGGAATATAAGATGAGTGTATGTGTCTCACAGTCATAATTAAAATGTGTTTATGAACATGTATATACTATTGCACATAAATTATGTACTCTCATTCATTCTTTAAAATCCACTATTTCTCATTATCTCAGATTGTGCTAAATTTCAGGTTAAGCTAATGAGGTATTTTCTTCTGAATTTTGAATTTCTTTCATGAGAAGTTACTAAGAAATCATAAGTAAGTTCAAATTCTTTACCAGTTCTCGATTTGAACACTAGTATTCTCAGAAACCTAGGAACAGGAAAGAAACACCCTCCCTTTATCACAGTAGGCTAGGATGTGCTGCAATAGCCAGCACAAAAATCAAAGTGGTTAAACACAATGAAAATTTAATTCTCCCATTACAGGTCCACACAGGTCAGCAGGACTCACCCTCTGGCTGACGGAGGCTCCATCATGTTCCAAATACACTATTTGCTACCCATGCTCTCCTTGGTCACTGCTATAGAGAAGCAGAGCCCCTGGAAAATAGCCCTAAGAAATTTAACTGCCTCAGGCAAAGATTGACATGTGTCACTGCTGCTCATATTTCATTGACATGGGCATGGCATACTTAAATGAAAGGGTGCCAGGAAATGTGTGTGTGGAGGATTAAAATAGTTGGCAAGCACCAGTGACCCTGCTACATGGATATCTGCTATCACTGACACCCTGACTGTCACAATATGCAAAGAAAAACTCAAGTGCCTATGGGAAAGATCACATATTATAAAATCATAACTGAAAACTTGGGAACTAATAATTTTTCTACTGTAGAATATCCAACTCTTGTTTAACTTAACCTGTATTTTTTTAAAATAACAATTTTATTTCTAAAAAATACACACCGATTTATTGTTTTCATTTTTAGTGTGAGTGGCTACTGCTTGATAAAGTTTGCTCCTCGTGCATTCTTTTCTCTTTTTTTCTCCAGGGTGATATTGTGGATTGAACAGAGCACAGGGCTGAATCTGAAATACAGACAGGTTGCAATTAAAATAAAATTTACATAGATACATGTGGAAGGTCATATAGAGAGCAAGACCAACTAGATATAAACGATGGGCAAAGGGGACAGAGAAGCACATAAAAGGTAGGTTTTGGTCTCATGTATGTTAGTTTCGTGTGGGTGTTGTAAAAAAAGACGACAAACTTGGTGGTTGAAGACAAAAGCAATTTATTCTCTCACATGTTCTGAAAGCCAGAAGTCCAAAGTCAGCATTACTGGGCCAAAATCAAGGTGTTACAGGACCATGCTTCCTCTGGAGGCTCTAGGGAAGTCTCCTTCCTTTTCTCTTCCAGCCTCTAGTGGCTGCCAACATTCCTGGATGTATGCCCATATCACTTCTCTATACTCCATGTATACATTGTCTTCTCTTCTGCGTATACGTCAAATTTCTTTCTGCCTTGCGCTTATAAGGATACTTGTGGTGACATTTAGGGACCAACCACATAATCAAGGATAACCCCCTCATCTCAAAATTCTTATTTTAATCGCATCTGAAATGACACATGTTTTCCCCCAAGTTAAGTAACATTTACAGGTTCCAAGGATTAGGACCTGATACCTTTGGGGACCATTATTCAGCTTACTATGCCATGTGAAATCTTTCTTTTATTTCTGTGCCAAGCCTAAAGAAATGTGTTCAAACAGAGGGGTATCCAATGAGAGAATGTCTTTAGATAAAATAGTCTAGGAAGGATGCCAGCAGAGCTGGCTTTAAGCCCAGGGAAACTCTACAGCTTTCTTTGCAGTATCATTTAAAAGGCATTGGAAGACTTATCTGACTAAAAGTATCAGCTTTTTCCCAAGCTTGTTACTTTGTAGTCATTCTAGGTAGACAGGGGGTCAAAGAAGGATACCAGTGAATGGAAATTAGTCAGGAAAGTAATGGATATAGAAGGTGAAGACAGTATTTCCTAAATTCACTATTTTACTCATGGGTGGTTAGATTTCACCTGGGCTCCGGACAAAAGAAGATAGTGGTGTGTATGTCATGGTAGAATGAAAACATCAAGGGTCTTCAGTAAAAATGTTTAAAAGAGCACATTTATTATTATTAAAGATTAAATATGCAGTTCTTCCATGAAACCTAAAAAAGAGATTTTTGTTTATATTAATAAGAGGCTGGTCATGCCTGACCTTCTCCAGTTTGTTGATGTGCCGTGCCCTATCCTGAGCAATCTCTTACAGTCCTTTTGCAGAAATTATCATCTACATGCACCAAGTTTTGATTCTTCACCTCCGGCCACATCACTTCTGAAGATTTAGACACCATCTATCTATCAGTTGTCTATTGGTCACACCAACTAGCATGTATTCCAAAGACACTTCAAGGGGCTTCCTTGACAAGTTCATCTTCAGCTCCAATTCCACCACTTCAACAATAACACTTACTCTTTCACCTCTCAATTCGGGCTTTACTGAGTATCAGACCTTGATTCACTTTTCTAACTCACCACTTTTCTGTGTTGGGCAAGCAAAGTCAGCCATTTGGGTAAAAAGTACATTAATAGATACAACTGGGCTGTAGAGGAGGAAAATACCCTCTGTGACTCTGTGACTCCTAGTTCCAGTAACAGCATACACCTCCATCTCTGAGCACTTCCCAGTGTCAGAAGACACTAGGCTATTTAATGACACTAAACATAGTAAAATCTGTGTCTAAGGAAACTAATTCAAATTATGCCTAAGGTAATCATATAATGGATGAGGTACCCATTAAAGTCTTTGGCTCATTTTTAAAGTGTGTTCTTTGGTAACTTGGTTTTTAAGACTTCCTTTTGTACTTTGGATAACGGTCTTTCATGAGACACGTCTTTTGCAAATCTTTTTTTCCAGTATGTTTCTTCTCTTTTTATTCTCTTGGACATATCTTCAACAGAGAAGAAAATTTAAGTTATAATGACATCCATCTCAGTTATTAATTTCATTGATCGTGCCATGGATGTTGTATCTAAAAAGTCATCACCAAACTCTAAATTATCTCGATTTTCTTCTCTGCTATCCTCTAGGAGTTTTACAGTTTGGGATTTTATATTTAGTTCTATGATCCATTGTGAGTCAATTTTTGTGAAGGGTTTAAGGTATGTGTCTTGATTCACTTTTTTTTTAGTGTGGTTGTCCAGTTGTTCTAGCATTATTTATTGTAAACACTACCTTCTCCCCATTGTATTGCCTTTGCTCATTTGTCAAAGACCAGTAGAGAAAGTATGTATTTATGTGGGTCTATTTCTGGGCTCACTATTCTAGATACATAGATGACAAATTCGCATACAAAAAGATGCTCCTCATCATATGATCATCAGAGAAATGCAAATTAAAACTACAGTGTGATACTATCACACACCTAGTAGAATGGCCCAAATCAAAAACATTGACATCATCAAATCCTGGCAAGGATGTGGAGCAACAAGTATTCTCATTCATTGCTGGTGGGAATGCAAAATGGTACACCCACTTTGGAAGACAGTTTGGCAGATTCTTACAAAATTAAACATTTTCTTACTATATAATTCACTAATCACATTCGTTGCTATTTATCCAAAGGAGTTGAAGACTAGTGTACACACACACACACACACACCCCTGCACAGGAATGCTTATAACTTTATTAATAATTGCCAAAACTTGAAAGTATCCAACATGTTCTTTAGTAGATGAATGGATTAAAAAATGGTGCTACACATAGACAATGGAATATTACTTAGTGCTAAAAAGAAATGAGCTATCAAGCCACAAAAACACATGGAAGAAACTTAAGTGCATGTTACTAAGTAAAAGAAGCTAATCTGAAAATGTTACATATTATATAATTCCAAGTATATGACATTCTGGAAAAGACAAAACTATGGAGTAAAAACATCAATGGTTGCCAGAAGTTGGGGGAAGAGGAAATGAGTAAGCAGATCACAGTAGATTTTTAAGGCAGTGAAACTACCCTGTATGACACTATAATGGTGGGTACATGTCATTATACCTTTATCCAAACCCACAGAATGTACAAGGCCAAGAGTGAATCATAAGGTAAACTATGCTTTCTGGGTGATAATGATGTATCAGTGTATGATTCATCCGTTGAAACACATGTATTGCTTGGAGGGGGAGGTTGACAATCAAGGAGGCTACACATGTGTGAGGGTAAGGGATATACGAAAATTCTCTGTACCTTGACTCCAAGTACAGGGGAAGGTTATGTCTGCCTTATGGCTTACATTCTGCTCCAGATGTTGTGAATTGCTTTTGCCACCAAAGAATTTCTGATAATAAAAACAAATTCTGAACTCTTTTAAGAAGAGATCTCATGATATTTCTTTATTTCAGGATGTTCTGTCCTAAATCAACATTTTTTCTCTATGCTCGTGATATGTACTGACCAACTAGAAAACATACCTTTATATTATCTCTGCCCCTTGCCACTTTGAGCTCTTAGAGGGTTCCGGTCTCATACACATACAACACACATTGCACCAATTTAACGAATCATTTTATTGTTTGATTCTTTGGGTTCAAGGAGCAAGAATCCAACCCTAAACACTTAGGCAAATTGGAAATTTGAAAGGATAAACCTGGAGCATCATAAATATCCACGGTTTCTCCTGGACCTTGTTTCTCGGGAGAAACATTTTTCCAGTACTCACTTTGTTTCTTATTCTTGCTTCTTTCTTACTCCAAATCATCTTCTATTCTATGAGAAGAAACAAAGACTTCTTATGTCACACTGACTTAGAAGTTCAAATCACTGGGAAGGAAATGCTTTGCTCTTATTGGTGCCAGTTTGAGAAATCCTAGGAAAGACTTCAAATGTGGCACTTTGGGTCACTTGCCCACCCTTAGATCTATCAACAGTGGCTACAGGGCAGAGTCAGGTGGGAAAAACACTGTTACTGGTGCCCACCATTTCTACAGACTCATTCCCAGAGGATGAGGGATTTTCATAGAAAGTTATAAAAACATCTCATAAATAGGAGATCACTTCAGACCCCTCCCTGTCACTCCTGCTTTGCACAACAGCAACCCTCCACAATTTCCAGTACACTCTTTTCTCTCTCTGCATGGACTGATCACTCTCCATCAGGACCCTTTAACGTGAAAAAGTTTGACTTATGTCCTTATTTCTGAGCTTAATTATTTTGTTCTTCCAGAAGTCTTCCCTGCTATGTATGGCCGGAAGCCTTCCTTGCTATGAATGCTCTATGCTTCCTAAGGTGTCCTATGACACCTCTACTACCAACAAAATATTACTTTTGACTGTCTCCCTAACTTGGCTAGACACTGTTTCAGGGAAGCAACTATGGTTGGTTGCCAGTGAATACAATGCCAACGTCTACTAGGTGCTTAACAAAATATTGATTAACTTTCTAAGTAACGTTTGCTTTTTGGCTTATGTACACGCACACACACACACACACACACATACACACAGCCTCGAGTTTTCTTTTTTTCTTTTTTTTCTCCTGCTGCCAGAACTATCTGTGATATCTTTTGGCATTCTCATCATCACTGTCAAAAAATATTTATTAATAGCCAAATTGACATAAGCCAATAGTGAATTTGATACAAACCTTGGCATACAGGGAAAAAAACTCTATGAGGTAAAGTGCTTAAGGGCACTGGCTCTCCAGTAAAACTGCTTGATTTCCTGTCTCTCTTCAATTACTTATAGTGTGAGCTTAGGTGAATTACTTAAGTCTTTTTTGCTCTATTGTTCTCATTTCCAAAACAAGGATAGTAATAAATCCTGCTAATAGGTTCTATTTGTGAGAGCAAATAAAGAAAATACAAGCAAAATTCTATGAGCAGCAGTCAACCCAATAATGATGAATAATCAGAAAGTCTCTCATCATACATTGGGTATATTTGATGACCTATATCAATATGGAAAAGGTGTGTGGGATGTCTCAAATTGCACATAACAGCAATTCTGCTGCTAGTACTATTACTGTGCACCTATGGAAGAAGTAAATAATGACACAAGTTAATCTGAATTCCACAACTGAAGCATTTCTATTTTATAAATCCTAACATTATATGCTTATTTAAGGAGTAAAATTGTCCTATTTAGTTAGTATATAAATAATGCACAGTGCACTTGAAGACTTCAGGACCACACAGACGTCTTTTGGTACTCAGAAAATGACAATTAACAGCACCAGTTATTACTCCATCACCAGTCTTGCACCATTGATACTGACACTAGTTAGTACAAGAGACCAATATTCACTTGCATCTGAGAAAAATAAAAAGAGCTGCGAAGAGTTGTAGAGTCATAATAGGAGACTTTAGTAGATATAACTTAAAGAAGGATCTTAAAGAACAGCAGGATAACCTCAGCAGAGATTATGAGTTCTGGTTAACACGCCAGGGGGTGTGCCACCAGCAACTGTAAAGCCATGGAAAAACGATAGGAGATATGTCATATATTAGAACACATATGTCATGTATCGGAACAAGAAGGGCAGTGTCTTAGGTTCTCCACCCTGGAATAAGCAGAATGCAGGGGGACACCTGTCTGAACATTGAGACAAAGCTAGGTTTGTAAGAAAATCAGAAATCAAGATCAGCTAAGAGCATCAAACAAATAAGGTGGAGTGAAGATAGAGTGGTCCTAGAGAAATTGTTCTTTGAAGGTCTTTGGACCCTGGCATGACTCAAGACTACCTGAACTTATACAACTTTCAGGGAGAAGGAGAAGCATGGGTCAGAGAGTTAACCTTTCTCTTAAAGGAACTATGTTCTTGGGGTATAAAAATTTAAGCCAGAATTTCCAGGGGAGAAGACAAACTAAAGCAGTCAGGCAGTGTTTTGTGGAAGCTATAAAATGAGCTCCAAGTCTGTGATGGGATGCCTGGGAGAATGATAATGCCACCAACAGTAGGAAAGGTAAACACAGAAGACAGCTGTTTCACTCGATTGTGGAAAAAGCAGAGTGCATGTCCTGGGTGAATGCATTTGTTCCTGTGATTTATAGTTTCACTCTTTCCTTGTTTTCTGCCTCTAGTTTGCAAACTTTCAGAGACCACTGGTCCTTCCTAAAATTCTCCTTGTGAGACACAGCAAAACTGCCTTGTTGTGATGGTCCATAATTGTGCTTGGTTCATGAAAATAAGTTAATACAACCAAATAAGTAAGCCTGCATATTTGATTTGTCTATCTCAATAAAGAAATTGAGCTTAAAATGTACTAACTATACCAGTGGAAAAGATGGAAATTATTAAAAAATTTTTATCAAGATTAATTTCTAGAAATATTCTTTAGTATTAAAAGTCATTTTATTTTCCTCCTCCCCAAACACTTTCTTTTTGCATTTACTTATTTATTTATTCATCTATACATGCAGTAAACATGTATTCAATGCATCTGATGTACAGGGCACTGGGCTAGGTAGTGTGTCTTGTTTTTATTAACCTCTGGATCCCAATTCAGGTTATAGTTTTATTACAAATAGATCACTTCTATATCACAGAAGATTGCTAGAAGGTTAATTTGCCCTTCAACAAACCAACAGCAAAATTCTCATATTTGCTACATTATTGAAACGGCCACATCATTCAGTGGAGATTGCATTGCAAGCCTATGAATCTGACACCACAATACAGTAGATTTAACAACAAGCTTAAATAATACTGGAAAAGGGGGAAAAAGCTAGGTAAAAGAATTGTATTTCTGATAAACAAGTTTTTCAGATGCTTGATTCTGATATTTCTAGTGCAACAAGACAAAAGATTGGTATGGTTTTTCTCTGCAAAATGATAGACCACAAGAAATACATTTTCATGGGTCACATTCATTTTTGAACAAAATTTGTTCTCATTCTCTCAAACTGGTATTCAGTGTATTTCAGGCTATAAAGGGATTTTCATCTGCCTTATCTTCTTGGCTTTTCCTGCTGTTTTTTAATTAAAGTTTAAAGAATTAAATAAACCAGGGATGCCAGGGTTACACCAGAGAAAAGATCAGGCTGCCAAATCCACTGAGATGCAATGGGTTACAGGCTGATTTTGGAATTATCTTTCACAATATTTTTTGTCCAGTTTAAAGACTAAACATTAATGTATCTAAAAACTAGACAGATTATAGAGATCAGAGTTCTAGGTCAGTCTCATGAAGTAAAATTATCTGGGAAAAGATGTGCTTTTAATAGCATTTTAAGGCTATTTTATGTATCATCCCTGTCGATTTTGGCTATTTGTGAATAAGAAAATTTCCAGTTTTTCATAAAGTTTGGTAATATTTAAATCCAATTAAAATGGCAGCTTTTGGAATTTAATCTAGTGCATTTTATATATATATATATATATAAAACTAAAATTCCTGAAACATAATGTAGTTTCAGTTCAACTGAAAAGTAAAATACAAATAGCCCATGGACAGAGCTTAATGGAAGATGGGAGCGATCAGATGTGAAAAGAGGCAGCATCTCCCCAGGCTGGGACAGCAGCAGGGCATAGCCACCCTGACCCCTATGCCTGGGCCCTGCAGGCCCCTGCTTTGCCCCCTTTCAGATCTGCTAACCCTGTCTGCAGTCTGAAGGAGGTGGAGTTACAGGAAGATGTTTATGGAGATGGATTCTGGGCTGCTGCAGCCTCTGCAGGCCTTAGTTAAGAGCAGAAATGTACTCTTTGTAGATTTGCCATTTGCATGAATCATCTGGCTGTCCTGTGCCTTGGCAGTGACCCAGCACTGTGGCTGTGTGGGGCCAGGGCAGGTGTGTTGGGGAGGGGGCGGCGTCTACAGCCAGCACACAGGGAAGCTTTCTCAGTGGGAGAGGGTAGGAGGAGGAGATGAAATGAGAGAAGCTGATCAAAATAAACATTCCTGCTGCTGCCGTTTCCCACCCACCAAACCCCCAAAGTGGCCCATCTAGTCCTTGGTTGTTCCAATTAGCGACCCCACGATCACTTGCTTGTCCTTTTCAGAGAGTAAGAACAGATCTTCTTTGGATTTCCCCATCCCCCTTATTTTGAACCTCAGAAGCCAACTGGTGACCATGGACAAGTCTCTTTTCCTCTCTTGCCCTCAGTTTCCCTAGATGCAAAGAAAATTGACTGGACTTAGTGTTCTCCAATCCCTGGGATTCTTGTTCTCCTGTTTCTATGGCCCCCTCCTTGGCCTATCCTTTTTGGTTGCTTGGGTGACCTCCTGTTTCAACCATTCCATGGCTACTTATTTCCCACAGAACAATTCTGAAGCTTCTGGATGTGCTGCTCTAGGCTTTTCTGACCCCTTCAGCCTCAACTTTCACCATGCTATGTCCCCTCAGCCCCCCACTCAATACAGCTGGTGCAATTTTAACATGAAGAATGAAGACTCTATCTAGCTGGCATCCGTGCGTTGAAGACAGTATTCATGCTGACATGCTGACATCCAAGTCTTTCGCCTTCTTTGTTAGACTTGTATTTTTGGGAAGGTAGATCTGGGCCTGGTCCTCTCTATGTCCCTGACAGAAAGAAGAGAAGTGACAGGAAAACAGACACTTCCGTAAACACGATTTTTCTTCAAACACTGTATCCAATGATAATGATTCCTACAAAGCTAAAAAACATTTCCTGTCCCAAATTAAGGAGGGTCTGAGCAAGAGTTCAAAATTCTTCAAGCTACTGTGAGCTCTGGTCTTGAAGAAATAATGTTAAAAAGCAAAGACAAATAAACAGTATTAGTGAAGTCCAAAGCCACTATGGAAAGAATCCCTTTCCCCCTTTTACTCCCACTATGTTTTTAGAGATGGGCTATGATAGGACTGCTGTAGATTGAGTGTTCAAATTCACATGTTGCAATCCTAACCCTCAAGGTGATGGTAATTAGGGGGTGGGGCCTTTGGGAAGTCATTAGGTCATGAGGGCTCCGCCTTCATGATAGGGATTAGTACCCTTATGAGAGAGGTTCCAGAGAGAGCTAGCCCCTTCTGCCACTGGAAGACACTGCAAGAAGACATCATATGTGAATCAGAAAGCAGGCCCTCACCATACACGAAACTTGGATTTCTACACTTTCAAAAACAGATTTCTGTTGTTTGTAACCCACTCAGTTTATAGCATTTTGTTATAACACTCTGAACAAAGTAAGACTAAGAGGATCACTGAGATAACTTCTTATATGAGTATATGCAGATTTTTTTATCTCCTTATAGTAAAGAAGTAGTAGTAAAAGAAGTATAGTAGAAGTATAAGTATAGTAGAAGTAAAAGAAGTATAGTAGAAGTATAGTAGAAGTAGTAAAGAAGTAACTTCTAGAACTTCGATTTTCTCTCACTTTTCCCTGTATTTAAATTAAGAGATACACAATAATACATGTTTTAAACAAAAAACTTGTAAAGTGTTGAAAAGTTGCAGTTCCACAAGCTAATTGCAACTATTTCCATTTTAGGCACATTATTTTCTGTATTTGTCCACGCCTTTTATTGTTATAAGGGTAATGTACAGCATGTGATTATATTCTAAAGTTCACTTAATAGATTATTTTGAAACAAGAGAAAAAACATTATAAGTTTTAAAGGCTATATAATATATGGCAATTTCATAAATAGTTTTTGAAATATTAAAAAATATTGGTTTTAGTAAAAGCTCTTCAGTTGAACAGGCATTTTGACTTATTTCAACACAAAATTTACATTTAAATTAATTAATGTATTTAAGCCTATTATATTTTTATAGGTTTAAAGGACTCCTTGCCTGTTTTTGGCATTATATTGTGGAAAGCTTATTTTTATTCTACACAAATCAGAATAATATCCTATTTATGTAATGATTTATAATTATAGACTGCTTTTGCATGCATTATATCAATTAAAAGAAAAAATACTATGAGTTAGGAAGAAAATGCATTATTGTTCCCACTGTATACATGAAGAAGCTGAAGATCAGAGAGGTTAAGACATTTGCTCTAATTGTCAGCATGTAACCTTTTGCTCTCACTTCCGGCTTCTAATAATTCCAGTAGAATGGGAAAAGTTACACTTGACATCCCATTACAATAACATAGAAAGTATGGAGATCTTTACATACCAAACTATGATCAATGGTTTCATCCAGGAAGTTATTTTGGACATGGGATGAAAAGAAGAGTGAGCTGTCTATTTTTATTTTATTCATACTGTACTGTCAGCATCTTTTCAATAAATACTGCTCTTTACATAAAAGAATATTTAATTAAACTAATGTTTACCTACAGAAACTGCCAAAATAGCAGAGATCACTCTATCTACTGTCATCATAAACTTTGCTTTTCAGTGTATTTTTGGTCATTGGTGATGTTTCTAAAACTATACCATTATGCTTTATGGAACACTTTTTACTAGAGTGTTCATAATTCAGCTAATAATAATTTATTGCACACTAACAATGCACACAAAAATGTTCTAGGTACCACTTAAGGCCACAGTGAGTTCATATATTTTTAATGGCTCTCAGAACTTCACATACAATAATATGAAGATTTTAATACATGACATGACTAACAAAATGAAAGTGCACTGACATCTCAGCATTATCCCATTGATTTTCTGGGAATGGCCACATAAGGAATTAAATTCCTTTCAGATTCAACATTATCTTAAAGCAACTCTTTCTATCTTGGGGATAGAAAAATAAAACAAAGATTATTAATGTTTATAGGCATTGTTACTTAATACCTATTGGATTTATAAGGAATAAAACATATTCACCTTCTCCTGTATTTCTGTAATGTCATATAAACACTCACGCATTTTGAAAAGTTTAGATTCATAAATTTGTTTTAATCAAAATGATGTATCTGTGTTTTAATAGGTGCATGAAGCACACATTGAGAGGTAAGCAAGTTTTGTTTTATTTCCTCTCACTCTACTCCTTCTGTTCTTTATTCCTTATCTTGACATGGCATTTAATTAAAAACATCTGAGATCCAAGAAGGTTCTCAGAGGCCTAATTTCCTCATTTTGCAGGTGAGGAGACTGAGGGTTAGAGAGGTTAATTGGTACCGTGGATTGTATGAGGATATTTCAACACTAATCACTATGGCTCTTTTTGTGTCTGTTTACCAAGAACTAAACGCAATGTTTCAGGTGCAGACAAGGAATTTTAGAGTTGAAAGTGTCATATAATTTTTAAATAAGGCAGTCGAAACACAAATCAAGTTTTGTGGGAGCTGCATCGTTGTCACATATATTCAACTTTTAATTTGAGAAAATATTTTGGTCTCTTCATATGTGTTGTGTTTAACCTAAGTAGCCCTGACTCTGTTTGCGTGTACATGTGAACACGTTTGTATGTGAGAGTGAACATACAAAATGGTTGTGTTTCTAGCCTGATTGCAGTTGAGTTCAGAAAATCCTTATAAAAAGCGCTGTGCTAGATATCAGAGATACAAAAGTAGATAGGACATGACTGATTACTACCCTCTACATATGTACAACTTAGTGGTGGAGCCATATTACATAAGATAATTTAATATATATGTTGAATACTGCAATAGCTGTAACAAGAGAATCCATTTTAGTCTGAAGCAGTTTTTGATGGTGGTCAATTTATAACCCTTAAAAATTGATTTGATACACATGTGGGCTATTGATAGCTGAAAAGAGTCCAGGGCTGAAGAAAGTGGAGGGCAAAAGGAGTTATGTAAACATGATTCACACGGTTCAATAGGCACACACTGCTTGATGTTTGTGGCAAGCTACATGGGGTTCTGTATTGATAGGGTGTGAAGTTTGATTCAGAAAGTAATAAGGGAATAAAATTAAAGAACAAGGGAATAAAGAGGACTAGAGGCCCTGGACCTTTTTCTTTAGGCAGTGGCAGCCACTGAAATGTTTTAAGCAAGAGAGTAAAGATGATCGATGTTCATTTTACATTCCCTTGTTAGAAATTGGGAGAATGGGTTTGAGGGTATATGATTAATGGAACAGGGAATCAATGAAGATCTTTGCCTCATTCCAAGAAATAGATAGTAGGGAAAGGAAGTGAAACAGTTTTAGTAGAAATGTAGGAACGGAAGGACCAATATATAGTTAGTTGGTAAAATCAGCAGGATTTGCTGATTATTAGCAAGAGTGTGGGAAGTATCAAGGCTCACCATCGGGTTTCTAATTGAACAAATGGTGATGACAACATGAAATATGGACTAGAGGAATATGTGGCAAAGGAAGGATGATGAGGTTGTGAAGAGTTTAAAACAGATGCAAAGCTTAGAGGTACGACTTGAGTAACATCAGCATATATGAGAGCTTGAAATACTCCTGGGAAAGTCTGTAGAATGAGAACAAAGAAGGGGTTTTAAAAAAAGTACCTTGTAAAACACTAACACTGAAGGGCAGAAAAAGAGGACCTAACTGAGAAGCAAAATGTGCACTCGTCACTGAAATAGGAGAGAAGGCATCAGTGGGTAGCTTTAAGAAGTAGTCTACAGTGGCAAATGCAGCAGAGAGGCCTAACGAGACAGGGGTCTTTTCGCCTAGCCTTTTATAAAATTTGTACATTATTCTAAACTATCAGTATGGTTTGCGTTTCTTATTCTCTGATGAACGCATCGCATGAATTCACCAGAAAATTCTTCACTTATGAAAATACATAGCCAGTCAGGCCTGAGGAGAGTGAATGAAGCTGACCTTCCACACCCACCAGCCATATGTCGATATTGAACACTTGGAGGGCAATTAGTCCATTTTGAGACAGGCTATCAGTATAAAATACATACTGGATTTCAGAAGCATTGTCTGAAAATGTAAAATATCTCATTAATAATTTTTATATTAATTACTAGTTCAGATCATATGTTGAATATACTGGGTTACATTAAATATGTTATTAAATTTAACTTCACTTGTTTGTTTTTACTTTTCTTAATGTGGCCACTAGAAGATGTAAAATTACCCATGTGGCTTGCATTTGTGGCTGACATTTCTATTAGATGGTGGTACTCCAAGCTGTGCTTACTTCCCTTTGCTTATATTTTTCACAAAATCCAGGGTAGATCTGTTTACCCTGTGACTCTTACATACCCACTGAATCCCAGCTCAGCAGCTATAGTTTTCTTTTTTCTTTGGAGACAGAATCTCACTCTGTAACCCAGGCTGGAGTGCAGTGGTGCGATCTCGGCTCACTGCAACTTTCGCCTCTTGGGTTCCAGCGGTTCTCCTGCCTCAGCCTCCGGAGTAGCTGGGATTACAGGAGTGTGCCACCACGCCCAGCTAATTTCTGTATTTTTAGTAGAGACGGTGTTTCACTATGTTGGCCAGGCTGGTCTTGAACTCCTGACCTCAGGTGATCCACCCGTCTCGGCCTCCCAAAGTGCTGGGATTACCACGCCTGGCCAGAGGCTATAGTCTTTTATGCCAACTTCAACAGCCTCAATTCACAGTGATCCTCTGCTTTCCCAAATGCCTCTGATAAACTGATAATTAGAACATGAGACACATGAGATATTTTGTTCTCTGTTGTTCTCTTCAGAACATCTTTTTGGTAAATAATATAGATAATTTTTGTTCTCTATTTTAATTTGTTATATTTTAGTTCTTGTTCTAGGCTACATACAAACATAGATACGTATTTTTATCTGTGATAATACAAACACCTTAATAATAAATCCATAGGTTGAAATGATAAGATCTGGTAAAGGCAACCTATTTCTGACTATCAGTGCTAAAATAAATCTAGGGCAGAACTTTCTAGTTAGCTCCTTACTTTAGTCATGCCCTGACTTGTGACATTCTAATGATGAACAGTATTATCATCATTAGCTGTTCAAATATGGAATATATTTTTAAGCTGTATAATATTTAATAACGTTAACTAGATTGAATGTTTGAAATGTTCACCTAGTTTCATAGATCCTAAACATATATTACATCAGCAGAAAAATATACTGTTTTTATCATATACTTGGAGTATTTCTATCTCTGTGTTTGGAATACAAATGCATAATTTTTCCGTAAAAAACACCATGTATTCCGAAAATTTTGTACACGATGTATTTCACTGTCAAACTAACATGAATTTAATTATTGCTTTCAAATTATACTCAATCATTTATTCAACATTTGCTATCTGTCAATACATTATTCAGTATTTCCTTCACTAGGAAGACATTTCATTACTATAAATTAGTACTAATTATAAAATAATTACTCAAGAAAAAGCTATGCCAGGTGAAAGAATTAGCTGCTCCTTACTAGCCACTGCAATCATCTATTAAACCTACATTTATGTATACTAGTCAATAATGAAATTTCAATTAAAAAATCATAACTTGTTTTTGGTGCAAATTTAAACCTGATCAAAATAATAAAAAGAATATATTTTTATTCTAAAGCTGGTTAGTAGCCAAAATTATTTCATCTACCTATTTATCATCTATCTACTTGATACTAAAACGAATTGACTCAGACTCATGTTTGTTAAACTATTTTTATTTGCACAGCTACTCTTTTCCACAAGTAAAAATCTTTTATTATTTTCTCCCATTCTGTCTTCTATATCTCTCTCTGCATATTTATTCACAAATGAAGAAGAGGTAAAACTTTAGTGTACATATATTACTCAGTTTATGCTATGTTTCCTCTTCATATGTAATTCACATGTGAAGGATTAGATCTAAATATAATAAAAAGTATGCTTTTTGTTTGTGCTTTGTGTGTGCCACCATCCAATTCCCCCATCCACCTGTGCACTATGAAATGTGACCAGGAATGATGGTGGGTGCTTGGTACAGTCTTGGTGTAGAGATGTGCTGGTGCCCCTACCTTGAGTTTTCCTGATCCAATCCTTGTAGAATCCAAGAGTCTAGGAGAAAACTTACCTGTCACTTGACTCCATCAGTCAGCATAGATATGAGAGGTGACAGCATGCTGGCAGTCCTCACAGCCCTTGCTCGCTCTCGGTGCCTCCTCTGTCTGGGCTCCCACTTTGGCAGCACTTGAGGAGCCCTTCAGCCCGCCGCTGCACTGTGGAAGCCCTTTTCTGGGCTGGCCAAGGCCAGAGCCGCCTGCTCCCTCAGCTTGCAGGGAGGTGTGGAGGGAGAGGAGCGAGCGGGAACCCGGGCTGCGCGCGGCGCTTGCGGGCAAGCTGGAGTTCCGGGTGGGCGTGGGCTTGGCGGGCCCCGCACTCGGAGCAGCAGCAGGCCCTGCCAGCCCCGGGCAATGAGGGGCTTAGCACTCGGACCAGCGGCTGCGGAGGGTGTACTGGGTCCCCCAGCAGTGCCAGCCCACCGGCGCTGCGCTCGATTTCTCACCGGGCCTTAGCTGCCTTCCCGCGGGGCAGGGCTCGGGACCTGCAGCCCGCCATGCCTGAGCCTCCCACCCACTCCATGGGCTCCTGTGCGGCTCGAGCCTCCCCGATGAGCGCCGCCCCCTGCTCCACGGCGCCCAGTCCCATCAACCACCCAAGGGCTGAGGAGTGCGGGCGCACGGCGCGGGACTGGCAGGCAGCTCCACCTGCAGCCCCGGTGCGGGATCCACTGGGTGAAGCCAGCTGGGCTCCTGAGTCTGGTGGGGACGTGGAGAACCTTTGTGTCTAGCTTAGGGATTGTAAATACACCAATTGGCACTCTGTATCTAGCTCAAGGTTTGTAAACACACCAATCTGCACCCTGTGTCTAGCTCAGGGTTTGTGAATGCACCAATCAACACTCTGTATCTAGCTACTCTGGTGGGGCCTTAGAGAACCTTTGTGTGGATACTCTGTATATGACTAATCTGGTGGGGAAGTGGAGAACCTTTGTGTCTAGCTCAGGGATTGTAAATGCACCAATCAGCGCCCTGTCAAAACAGACCACTCGGCTCTACCAATCAGCAGGATGTGGGTGGGGCCAGATAAGAGAATGAAAGCAGGCTGCGGGAGTCAGCAGTGGCAACCGCCTGGGGTCCCCTTCCACACCGTGGAAGCTTTGTTCTTTATAAATCTTGCTACTGCTCACTCTTTGGGTCCATCCTGCTTTTATGAGCTGTAACACTCACCGCGAAGGTCTGCAGCTTCACTCCTGAAGCCAGCGAGACCACGAGCCCACCAGGAGGAACGAAAACTCCAGACGCGCTGCCTTAAGAGCTGTAACACTCACCGCGAAGGTCTGTAGCTTCACTCCTGAGCCAGCGAGACCACGAACCAACCAGAAGGAAGAAACTCCGAACACATCCGAACATCAGAAGGAACAAACTCCAGATGCGCCACCTTAAGAGCTGTAACACCCACGGTGAGAGTCCGCGGCTTCATTCTTGAAGTCAGTGAGACCAAGAACCCACCAATTCCGGACACAGTTAGAATTTCAGTCAAATATATTTGATGTCATACAGATAAAAATTCAGGATAATTTACTTCTATACAGAAAATATATTGGCAATGAAATGTAGTTAAGAATATTAGACCAAATAAACCAAATAAGGTCTAAAGAAATATTAGAAATAAAACAAAGCATTGCAAAACTCCAGCTTCAGTCCACATAAACAATTCCTGAGTTAGAGAAATCCTATTTGTGTTAACAATGAGCTCTTCCCACTACAGAATCTCAGAGTTGAAAGGACACTTAGAGATCATTGAGCCCAATTTTCTCAACACGCACAAAGAAATTGAAGTAACTTTTCCAAGGACAAACTGCAAGTTCTAGCAGAGTGGAGACAAAACCTAGGTCTCCTGTCTCCTATTTGGATGGGCTTCTGCCACACTATGCCTAAGATACAGCAAATTAGGACAATGTTCCAAGCTCTGGCTTTACACTAAGATACCAAAGCACTCAGACAATAATTCGTGGGACGGCCAGTGGAGGAAGAATGAAATGGCTCTATTGTATATGCTTAAAATAATGTAAAGTCCCCATCCATCACTCTGAAGGCTGCTTGTTGAAGGAGCTCAGGTGGTACACTCACAGGGCACTGTATCTAAGGAGAAAGATACTACATTGCAAACACTGTTAACCTATATGAGTGCAAGTGAGCAGAGATAGATTCCTGGCTTCCTGGCTGAGTCCCGCAAACTTGAGCTTGTGGAGTTATACAGTGGAGATCCCCACCATCACAGATCCACTGCAGCATACTTGGCCATGCATGCATTTTCACAGACACACACAGCCCCATAGAGGCAGGTTGTTCCCACCAGCTTCAGGGACATCATCCGAGGACACTTCCCTCACCCATCTGCTGTTCCAGGAGGCTCAATTGCTCTGAACTTGTACGTGACATTTGCCTCATTGTGAAGTGGGTATAAAAGAGTGTTACTGAGCAAGGGAAAGTGCCGACAAAATCCTGTCTAAGCTTAAGGCAGATCTTCTTAGTGTCTCTGCCTCTGATTTCTCATGGGTTGTATAGGCTTTGAGCAAAAATTGAAAACACGGTTAATGTTTTGGAATAGCCAACAGAATGAGTTTAAGACTAATGCTTCCGATAAAACCTCATAGCTAGCTTTCCCCTACATAGAAACTAATAATAAATCATGTTAACTTACTACATTGTAACTTAAGAAACAGCTTCGTAGTACTAGTTTCCCATATGTGGGCTTGGAGAAGACCTCATCTTCTCATACCAACAATGTCAATAGAAGAGATTGCACTTTTTGTTCTCATATATCAAGTTTAAATAAATATTTACCTTTTTAAGATTATATTTTATGTTAACTGAATGTGATTGGTATTACTTGTATAAAACATAAATAAAGAATACTTAATTATTTTTCTGCCTCATAGCCCTTACTTTATATTAAAGCCCAACATGCCAGCTTTATTCAAATTTCTTATCCCATTACAAAGGATAAATGCTACACAAAAAGAGTTTTAAGGGCCAAATGATTTCCAGTCTGGGATATTACATATGAAATATTCTGAGAAAGTCAAATCAAACTCCATCCTTGGAAAAAAATACAATATGTATGTCTTGCATGACACTACCAAATGAACATAAGCTCTGATTTTGATGTTTTTGTTTCTGCTGTTTTTGAGAGAACTGATGAATCAAAAACCAGTTATGATCTCTCCTCTCAGACATATTCTCTGGCATCGAAACACTCCGTGGTGACTTCAAGAAGCTAGCCTGGTGGGTGTCCAGGTGGTGCAGGGGAAGGCCTGGGGCTACCAGTTGCTCAAAACCTGAGGAGGTAATAAGGAAAGACCCGTGGTGCTGCTGTACCCTGATTCCTGGGAACCTGATGTCTAGCAAGACAGTGGGGGAGAGTAGAACCTGGAAGAGGAGAAGCTTCATCTTCCCACCCACAGCAGCTTCTTTTCCTAGCTGCAGATCCATCACTCCCTACAGCCTAGAACTCTGAAGAGAAGAACCATCCTTAGACCCCATAGATTAAAAAGGATGAGTCACTGGCTTTTTGAGGCACCATCTAGCTGCAGTATGTGTCTGGCCCTGAAAGGTAATGATATCACCAAGGATTTGCCACTGCTTCAGTGATTTGTGAAACACCCATGGATGACACTTCTCTCCACAAAACTGGTATCCCACAGTGCACTTATTGTTGGGTCCATGAGGGGCATGCTCTTTGCTTGGGAGGCACCACTAGCACTTTGTCCTGCAAGGACCAGAAGAAGACTGAAAGACTGAATCCAAGTGAACAGTAGTGCAGTTGAAGGAACTAGACAAGCAGCAATGAAAGATGTTGGAGAAGACGTGAGTAGAAGACTTAGAAGAAGAAATGGATGCCTGTGGAAGGAAAACAAATACAAGTAAAAACGATGAGATGGGCTGTCCATGAAGAATGAGAGAAGATATTGTGAAAGCTGAAGCTGAAGAGAACTTTACTGTCTAAGAGTTTTCAGAGAAAAGGGAGGTCTTTTATATCAATAACCAAACAAAGCTCCCCCACCATTTTTTTAAACCAAGGAAGAGAGAAATTAGAATATGAATTTGATGAACAGGGGCACAGACAGGTCTTGGTTCTGCAGGATGAGGTTTGATTCATCTGGAAAACAACGCCAGGCTGAAGCCATGCACTTAGGAGAGAAAAAAGGAAACAAAGATCCAGTGGTCAGCCGAAGCTTGTTCGTTTCTCTGTACTGTGAGATTCCCACTGCATCAGGAGGCAGTATATCAGAAAAAGAAAGTTCGGAACTGGGAAGATGAAGACTTTTATGAGAGTGATGATGACATATTCTTTCATTCAGCTGACCTGGTTGAGAAGTGTCTGAATCAAATTATAAAGGCTGGGAAGATTGATGAGAAGGCAGAGACCTTTGCATTACTGGTTGCAAAGTTAAATGATGCTGAAATCTGAAGCCTCAAGCAAAGTTCTATCAGAATCACAATCTCAGGCTTCTTTAGATGTGTTCATGTCAGAAGTGAAATAGAGAAATTCATTCATTAAATGGTATGTCCCAGAAGAAATTTTGAGAACTTTGAACTGATGAAACTATAGAGACTTAAAGGATTGATAAAAATTGTAAAGCCAGCAGAGACCTCAGAACTAAACATGATTGAAAATTAGACTAAAGATGCACACGAAAAGCTACAAAGCTTATATTGACTCTCTTGGGTGCCATAAAAGGAGGAAGCAAATTGAAATTAAAAACTGGAACAGTAAAGAATTTACTCACCAAGCACTTCTGATTCTAATGGAAAGATGAGCCTGAAAAGGAGGAAAGAAAGCTTAGGAGGAAGAAAGGAACAGAAAACACATGAGAAGAAAAAAAAGAGTATGGAAGCAGTAGGCTGGAGCAAAAATTAGAGCCAGAATAGTCAGTGCTGGGAATGAGGTATTTCCCAGATTTCACACGTTCTCGAGAAATAGAAAACCATGGCAATAGGTCTCAGCCAGATGAAACAGAAGCATTATTATCAAGAGATTAGCAAAACATCCTCATCACTCAAGGAACCCCCAGCATCAAAAAACTAAATGTGAGAAAAACAAAGATAATTTTAAAAAAAAAAAAAGCTTCAAGTCCAAGCAAATTTACTCATTTATTTATTTATTTTTATTTTATTTTATTTTATTTTTGAGACAGATTTTCACTCCTGTCACCCAGGCTGGAGTGCAATGGTGCAATCTCAGCTCACTGCAACCTACGCCTCCCGGGTTCAAGCAATTCTCCTGCCTCAGCCTCCCAAGTAGCTGGAACTACAGGCGCACGCTACCACGCCGGGCTAATTTTTTGTATTTTTAGTAGAGACAGGGTTTTACCATGTTGGCTAGGATGGTCTCGAATTCCTGACCTCAGGTGATCCACCTGCCTCGGCCTCCCTAAGTTGTGAGATTAGAGGCTTGAGCCACCATGCTTGGTCATCCAAACACATTTAAATCAAGATTTTTCTTGAAATATCCAAAAGATGATCCCAGTTACTATGGATGAGTCCTCCCTGACTCCAAAACGGTGATAGCAGGATCCATCTTCATGAAAATATTAGCATTGATTGCTTCAGAATTCTAGAGGAAGAACTTGTAGACCAAGTGGCATGAGATATATATATTTGGGATAGTATATAGAGTATATAGAGGTATATAGATAGTATGTAGAGTATACAGAGGTGAATGGTCAGAGAAGGTGTTCAGAAGAGCATTTGTAAAATGTGGTAACTGGTCTTTTCTTCCATGGTTTTAGTTTCTTAAATTTATCTGTTTGATTCTTCTGAATTTGGTATTTATATTTAAGGGTGTTTGTGTGTACATATACAAAAATGAAACCAATGCATCTTGAGAATTACAAATGAAGAAAATTGACCCTACTAAAATGAGAAGGCAAAAAAAATTGTCATGAAAAGATAAGAAACACTTTGGTATGATGAGCTCATGATTCTATTTCTCAAGCATATTGTTTCTTCTAATTTTTAAAATTTTATAATAAAACAAAAGTAAGATATTTTCTTACTAGGCTACAAGTATCTTCTCATTTAGTAAGGGAGTGGACTCAGAGACTATTTTTGAAATTTTCTAGTATAAACTGATTTTTATTATATTAGATATTTCAAATATTTGATTTAAAATGCTATTGAAATAAAATTCATGAATTATAATGTTTATGAGAGCTTTGGGAATTTACAGTTTTTTATGGTTATAAAATGCATATTAGATAAATAATTTCAATGCACATTGTTTTCTTTTAAAGGAAAAAAAAAGTATCTGTTTTCAGGTTACCTGTGGGCAAGAACAGTGTATATTCACTGAAAGGAAATAATTCAGGAGATCAGGAAGTTTTGGTACATAATGTGGCCTTCAAAGTATCTTAACACATTTTTGATGGATATCTTACTTTTAAAGTAGTAAAAACAATCTGATGTTCCATATTTGACAAGACAGCATTTTATCAGAAGATTATCAAGTTGTAACCTGGTGATAAGATTTGAAAAATATTTAGGGAAAAAGTGAGACATGGAGCCATATAAATAAAGGTGATTTGGTAATAGAGCTATAATTATCTCAGTAAGTTCAGGTTGTGGTGGAAATGTAATGAATACTGGTAAATTCAGTATAATTCAATTCCAGATTATATATTCTCAATCACCTTTAATTAAAATAGAAATGACTGGCCGGGCACAGTGGCTTATGCCTGTATTCCCAGCACTTTGGGAGGCCGAGGTGGGCAGGTCAGCTGAGGTCAAGAGTTCAAGATCAGCCTGGCCAACATGGTGAAACCCTATCTCTAACTAAAAATACAAAAATTAGCCAGGCATGGTGTTACACACCTGTAATCCCAGCTACTCGGGAGGCTGAGGCAGGATAATCACTTGAACCCAGGAGGTGGAGATTGCAGTGGGCCAAGATCGCACCACTGCACTCCAGCCTGGGTGACAGAGTGAGATTCCATCTCAAATATAAATACATAAATACATAAATAGAAATTAGTATTATACATGCAGAATTCCACTTGGAGTCACAAGATGGTTGTATCTAGGATGAGTTGCACCTGCATTAAAATTTTTTTTTCCTAGGATAGTGTTTTATGTATTTGTTTTAAATGTGATGGTTTTAAATGGAGCATATTTCATCTGCTTCAGTGTTTTTTAAATTGTGAAAGTGTCCAGTATGAAACATATTTTTTTTCTTTCTTCAATTGTTAAGTTCAGGGGTACATGTGCAAGATGTGCAGGTTTGTTACATAACTAAATGTGTGTCATGGTGGTTTGCTGGACAGATCAACTCATCACCTAGGCATTAAGCCCAGCATTCATTAGCTATTCTTCCTGACACTCTCCATCCCCCCAACCCCAGTTGGGCCCCAGTGTGTGTTGTTCTCTACCATCTGTCCATGTGCTCTCATCATTCAGCTCCTACTTATAAATGAGAACATATGGTGTTTGATTTTCTGTTTCTGCATTTGTTTGCTGAGGATAATGGCTTCCAACTCCGTCCATGTGCCTGCCAAAGGACATGATCTTGTTCCTTTTTATGGCTGCATAGTATTTCATGGTGTAAATCTACCACATTTTATTTATCCAGTCTATCACTGATGGGCGTTTGGGTTGATTCCATGTCTTTGCTATTGTGAATAGTGCTGCAATGAACATAAATATGTGCATGTATCTTTATAGTAAGACACACATTTTGTGTTGTTACCCAAACTCTCTGTTACACATACACACACACATACACAGTATTTACTGCTTACCACATTTGTGGGGTATGTTCTGATTGATCTATTGTATTTTATTCTATTAGTTGTTGTTTTTTTTTTTTAATTTGAAAATTGCTGCCTTTGGCCCACCAAATTCAACCTGAAGTTGAAAGCATAGTCTCTTCTCTTACCTTTGGCAAATGCCACACGTTTCATTACCTAACCTGCCCTCAAAGGCATTTATATTTGAACCTTTAACTAGATTAGGAAAAATTGTTCTAAAACCTCAAGGGAACATTTTCAAAAGCTGATGAACAGATCAAACGGGGTGAAACAAATAATGTTGGATGAGAAGGGGAATCTTAGATTCAGGAAGGGAAGATAAATCATGTACACTGTTACTATTTACTATTAAGCACTTGAATCACCAATGAACCTTGAAAATCAGTAAGCATGCTTTCGACTGCAAGAATAAAAACCCCGAACACAAATGACATTAAATAGTAAGAATATATATTAAAATCAAAATGAATTAAGTAATAAAGATATTTATTATCTCCCATGTCTAAAAGTTCAGAGGTTGAGTAAGTTTATTTACAATGACTCAATGATGCTACTAAGTAATTTATTTTCCCATATTACCATTTTACTATGTTGGATATTCGATTCATCCTAAGACTAGTTTTCCTTGTGACTTTCAGGTAGCTCCAATAGGCATTCTTTCTTGGTCATGACAGAGAGAAAAAATATATATCTCCCAGGGAAGGAATGTAAGTCCTTACTCTAGTCTAATTGGTCTAACATAGTTATGTTGGATCCTTTGGATCAATGTTAATCTTCTGGGGATTGCCAGCCATTGATTGGCTGCAACTAATTCAGAACTATTCCTAGAGTTGAGAATGAGTTCAACTTCTCTGGAGTCACACAGTGGAGGAGTAAATCTTGCATCAAAATTGGGATTCGGTTAGAATGGGAAAAGTTGTGGTGATGGGGCTAGATAATACATGATGCAAAGGCAGTGTCCAGGTTTTTTAATAGATCTTTGATGGAACTATCTTATTTCATGGCTTCAACATTCCTCAATTCCCTGTAGCTGAAGCTTGGACTGTCATGGAAAAGATCAGCTTTATCTTAAGAGCTGGGATATATAACAGCCTTAGTCATGTACCAGATAACAGGAAAGTTAGCACCATTTATATCCAGATTGCTTAGTATTAATGATCTTTATTTGTATTTATTTCCAACTATTTATCACACTTAAGTGACTGAGATTCATTTTTATTTTTTACTACCATCTTTCCCTTATTTTATTCTCTTGCATTTCAGTGTGCAGATGATCATCAGCCTGATTCCTTATCATATTTAGGACTTCAGCTGCAACTTATTCAAGCCAATCTTGATACCTAGAACTTTGAATCCTCCCCTGATACCAAACTTTGTATTTAAGACCATATTTCTGCTGGAAATCATCCTGTTGCCCATTTGGATCTCCAAGTAGCTCTTGATCCTTGTTTTCCAATTGTCATGTTAATGGACACATTGCTGACTTCTGCTGTATTTATTTAATCATAATTGCTTTTCTTTAAATTTTCTTAGTGCATCTTGCCACAATTTCTAAGAACTACTGTCTAGTCAACTGGAATTCCTTTTACAGACTGCTCTAGATTTTCTCTAAACTTTAGTAGTGTCTTACATTTTTTAACACATTTAGTGCAAGATGTTGACGTCTTCCACTCTTACCCAGGGTTTACACTAAACCCTTCCATGCTTGCTATACATATCAGATATTTCTCTTTCTCCTTTTCTGGTGTGTCTGGACCAAGTATTTCATTTGGTCCCATAGGGGATCTTTTTAAAAACTATATAAGAGACTTTAAAATTCTACTTGCCCAATTGTGTATAACCTACTTATTAGTAATCTTGAGGCTGGGATGTTAGTTTATTAATTTTTTTTAATTCCTCACCTGTAGAATTTAGTCTTGTGCCTTACAATAGTCAGTCAATAAACAGAGTTAATTAATATACATATAAATGAATATAACAAAGAATTAATATATTCATTGAGCCATTACCCTTGTTTAGTTCTGAAAATTCCTCCTAGTGCCCGTAAATCTCTTCTAGATATTTCTAATTTCCTGTACTAAGACAAACCCAAGGTTTGGAGTCCTGGGTGGTTAAAAAAAAAAAAAAAAAGGAATGCTTTGTACTGCTAGAGGACTTTTTTCAGTATTCAAATGGTGCTAACCCACCCAATCCTACTCTTCTTCATTACTACTGTAGGAATATCCAATCTTTAAGTCACAGTCCTGGCACAAATGGAGAAATGGAGAAGTAGACACCCACTGTCTACAGAATTAGCACTTGGTGAAGTATATGAAGTATTTCCTATTAGTACAAGAGTGAAAAACTCAGGAAAAGGAAATGGATTTAGAAACTTTTTTTTTTTTGAGACGAAGTCTTGCTCTGTTACCCAGGCTGGAGTACAATGGCATGATCTCATGATCTCGGCTCACTGCAACCTCCACCTCCTGGTTCAAGCGATTCTCCTGCCCCAGCCTCCTGCATAGCTGGTATTATAGGCATGCACCACCATGCCCAGCAAATTTTTGTATTTTTAGTAGAAATGGGGTTTCACCATGTTGGTCAAGCTGGTCTCGAACTCCTGACCTCGTGCTCTGCCCACCTCTGCCTCCCAAAGTGCTGGGATTACAGGCGTGAGCCACCATGCCCAGCTGAGAAACTTTCTTAAAGGATAATTGACATACTAACATCATATAGAGCTTGAAAAAATACAAAGGAAAGTGCAGGGCTATCAGGACTGGTATATGTGTTGGTACCCAACCACCTAATCATATATCCTGGATTAAATTGCAAAAGCATTTAATATATCTACAGCACATATTTAAAAAGCTGGAATGATAAAAATATTCACCAATTCATGACGTTTTTTAAGTAAATAGATTTTAGTCAGTCTTTCGTAGAGTTTATAATAAATATTTGTTCTTTAACATGGTAGTTATTTTTCAGTTTTTACCTTATGAGCTATGAAACATGTGGTGAGCCAGTGTAACAAATCAGAAATTATAATAAATTTTAAGACACTCTTCTGAAAGGGCCCAATCGATTTGTAGATTGTGTCATCCTGATGTTCCTATCTGCGTTATACTACATAAAGAAGGTCCTTGCTTGTCTCTGAAGGATAATATTAATCTTACTCTTCAAGTAAGCACCCAGTATATCTCAAATGTCAGAAAGAAAGTCTTATTCAGTGTTGCTGAGTTCATAAAGGATGACATTTACTCCTTAGGAAGCAGCATTCAGAATATTATGATGAGACATCCCACCTGGGATGACCTTTACCCAGCTGGAGGTAAAGGTCAGCTTCTATACTCTGCAGAACGCTGCTCCCAGAACCAGCACACAGGGCCACGACTTTGACTTTAGAACTCTTCAGTCCTCGCTACTCTAAGAACTAAGCACATATGTAATAGTTTTAAGTGGCTTGTGATTTACTCAGTCATGGCTGTCAGGGAGATAGATTCATCCAGTATGCATAACCATCCCATTCCAGTATGTAGAAGCAAAGGCTTCTCCAGTACATAATTTCAGTCTTCTGATGTCATTTTATGCTCTGGGAGAGAAAAGCCACTACCTGCATCAAAGTCTTCTGAGTATAACTGAGACTGAGTCATGTTTGTTTTTCATCATCAATCCCAGGAGACAAAGAAGCGACAGAAACATTCACAACTCTTTTTCACTGCAGACGTGACTTTGTCCAGGTCTTCGGTGGGTTCTCTATGGAGTCATTGGAAGCTTCGAAAGGATGCATCAGCCTAGAGGTCCAAGCTCCAAGCCCTTTAGCCAACCAGTTGCAAACTCCCTGGGGTGCAGCATCATAGGCTATGTGAGGAAAATACATACCAACTTCGTTCTCCAGACCCTGGATTACCAGGAGTTCTTTCCAGGTTTTCTAGGTTATGTGCCTTATAGGTCTGAAAATTGGTGGATGGCAGGAGAGAATGAGGTCTGCCTTCCTTCACAGCACCTCCTCCATCACTCCCTCAGTCAAGTCATTGGTCTGGAAGAGTGTGTTTATAGCATGTGATGCTCTTGGTTCCACCAGTAATCCAATATTGTCACAACTCTCAGCAAATGAGAGGGATGCAAAGTCATTCAAGGAGGCAAGAAGAGCCTTCAAATCCATGAAATAATGAGATTTGCAGATCAGGGAATCTTTAAGCAGAACAGATTCCATGTCCTGATACTATGCCATTCTCTAGATTCTTCTAAACCTGGCAAGTTTGAAAGTGAAGCCCTTGTGGGCCACCACACTGGCTTTGAGTTATTTACTGTTACATTTGAAAGAGCCCTTGGAAATAACATAATAGAACACCCTCATTTCACAGATTAGAAAACTGTGAGGCTATATAGCTTGAAGTCACAGTTAACAACAATGGGAGTCACTACAGCATAGTGCCTCTCTTAAGGAGAAGTGACTCTGAAGCTAAACTGAATCCCAGAGCCACAGCTGTGTAACCACAGGCAAATTACATAACCTCTGCAGTTTCTCCTTCTGAAGAATGGAAATAATAGTACCCAGCAGATAATGTTGCAAGATTTCCACAGAAAGCTGAAAACAGTGCCTGTCCTAGAATAAGCACTATGTTTGTGATTGTTAAGTAACATTAGTAGGGCTCCTTTACACCTGCAAACTGCTCACCCTCACTCACCCCTCATTTCAGTGTTACTTCAAGCCTTTTCTAGGTCAGTCAAGAGCCACATGACACAGCTAGTAAATCTTTGAGTCCTGACTCCTGCCCTGTTAGCCCCATGCTCTTGTGTGGCAGGCAGTTTTCTGTCCCAATCTTCTTTTTTGTCCTCTTTCTCTGAAGCACCACCATAACAGTCATAACTTGCTCTAGCCAGGACCTGCCAGTACCTGACATGTTTTAGAAACAATATGTGAAGCAAAAGGCTTGATATTCCAAACTCATCTGAGTGAAAGGATTGAAGTCTCTACGTGGACATTTAGGAATGACAACTGTAGAAGAATTTTGTTTGCTTGTGGAAATATTCAGAGCACACCTGGAGCATGAAAATTTTAATTCAAAAAGCTACACATGGAGTCACCTTTCTATATCTCTTTCTTGCATGTTTTATTTTTGTTTCTAACAAAAAGATAATTCTGTGACAGCAGTCTTATGTCAAAGGCACAGAAGAGAGGAATGAATTAAAAGATTGATAGAGCTTCATTTGAATAGGCAGTAACACAAGCTGGAAAACTGCTGACACTAAAAAAAATAAAAGTGAATTTGGATAAATGTTTTTCATGATGGCATTTAATTGATGCTGCCAAGATTGAAGAAATACTCCACTTTTGCTTCTTGAAACTTTATTTGTTTAAAAGATTTTAATGTCCCTCCCTGCCTCACTCCAAAGAAAAAACGAAAACCTAAGTAATATTTTTATTAAATCTTTGTGGATAACCAATTACAATTTATATATAGCAAATACATTTTCTAAGTTTTTCAGACAGTCTCGATTGAAATTGTAAATAAACTAGTCATAATCACTGCTGTCATCACCATCATTGATCGTTAGCAACAGCAGCAAATAATCACTACTGTCTTCATCATCATCAATTGTTAGCAACAACAGCAACAGTGTTACCACCTTCCTCTCTTGTCCTATGCTTCTGCCTTTGTAGATGTCATATGTTTTATAGCATATATTTAAGTTGCATAACATGATGTTTTGACATGCTCGTACACAAAAAATGGTCATGAAAACCAACTAAATTAACATACCCTTCATGTTTTTCTTTTTCGGTGGCAAGAGCACCTAAAATCTACTCTCATGTGTTTTAGTTGATTTATGGCAATAAAGTTTCACTCCATGTCTTTGGAAGAAAAAGAAAAAATGTGTTTAATTTTTCAGGTAAATTACTTTTAATAAATGGAATATTAATTATTTAAATAATATCAGCCATATTCAATAACCATTACTTTGATTCTTTTTTTTTAAATTATACTTTAAGTTCTGGGATACATGTGTAGAATGTGCAGGTTTGTTACATAGGTATACATGTGCCATGGTGGTTTCTGCACTCATCAACCCATCATCTAGGTTTTCAGCTCCAGATGCATTAGCTATTTGTCCTAATGTTATCCCTCCCTTTGCCCCACACCTCCTGACAGGCCCCGGTGTGTGATGTTCCCCTCCCCGTGTCCATGTGTTCTCATTGTTCAATTCCCACTTATGAGTGAGAACATGCAGTGTTTGGTTTTCTGTTCCTGTGTTAGTTTGTTGAGAATGATGACACATTAAAAAGTTTATTCACTACAATCAAGTCGGCTTCATCCCTGGGATGCAAGGCTGGTTCAACATACGCAAATCAATAAATGTAATCCATCACATAAACAGAACAAATGACAAAAACCACGTAATTATCCCAATAGATGCAGAAAAGGCCTTTGATAAAATTCAACACCCTTCATGCTAAAAACACTCAATAAACTAGGTATTGATGGAACATATCTCAAAATAATAAGAGCTATTTATGACAAACCCACAGCCAATATCATACTGAATGGGCAAAAGATGGAAGCATTCCCTTTGAAAGCCGGCACGAGACAAGGACGCCCTCTCACACCACTCCTATTCAACATAGGGTTGGAAGTTCTGGCCAGAGCAATCATGCAAGAGAAAGAAATAAAGGGTATTCAATTAGGACAAGAGGAAGTCAAATTGTCCCTGTTTGCAGATGACATGATTGTATATTTAGAAAACCCCATTGTCTCAGCCCCAAATCTCCTTAAGCTGATAAGCAACTTCAGCAAAGTCTCAGGATACAAAATCAATGTGCAAAAGTTACAAGCATTTCTGTACACCAATAATAGACAAACAGAGAGCCAAATCATGAGTGAATTCCCATTCACAATTGCTACAAAGAGAATAAAATACCTAGGAATACAACTTTGATTCTTAATAAAATTCCATGCATCAAACCAAATGACTAATATTTTATTTAAATATATCTTCATATTTATTAAAGATAGCATTTCGAGTGTGGTGGCAAAATCACAGAAGCAAAGATTTTAATTTTAAAATATTTCACTGAGAAAGTGAAGAAAACTAGTTTCTTTGCAGAGAAGTTGAGACAATGTTACATTCCAAGTGTGACAAAGTTATAGAGGAACCTGACTAGTAAGGACAAGAGAAAGCTACTTGTGATGCTGTGATCCTCCCCTCTTTCTCTTTTTTTATATTTTGTTCCATCAATTTGTTCAACAAATATTTATTGAGCAGTTATTATATGTTAGGCATATGCTGGGTGTATTATCTTTGAAAGGCAATGCAAAGTAAATAGCCAGAGAGTGAGAGGTGTTATTTCAGTTAGGGTAGTCAGGGAAGCCTCTTCAATGTGAAATGAGCTGAGAAAAGACCTGAATAAAATGAGAGAGAGCAGGAGAAAGAAATGCACATACGTGGGAAGATTATGTCAGGCAGAGGAACCAGCATGAGTTACCCTTGGATTGTCTGTTTTTCCCTGATTTATGTGATTGCCACCATTGGCTTGGTCATATTCTTATAAAACTTAACTGCCCTAGTCACAATTGCTTAGTTCAGTCTAGTGTCTGAATGAAATTGCAATAGTCAGCATTTTTCTCTGGGATTTTTTTCTAAACATCTGAATGAGTATAGATAGAAACTATGTCTGCAGTTATGAGACCTGTAAGTCAGAAGTAAAGAATTAAGCATTAAAAAGGCATGGTGGCTTACGCTAGTAATCCCAGCACTTTGGGAGGCCAAGGAGGGTGGATCACGAGTTCAAGAGATCAAGGCCAACATGCTGAAACCCTGTCTTTACTAAAAATACAAGAATTAGCTGGCCATGGTGATGTGTGCCTGTAGTCCCAGCTTCTCGGGAGGCTGAGGCAGGAGAATGGCGTGAACCCGGGAGGCAGAGGTTGCAGTGAGCCGAGATCATGCTACTGCACTCCAGCCTGGTGACAGAGCAAGACTCCATCTCAAAAAAAAAAAAAAAAAAAGAATGAAGCATTGGGAGTATCATGGTCATGTCACTCACCATGTGGGGAAAGTAATTGTACAGCCAAAGTAATGAAGGCAACATAAAAATAAACCCAGATAAAAGACCAGAAGATACGAGTTCAGGATTTCAGCATTCCTGATACCTGCTTGCACACTAAACTATCTTCTGATCTTATTCATTATCCTTTTTCTCCTAATCAACTTTAGATTGACTTGGATTGCTACTATTTTCAGCCAAATGAGTCCACATGAGGAGCTACTGAGTGAATTTAAGTAAAGGAATTTAAAAGTTGCTACTCAAGCACAGAAGGTAGACTTTGATGGGGACCAACAAATACCTTTCTACCTTTATAAGTTTGGAAACAATTAAGAGATGAGCACAAGTTTTCAAAAGAAAGAGATAAAAATATGAGTTATATTACTGAAAAAAAACCCAACAACCTTGATAGGATGTGCATGGTCTTTCCAACTCTGGACTCAAGAATTAAGTTGCCCACTTGGTCTCAGTCAGAGCTGAGAAGCCATGAGGCCTCCAAACAGTTGCCGCCTTTAACTTAAGAGAAAGAGTAGCACAAAACGTGTGTGTTCTATAGACAGGTTGATTGGCTCAGAAACAAAGTCTAAAAGGACCCCTCTGCCTCCTCTTAGAGGCAAGAAAGACTGAAATATTCACAGAAAAGCTAGCATTATTACTCCAATAGAAGTCTCTTGTGAGGAAGTGATACAGTGGTTACTTCCTAAAATAAAAGTATCTTCTTGAAACTGTAACATATACTGGAAAGACAGGAATTGGACAGAATTTGAATATCATTCTTTCCCTCTTAGATAAGCAATCTAGCTTTTTGAGTATAATTTTATAAATTTTTTAAATGGAGAATGATTATCTTTTTTCATGTGATTATTGTGAAGGTTATATGAAATGAGAATAAAATATTTGATCTGTTATTGCATAAAAAGTTTCATGTGTGAAATTTAACTTTTAATTTAGTAACAGTTTTCAATATTATACTTAACATGTTAGAGACACTTCATATAGGAAATTTCATAATATTTATTTTCTTGAAATATTATTATATCAGACTGTAAGCCATTATTATTTCCTGGTTAGTGAAATTCAATTTGTCATTGCTGGGACTTTTTTAGCGCATCTGAGATTATAAGAACTCCCATGCTGACATACTTCTTGCCTAAGACTTACCTTTGAGATTGAAGTTGGTCACTTTCTCATATCCCATGATTTTTTGCTGAGGCTGGGGACCCTCATACCTAGGGTTCAGACTGCCTTGGTGCTACATACAAACTTCTCCCCACCAGGAGGATATGCTGCCAACCTAGGGAAATGAAAAGACATGGCCCATCAGTCCATACCATCCACCTACAGAAATGTTCCTCTAAAAATTAGAGAGATTTTCTCTTTTCTTGAACGCCTTGACCACTCACCTCTCTAGTCTAATATAATCCTATGAAGTTAGAGAGAAAATTGAAAGAGAAAAAACAGATTGCCAAGTAGTCTATTGATAACTTGGCTCTTGGCCTGCAGCAAAATTCTTAGAACAGGCAAGAGGATATATGATGGAAAAATAAAGTCAAGGTTGAAATTAGTATGTCCATAAATTATTCTGACCCAGCAATATCTATTTTTCTGATTGACTTTTTAAAATATAACGCTCACATGGAATCTGTCTTGTAGAAGATTAAAGTTAGCAGTGTTCTTTATTTCTTTTTTTGTTTCTTTGTGCCTCTTTGAATAGAAATCTCATTAAGGAAAATCATATTTTATAAATATTTTTAGCTTTGAATTGTTTTAAAGTATATAGTAAAAATATATACTTAGCAAAATGTAATGTAATACAATTAAAATTTTTAATTCTGATTTTTAGAATAACCTCAATATAGAGTATTTCAGCTCACTGTGAAATGGAAACCATTTTAATGAGCTGACGTAAGACTCCTATTATAATATCTAGCTATAAGTTGTTTCAAAATCAGTTACTTTTTCTTCAAAGAGGAAGCTTATATTTCTTGGGGAAACACAGAAACACTAACCTTTTTGAAATATATATTTTAATCATTGATTATTTGAGCTGTTCTGAGAGAACAGGAGAAATTTTAAACTAGCCAAAAAAGAGAAAACAACAACAAAAACTTTTACAATCAGCTGAAGCAGAAGGTTCTAAGTCATTGGAACTTATTTATTGTATGCTTGAGAGACTCTTGGAGCCATACAAAGCTGGGTATTAATACATGGGCAAGCACAAGACAGACAGGGCAGATGTAGCATTAATCAAAATTGACTGAAATTTGAGAGCAGCTGTGTGGTTTGAGATGGCCATTCTGGCACAAAATTTATGCAAGGACCAAAATAGATACTACTGTACATTAAAAAAATAAGAAGAAAAAAGCTAAACTCCATTGTAAAACCTGACTAAAATCAAATTATATTCCCATAACAAAAGAGCAGTCAGTCAATCATAATATATGAGAATTAGAGTTTTCCCTAGGCAATAAACCCTAAATTCTGAGAGTCAATTGAAATCTAAATCACCTAGCCATCATTTTAAATCTAATATATCTTCATTTACATAAAAGTATAGCTAGCCAATGCAGAGTCCCTCTCAATCATGATTCAGAATAGTGCTATTAATTCACAAATGACTTCTAAATTCTCATCTGTCAAGAAAATTAAGACCCTGACAGCTCTAACATTCTGTATGGTAGGCTACACGTTATAATGGAAAGAGAATGGGAGCCAACAGCACCAGATGATCTCAGCATCATTACTTACCAGTGAGGTTTTAAGGGTATTTTTTTCTAAATTCCTGACTCCTGTTCTCCTACTTCTAAAATGGGGATATCTATACTTGCCATCTCAGCTCCTCTCTGCTCTTCTCTGTTGAACACACCCTGATATACTTTCATTTCTACCACTCCACTGAAAGAACTCTTGCTAAAGTTGCTAATGGCTCCTATACTAATACATTTGATGGTCAAATCTCCTCCCACATGTTGTTTGTTTGCCAACAATATTTTAGAGTGTAACTCATTTAACTTGATTTTGTATGGAACCACTATCTTTTGGTGGAACCCCTACTTCATTGGCTATTCTTTCTTAGTCTTCTTTTCAAATTCTCTTCTTCCAAAAAAAAATCTAAAACAATTTTCAAGTTAAAATTTTAGGATACATGTTTATATTTTGAGAAAATGTAAAAGGTCTGAGGTTTTACAGTGCTTGCATCTAACAAGGTAGCTTGGCACTGCTTCATATATGTCAGAAGACATGAGAATCCTGGGTCAGAGATAAAAGACAGCTTGTTATTCAGAGCAATAGCAGAAGCCAGAGAAGCATTGCTGTGTCAGTTACCCTAGTTCCTTTCCTTAGAAGATGATGTGATGAGGGGTGGCTGTTGTCTATACACACAATGGAGTATGTTAGGACAGAGAATCACTAATATTAGAAAGGCTTGACTGTTATATAGGAGGCCATTGGCAAATCTGCCTATTCTCCCCTTCAGAGAGAGACATTAATTTTATTACCTTGGAATATAACAGATATGCACCAGTGAAAGAAGTGAGAGAGATTTTTATCTTCAATATCCTGAGATGTAAGGAAATCCTTTGTGGAGAAATATCTCTGTCTTCCCTGACACTTGTGTATTTAAACATCTTAAAAATACTATTTGGAGAAAATGAGCTATTATCTTGACATGTGGACACATTAGAGATCAATGGAAAATTGTTACCAACACATAAGCTTGTTTCTCTTTTAGATTAGGAAACTGTTTTCTGCTTGCCTTTATTTAGCTTTGCCCTAAAAAGTAATCTTGCTTTGATGATTCAGAATTTAAGACAGTTTCTAAAAGTATTGACAAAGTATTCCACAATAACATCTTCTTATCTTTGCAATGTTTCCTTTTACAGTATTTATAAAGAATTTTAGCTTATAGTGGATATTCAAACACTGAAAAACACCAGTGGACTTTATTGGGTAGCATTTGAATAATGTAACATTTGGATCTCCTAGCAAGTTTAATGCATTATACAAAATGACTTGCTGAAATTGCCAATTTAAAGACTTATTCTTCTCCCAAAACATATTACTTCTTGGAAACACCACTCATAGGTGTATGCTTTCAAAAAGCATACCATGCATTTAAACTTATCAACAGTTATTTTATTTGCAATGATTCACCATTAGGAGTAGATGGGACTACAGACCCACAAATAAAACATGGCGACTGCTACAAACGTTGTGACTCCTTCCTTCCTACATGCTCTGGACCCAGTTCATGCAAATGTTGGTCTTAAACTTCCTGACCATGTGTTAGTGTTTTCTGTTATTTCTCTTGATTTGTTGTTAGTAGATTTCTTCAAATTTTATCTTTATGTAAGCTTAATGCTTGCAGATTTATATTTTTTTTACATTTTCCAAATTTCTTAGCTAATTTTTCTCTAATTTCTGGATATACAGGGGTAATCCTTAGGGGAAAATACATACACACACACACACACACACACACACACATATATTTATGTGTGTATATATATATATATATATTTCTGGAGATATATATCTTCAATGCTGTATATATGTGGGTTTATTTCTGAGTTCTTTTTTTTTATATTCCACTGACCTCTATGCCTATCATTTCACTAATTCCACAGTCTCTTGATTACTATAGGTTTAATTTAAATCTTAAAATCAAGTAGTTTGTCTTTCAACTTTCTCTTTCAATTTTAAACTTGTTTTGGTAATCTGAATTGAATTTTCATATAAATTTTAGAATACATTTGTCAACTTCATTTACAAAATTATATTTGAATTTTGATTGGTACTTGATTACAGTGATAGATAATTTGCAAAGAATTGACATTTTAACAACACTGTGTTGCAGTTGATGAACATTGTTTATCTGTTCTAACATCTGTTTATCTATGTAAACATCTGTTTAGATCTACTTTAATTTCTCTAAGTAGAGCTCTGTGGTGTTCAGTAGAAAGATTTTGCAAAACTGTTAATTTTATTCCTAAGTATTTTATGCTTTTGTAGCTAATGAAAAATAAGTACCTTAAAATTTTATTTTAGGATTGCTTAATTCTTATACATAAAGTAACTCTTTTTTATATTAAACTGGTATCACATGATCTTGTTAAATTCACATATTAAGTGTAATAGTTTTTATTTGTTTGTTTGTTTGTTTTTGGTAGACTCCTTAAGATTTGCTATCTAAACAGTTCTGTAATCTACATATAGAGAACATTTTCCTTCCTACTTTTTTATTGTTTTAACTTTTTTTTTCTTGCATTATTATAGTGGCTAGGACCCCTAATAAGACATTGAATAGAACAAGTAACATCAGATCTTTTTGCCTTGTTCCAAATCTTGGGGTGGGGAAGGTGTTCAATATTATCACATATTTGTAGATGTCCTTTATCAAGTTATGGAAGCTCCCCTCTCTTCCTTGTTTGCTTAGAGTTTTAATCATGAATAAGCATGAAATTTTCAATTTTTTTTTCTGCATCCTCTGACTTCTGGCTTCTATGGTTCCTGATAGAAACTCCACATCTGTTTGCATCAGTGTTGCCTCTATACCTAGAAATGTCTTTGTTTGCATTTATTCTATTTGAGGTTAGCTGAGCTTCTTGAATCTGTAAATTTATTCTATGATTTCTTCAAATAATTTATTTTTGCTACATTTACCTTTTCCTTTCCTTCTGGCTCTCCAGATACACATATATTAGACATTTTGAACAATTAGACCATTGTTCAACAGGTTCCTGGAGTTTGTTAACTTTTAATATATCTTGCTTTCTTTTTTTTACTTGAATTATTTCTATTAATTTATCTTCAAATTCACTAGTTAGTTTCTCTGTCACATCCCTTTTTTTCTTAAGACCATAAAATATATTTTTCTTTAATTCCAATATTTTTCAGCTCTAAAATTTGTATTTAGTTTACTTTCATATTCACATGCATATTTTCCCTAAAATTTCCATATTTTAAATTTAATACTAGTACATTTGAGTTTCCATCATTGAGCATCATTATAATATCTGCTTGATAGTCCTTGCTTGATAATTTCGACATCTGGTTCATCTGTAAGTTGGAATCTATTGTTGTCTTTTCCCTTGAGAACAGTTTGCATTTTTCCAACTCTTTACAATTTAAAATTTTTGTTATCGTATCTTAGACGTTGTGAATGTTATGTAGTAGTAACTATGGATTCACTTGTATTCCTTTAAAGTGTGCTAATGTTTTTGTTTTAGCAAATGATTAATTTCTCAGAGTTTGTTTACTGTGCCATTACTAGGGTAGGCAATGGCTCAGATTTCAACTGGAATTTCTGTCTCCCCATAAAATAAATAGTTCAGGATTTAGCCAGATATATAGTGGGCACCAAATCTGAGATTCTTTTTCTCTGGTTCTCTTCATTCTAGAAATTCTCCCCTCACTCTATGGGGAACTCCTAGTTCCCCCAGGTTTCTTCCCCTGATTCCTCTGGCTAGGAAGATTTTGGGAAATTCCATGCTGTAGCCACAGCTGTGGTATCTGTCATGATAAAGCTGCACATATGGAAAATTCATTTCAATCAAATATAGTCCCCAAATTTTAACTTTCCTCCAACTCTGCCTAATTTGACTCACTTCTCTGAGTCCTCAGACAGTTGTGTTTTACTATTATGTCCAGAATTTATAATTGTTACCTATACACAGAAAGCTTGGACTTAGTAGCATAGTGTTCTATAATGGAAAAGGAATTTCTCTCACTACCTGTAAGGTATAATTTAAATAAAAGAAAATTCACATATTTAAGTGATTAATTTGATGAATCTTGGCAGTTATGTATATCCAGGAAATCACCAGCAAAAACAAGATACATAATATTTCTATCATTCTGGAATGTTCCATTCTTTCCCTTTTCAATCAGTCCCTCATTTTTGCCCCAATATAAAGCTTGGGATCCATTTTATTATTTCTCTTGTCTTAGAATAATTCTGCCTTTTGGAAATCATAACAACGAATATAATTGTGTTATTTTGTGCCTGGATTATTTTGTTCAGTTTAATGTTTTTGAGAATCATCCATATTGTTGCAGGTATCAATAGGTATCAATATGATAACTCAGTATTAAATTTCAAAAATATGTTGCATTTTAATTATTCTCTTGTTGATGGAAATTTGGATTATTTCCAATTAGATATTCTTATTAATAATGCTGCTGTGGATACTGTTTTCCAAATTGTTTTTGTAGACGCATTTTTATTTATCTTTAATAAGTATCTAGGACATAAAAGCTAGGCTATAGTGTAGATATAACAAATTTTACAACAAACTTCCAAACTGTTATCCAAAATTGTTGAACCATTTTATAATACCACCAGCAATGTGTGATCAACTGCTCCGTATCCTTGCCAATATGTTCCATTATTTGTCATTTTTATTTTAGTCATTCTAGTGTCTGTTTAAATTCTTTTTAGAGAGAGGTTCCATTGAAGATATTTGTTCATGTTTTATTGAGTTGTTGCCTTTTTATTGTTGACTTCCAAAAGGTCCTCACATGATTTGGGTACAGGTGCTTTTTCTACTATATATATTTTGAACAGATTTCTCAAACATTGGCTTGCCTTTTAATTTTATTAATAGTCATTTTGCTAGCCAGAATATATATATATTTAAATTTTAGAATTTAAGTTCCTCCTTCTTATAGTTAGTTCTTTTTGTGTCCTGCATAAGTTATGCTTGGCTATCCAAAATCATTTAAATATTATTATTTTATTTTCTGAGAAGTTATTTGCAAGTTTTTACATTCAGGTCTATAGTCTATATAAATTAAATTTTTGTATAAAGTGAGATGAAAAGGTTTGTGTTTTCATGTGTTAAAAAGACATGTTTCAATAAACAAAAACATTACAAAAAAAGAAAACTACAGATTAAAATTTATCATGAAAATTGGCGCATAAGTCTTTTACAAAGTACTAGCAAATTAAATTTAGCAGCATAGAAAAATAATTATATATCATGATCAAGTGGAATTTATTCCTGAAACGTGATATATAAAAATCAATCAACATAATACACTGAATTAACAGAAGTAAGGAGAGAAACCATGATCATCCCAAATGGTGCAGAAAGAGCATTTGGCAAAATTCAATATTCTTTCATGACAAAAGCACTAAAAAACTAGGAATTGAGGGAAGCTACATCAACATAATGTAAGTCCTATAGGAAAAACCCACGGTTAACATCATACTCAATGATGAAAGATAAAGCTTTTCCCTAACATCATGAGCAAGACAATGATGCCTGTTTACACCATATTTGTTCAACACATTAATGATATCCTAGCCAGAGCAATTAGGCAAGAAAATCAAATAAAAGGCAACCAAGCTAGAAAGAAAAACGTAAATTGATCTCTGTTTATAGATGACATGATCTTATATGTAGAGTACCCTAAAGATTCCACAAAAGAAAATTAATAGAACTGATAAATTGAGTAAAGTAGCAGGATATAAAGTCAACATGCAAAAATACAGAGTAACTATGAATATGGGAAATGTTCACAGTTATATATGTTTTCTTTAAGTTTTTTTAGCAATGTTTTACAGTCCTCGTTATAAAAGTCTTTGATTTGGTATCATGAAAAATAATACCAAAGTTAGGAATTAACCTAACCAAAAAAAATAAAATAAATCACTTGACCCTATATTGGGGAGTTTCCCCACTTAGTGGGGAAAGGATGTCTTTTCAATGAAGTTTTGAGAAAGTTGAATATCTACATGCAAAAGAATAAAATTGGAACCTTACTTAAAATATACACAAAAATTAACTCAAAATGGGTCCAAGGCCTAAATGTAAGAGCTAAAATGATCACACTTAGAAGAGAATGCAAGGGAAAATCTTCATGACATAAAATTTGGCAATGATTTATTGGATATGACACTCTAAATGTGAACAATAAAAGAAAAAATAGATAAATTGAATTTTATATAGATTTAAAATATATATATATGTCAAAGGATACTGTCAATACAGAGAAATATTTAGAAATCATATATCTGATAAGGGACTAATATCCAGAATATATAATGAACTTCTGAAACTCAACAATAATTACAACCATCTCAGTTGAAACATTGGCAAAGGACTTGAACAGACATTTCTCTGAAGAAGATATAGAATGGCAATAACTACATGAAAAAGTGTTCAACATTACCTATTAGAGGAATGCAAATCAAAACTAGAATGTAATACCACTTTACATCTGTCATAGACTGAATTGTGTCCCCACAAAATTTATACTTTGAAGCCTTAACCCCCAATGTGACCGTATCTGGAGAGATAATCTTTAGGAAGTGACTAAGGGTAAGTGAGGGCATAAAAGTGGGACCTTAATTCACCTGGACTTTGACTTTGTAAGAGGAGGAAGAGAGAGATTGCCTTCTTCTGCTCTCTAAACAATGTGAGAGAACGCAGTGAGAAGCTGGTTTTCTACAAGCCAAGGAGAGACCTTACCTGAAACTGAATTACCCAGCTTCCAGAACTGTGAGAAAATAAGTTTCTATTGTTTAAAACATGCAGTCTGTGGTATTTTGTTATGGAGGCCCATCCTAACACATTATGATGGCTATTAATAAACGAAAATAATAAAAAATAACAACAGTTGTCATTGGATATGGAGAAATTGCAACCCTTGTATAATGCTGGTGGCAGTGTCAAATGGTAAAGTCTCTGTAAAAAACAATATGATGTTTCCTTAAAAAATTAAACATAGAGTTCCCACATAGCCCAGCAGTTTCATTTCTGTGTATATACCTGAAATAATTGAAAGCAGGGTCTCCAATGGGTATCTGTGCACCCGTATTTATTGCAAAATTATCCACAATAACCAAAAGGTAGAACCAACCCAAGTGTCCACTGATAGATGAATGAATATACAAAACATGGTACATACATACAATAGAATATTACTCAGCCTTAAAAAGGAATGAAAATCTGATAAATGCTACATCAATGGAACTTAAAATAATTATTGTAAGTGAAATTACCCAGACACAGAGGACAAATATTGTATAATCCCACTTACACAAAATACCCAGAAAAGTCAAATGTTAAATCCAGAGAAACAGAAAGTAGAGTAGTGGTTACTACGGAATAAATGGGGGGAAAGGGTTAAAGAGCATTTGTTTTGTATGGGGAAAAAGTTTCAGTTTGGAATAATAAAAAAGTTATGGAAGTAGATAGTGACTATCTATGCCACTAAATTTTATGCTTAGAAATCGTTAAAATAGTGAAGCTGCAGCGGCTCATGCCAGTAATCCCAGCACTTTGGGAGACCGAAGTGGGTGGATAGCTTGAGCCCTGGAGTTTGAGATCAGCCTGGGCAACATAGTGAGACCCTGTCTCTACAAATAAAATTAGCCATGTGTGGTGTCATGTGCCTGTGGTCCCAGCTACTGGGGGAGCTAAGGTGGGAAGATCACCTGAGCCTTGGAGGTTGAAGATGCAGTGGGCCGAAATCTTGCCACGGCACTCCAGCCTGGGTGACAGAGTGAGAACCTGTCTCAAAAAGAAAAAAAAAATGGTTAAAAGAGTCAATTTTATATTCTGTATAGCTTACCACAATTTAAAAAGACATGTTTCCCTGTTAATTGAGTTGGTAACTTGCTTAGTAATCTATAAATCATATATGTGTGCTTCTATTACTGGACTTTCTATTCTTTGTATTCTACTGATCTGTCTGTAAACTGCTTACTGCAACTTTAGAACAAAATTTGAAATTTGGTGGTCTAAGTTCTACAACTTTTTCTTTTTTTCGAGACTTTTTTCTATCTCAAGTCCCTTTGATTTTCTATATATATTTTAGAATTCTCCCATCAAATTCTTCCCAAAAAATCTAACTGGCACAAGAAGAGAACACCAAATACCACATGTTCTCACTCAAAAGTGGGAGTTGAACAATGAGAACACATGGACACAGGGAGAGGAACAACACACACAGAGGCCTGTCACGGGGTGAGGGGCTCGGGGAGGGATAGCATTAGGACAAATAGCTAGTGTAAATGATGAGTTGATGGGTGCAGCAAACCAACATGGCCCATGTATACCTATGTAACAAACCTGCACGTTGCGCACACATACCCCAGAACTGAAAGTATAATAAATAAATAAATAAATAAATAAAAATTTAAAAGAAAAAAGTTAACTGGATTTATACTGAGACTGTGCTGGATTTAAAAATCAATTTGGGAAAAAGCAAGTTTGCCTATTCATGAACATATTTTTCCATTTGTTAGGTCTTCTTAAATTTCTCTCAACTACATTTTGTAATTTTCACTGTAGTAGTCTTCCTACACTACATTTTTATTTAGATTTACTTCTTGGCATTTTATATTTTTAGATATTAATTTAAATTGTATCTTTTTTTGTTTTTCTCCATATTTTGTAACCAGTATATAAAAATACAATTGATTTTTATATTGACATTTTTATCTTGCAACCTTCCCAATGCATGTATTAATTTGAATTTTTTTATATATTTCATAGTTTTCTACATAATTATGTATGAAAATAAAAAAGGTTTTACTTTTTCCAGTCTTCCTTTGTAGTATTTCTTTTACTTACATCATACTGCCTAGCAATTTTGGTACAATGTTGAGTAAATGTATTGAGGGTAAACATCTTTGCAATGGCTACTAATCTTGGAGAAAAAGTGGCCAATATTTAATCACTAACTTCTATTTTGGGTTCTCTCTCTTCATAATGCTTCAACATGGATGAAAGTAGCTGTGTGTCTGTCTCTTCTCTCCCAAGAAATGCTCGCACCTTTTTGAAATATAGTTTTGTTAGATTTCCATGCATTTTCATCTCTATGATTAAGTCAGACTAAAAAAGTTATGATTTCTATGCATTTTTAGCTCTTTGATTGATAAAGGGGAAAAATCACTATGTAGTTCCAGTGTGCTTTGTTGTTAGCCTAAAAACAACAGTTACTTGAGACTTTCTACATTATAACTAGACATAATAGGATTAAATCTACTTCACAGCTTTAAATGTCATCTCTAAGCCTATGAATTGCAGATTAATATCCTCTATCTGTAGACACAGTGTATTTTCAGCACAGAACTCCAAGTGACTCTTCTAAAACAGTCTGATCATGTCCCTCCATCTGAAACACTCTGGTGAGTCCCCATTTTACTCAGCATAAAAGTCAAAAGTCTTCTAATGACCAAAAGCTACATATGATTTGAACCTCACCTTTAATATCTGTCACTTTGACCTCATCTCCCACAATTTCACCTTTGTTCTTTCTGCTCCAGCCATGTGGGCCTCTCCACTGTATCTGAAACAAATCAAGGACCCTCTAGACTCATGACTTTGCATTTGCTCTCCCTCTTCTCATAATGGTCTTTTTCAGACAGACCCCAAATCCTTCAGATCTCTGCTCAAATGTCCCTGTCACGGTATTATCTAACTATTTCAATATTATTTACTCTTGTTTGAAATAATACTTGCTATTCTGTTTATTATTTGTCTTTCCCAAGTAAAAGGCAGGAATTTTATTTTACTGCTCTTTTTGCTCTACTTTTCAAGAATCTAAAAGATAGCTGAGATAGAAGAATAAAAAATATATATATATTTGTAAATGAATATAAAACTAAACAAAAGAGGCTTGGTTGTCTTGAGCCATGGTCCAAATAATTTACTAAAATAATGTAAGTTTTCAGTAAAACAACAAAAGCATTCCCAATGGCACCAAATATTTGCCAATGGACAAGATTTTCCTACTTTAGTTCTAAATGTCTGAAGCACATATATTCTAGAGTAACTATTTCTTTAATGACTGTATTAGTCCATTCTTACACTACTACAAAGAACTACCTGAGACTGGGTAATTTAAGAAGGGAAGAGGTTCAATTGACTCACAGTTTCACAGGTTTAAAAGGAAGCATGACTGGGAAGCCATGACTGGGAAACTTACAGTCATGGCAGAAGGCAAAGGGGAAGCAAACACCTTCTTTACACGGCAGCAGGAGAAGGAAAGAGCAAGGGGGGAAGTGCCACACACTTTTAAACCATCAGATCTCACGAAAACTCACTCAACATCATGAGAACAGCAAGGGGGAAACCTGCCCCCATGATCCAATCACCTCCCACCAGGACCTTCTTCCAGTTCAACATGATATTTGGGTGGGGACCCAAATCTAAACCATATCAAGAACTTTTAAGGATTTTTTTAAAATCACTTGTCAGTTCCTTTACTTGGGAAGAATTATCATTTAAAAAAAGTAAACATGAACATATTTTTAAACTTCATTGAATGCCATATTACTGAATCTTTTATATTCAAAACAAATTTTTTGGACATCTATGAAGGCTAAAACAACTTCATTATCTCCTTCACTGCCCTCCAAAATAAAGTTTTCATTGTGCTTAATATGATCCATATTTGGTATCCTGACACTAGGTGGCTAAGTGATGTGGAGTAGTAAAAAGATTTAGATTATAAATTAAATGAAAATAAAATTTTTTAAAACAATGAAATCCCATGTCCATATACCTGAGTTAATTTCATATGAGTTTTGTACACTTGTGCAGAGGAAGCAGAGTGGAGGAACATAGCTATTTCTGGATGCTTTGTTTCCTATGCATGTACCACAGGGCCTAGAAGAGTACCAAGTATGTAGCAGGAGCTCCATGAGTACTTGCTGAATATAAGAATGAATAAATGAAGAGTCATGGAGACACAAGAAAACTTCCTTTTCCTTTCTCTCTCTTCTAACTTTTCATTACATTTCACAGGATAAACAATATGTTTTACATAAAATTAACAGCTTAATATTGGCTTACTCCTTAAACTTTACCAATGTGAGTTTTCAACTAGTTTGCAAACAGTAATGTGATAATTTCTTCTTGTGATGAAGGGTGAATGATGCGGTAAAATGAGATAAAATATTATCTATCTTTATTAATTCTCCATATACATAAGGAGAGATAGCTCCTATATCATACTAATATCCCCCCTAGGGATTATAAAATGATGCATTTCATATAGTTCTCTATCAGGTTGCTATTTATTAACCCTGATGAAGGAAGACATGTATATACATATGTACATACTCATACATATATGCATACATATATATCATTTATATGTGTGTGTATATATACATATCAAAGAAATATATGTATATAGACAGACACACATGTATATGTATGTATGTGTATATATAGTGTCTGTGTGTATGTATGCATATATAAAAATATCATGTAGCTGTCATATTATCTATGAAGAGTTTTATTGTTGCTGATGTAGCAGTTTCTTCAGGTCACAGTTTGCCTTTTTTGTTTTCAATTACTATAAATCTTTGGAGCCCTTCATTTTTCTCCCACTAACGCAATTATTTTCTTTGCTGAAAAAGAATGTGTCATTTACTATTACCTTTTTAAAAAATGACATCTTTAAAATTGCTTCTTTTTGTTTTTACTGAATACACATGTCTTCTTGGAAAAGGGAAAATGTGTCATGACTACGCTGCCTTAATTGTACTCTCTGTGTGTGTATATGTGTGTGTGAGAGAGAAAAAGAAAGAGAGAGTGAGAGAGAGTGTGTGCTAGTAAGAGCGAGCACAGTGCATTGGATTTAAGATGTTCTAATCATTTAGTTCACATAAACCTTATGAAAAATGAAAACTGTTCATTTTTCTCTGCGTTCCTCTATTATTCATCAGGTGCAGCACCTGGAACCAATCTCAAGAAACAATTTGTCACTGTGTGTAATTGCTATGCAGCATATTAGAATCAAACAATTCATTATGTTGGTTTATAGAAACAAAAAAAGTAGTCAAAGATTTTCTTTCATTTTAACCTTTGTAAGAAAATCAGTGTTCTCACTTCATTCAAGCTGGAGATGAATTGGCTCTCACTGGAAACAAATGAGGACATAAATACCTGTCCTTGCCTTTTGACCACTCATTCCACTAGGGCTGGACAGTGTTATTCATTTAGGGGTCAGGCTTGGACATTAAGAAATCCTCCACATCAATTTTTTTTCATTTATTTTTACATCAATTTTTTAATGTACCTTTAATGTAGAGAGTCCATACAACACTCCAGCATCGACAGAATAGTTTCTATGGACTTAAGCCAACATATTGTTTAATTATAATCTAATTATAGACACAGTTTTGTGATCATTATAAAGAGTATACTATATAAGTATAATGTAAGGAAATAAAAATCATCTGTAATTCCACATTGACTACTGATGAAAGAGGTGGTGGGCTGGAGTGGTCTCATGAGATGCCCGGTGCCTGCTGTAAGCAGTGAGGCTCAGCTCCTAGTGAAGGCAAAAATAAGCCGCTAAAGCTGAAGACACAGACTAAGTCTAGACTGCTGAGAGCCAGAGAAGAGTTTGTGGAGGCAAGGCTGACTGAGACTGGAGTGGGAAGTGTGCTGACTGGGCACTGGCAGGCCTCAACTCTGCCCTACAGGTATTCTGCAGAGTTCCTCTGCGTGGCCCTCCCCAAGGCCAGCGCCTGTGATCTTTGGCATTTGCATCACCAGCTACTTCTGCAGAGTGCCATTGAATCACAAAGTTGTGAGTGGAAGCTGAGCTGGGGGAAATGGGTCCTGTCATAAGTGGAAAAATAGGTGTTAATACCACCTTTGGCCTTATGATTCTTTCTTGCAATTTTGTATTGTAATCATTTTTTTCACTTACAATTTTTCATGCTTATGAGTAGTTGTATTTTGTAATGGACAAATGTAATAATATAAATTTACATAAAATGATATGATGTATTAGATTAATGTTATATTCAGGGATATTTGACTTGTTTCTCATTTTTGATATAGAAAATACTGAGATCAACACTTTAGAAACAGACATTTATCTGAATTGCTAGTTATTAAATTAAGATAGCTAGAAGTTAAATTACTAACTTTTTTACATTTATTGATACATATTGCCAAATTTATACTCCCATTCTTTAGGTATTGAACAACCTGACCTACTGTACACTAAGTATAACATCATTTGACAATAGATTCTAATTGATAAAATGAAAATAAATTCTTATTGTGCTAATCTGACTGCTTTAATTTATTAATAAGGTTAAACATTTTTATGTATTCAACAACTATTTTTAATGTTTCTATACATTTTATGTTTATGGAATATTGCTTTTTTCACATGGAAGTTTTAGTGTTTTACTTGTTGGTTGAAAAGTCTCTCCATATTAAGGATATTCATAATTTATTTTACTGTTGCAAATAAATTTTGGAGATTCAAATTTTTTTTTTCATTTAGCTTTTGATGATTCTCAATATGAAAATGCTTTGTATTTTATACCTGGAAATCAATTGACTTTTTGGTCACTTTTCTTATTGCTTTATAGATTACAACACACTTATATCTTCTAGTTCCATTTTATTTACATTAAACTCTTTAATCAACCTCTAACTGATTTTGTTATGTTTAATTTTCTATCACAAATGATTAATTTTCCTTACATTATGTTATAGTTGCAGTAGTAGTAACAATAGTTGGAGTAATAGTAGTAGTGGTTAGTTCGTATTTTGTATGTACAAAACATGATGTTTGGTGAATTACTTGTGTTACTTCAATGAATCTAATAATCCAATTGGAAGTTTATCTTTACTATTTTACAAATGAGCAAATTTTGTTTGCAGTATTTAGAAACATACTACAAGCAGTATGAATCAAGCCTCAAATTCTAATACTTTTCATTCTCCTAATGGAACTTGTATTTAGTCCACTTTCAGGCTGCTGATAAAGACATACTTGAGACTGAGCAAATTACAAAAGAAAGAGGTTTAGCTGGACTTACAGTTCCATGTAGCTGGGGAAGCCTCACAATCATGGGGGAAAGAAAGGAGGAGCAAGTCATTCATCTTACATGGATGGTGGCAGGCAAAAAATGAGAGACCTTGTGCCGGGGAATGCCTCTTTTTAAAACCATCAGATCTCATGAGGCTTATTCACTATCACGAGAACAGCATGGGAAAGACCTGCCCCCATGATTCAATTACCTCCCATCAGGTTTCTCCCACAACATGTGAGAATTCAAGATGAGATTTGGGTGCGGACACAGCCAAACCATATCATTTTGCCTGTTGCCCCTCCCAAATCTCATGTCCCCACATTTCAAAACCAATCATGCCTTCCCAACAGTCTCCCGAAGTCTTAACTCATTTCACCATTAAGTCAGAAGTCCACAGTCCGAAGTCTCATCTGAGACAAGGCAAGTCCCTTCCATCTATGAGCCTGTAAGATCAAAAGCAAGCTAGTTATTTCTTAGATACAATGGGGGTACAGACATTGGGTAAATACAACCATTCCAAATGGGAGATACTGACCAAAGCAAAGGGGCTACAGGTCCTATGCACACCCAAAATCCAGCAGGGCAGTCAAATCTTAAAGCTCCTAAATGATCTCCTTTGACTGCATGTCTCACATCGGGTCATGCTGATGTAAGAGGTGGGTTCCCATGGTCTTGGGCAGCTCCACCCCTGTGACTTTGCAGGCTACAGCCTCCCACCTGGCTGCTTTCACCGGCTGATGTTGAATGTCTGTGGCTTTTCCAGATGCACGGTGCAAGCTGTGGCTGGATCTACCATTCTGGGGTCTGGAGGACTGTGGCCGTCTTCTCACAACTCCACTAGGCAGTGCCCCAGTAGTGATTCTGTGTGGGGGCTCTGACCCACATTTCCCTTCTGCACTGCCCTAGCAGAGGTTCTCCATGACAGTCCCGGCCCTGTAGCAAATTTCTGCCTGGGTATCCAGATGTTTGCATGTAACTTCTGAAATCAAGGTGGAGTTCCCCAAATCTTAATTCTTGACCTCTGTGCACCCACAGGCTCAATACCATGTGGAAGCTGCCAAGGCTTGGGGCTTGCACCATCTGAAGCCACAGCCTGAGCTCTATATTGGCATTTTTCAGCCATGGCTAGAGTGGCTGGGATGCAGGGCACCAAGTCCCTAAGCTGCTCAGGGACCCTAGGCCCAGCCCACAAAACTACTTTTTCCTCCTAGACCTCCTGGCCTGTGATGGGGGCACTGCCATGAAGACCTCTGACATGCCCTGGAGATATTTTCACCATTGTCTTAGGGATTAGCATTTAGCTCTTCGTTACTTATGCAAATTTCTGCAGCCAAATTGAATTTCTCCTCAGAAAACAGGCTTTTCTTTTCTATCACATTGTCAGCCTGCAATTTTTTAAAACTTTTAGGTTCTGTTTCCCTTTTAAAACGGAACGCTTTTAATAGCACCCAAGTCACAACTTGAATGCTTTGCTGCTTATAAATTTCTTCCACCAGTTTTTCTAAATTATCTCTCTCAAGTTCAAAGTTCCACAAATCTCTAGGCCAGGGGAAAATGCTGCCAGTCTTCTTGCTAAATCTTAACAAGAGTCACCCTTGCTGTAGTTCCCAACATGTTCCTCATCTCCATCTGAGACCACCGCAGCCTGGATTATATTGTCCATATCACTATCAGCATTTTGGGCATAGCCATTCAACAAGTCTCCAAGGAGTTGCAAACTTTCCCACATTTTCCTGTCTTCTTCTGAGCCCTCCAAACTGTTCCAACCCCTGCCCATTACCTTCCACATTTTTGGGTATCTATGGCTGTGCCCCACTCCCAGTATCAATTTACTGTATTAGTTTGTTTTAATGCTGCTGATAAAGACATATCTGAGACTGAACAATTTACAAAAGAAAGAGGTTTAACTGGACTTATAGTTCCCTGTGGCTTGGGAAGACTCACAATCATGGCAGAAGGCAAGGAGGAGCAAGTCACATCTTACATGGATGGAAGCAGGCAAGAAATGATCAAGCTTGTGCAGGGGAATTCCTCTTTTTAAAACCATCAGATCTCATGAGACTTATTCACTATCATGAGAACAGCATGGGAAAGACTTGGCCCTCATGATTCAGTTACCTCCCAGCAGGTCCCTCCCACAACACATGGGAATTCAAGAAGAGATTTGGGTGGGGCACAGCCAAACCATATCAGCACTCTTTTATATACTCATCTTCATCAAAGTTAAATACATATATTCATCTTTTTACTACCCATTCTCTCATCTATTCTCATCTTCTTGTTTAACTTTCATTGAGCATATCATGGCTTCATTATTATTAGGTTTTAAAAGGCTTTAAGTAGTGCAAGGCCAAATCTCTTGTTATTCTACTTAAATTTTATTTTTTGACCAAATCCTCAGAGCTAAATATATCTATCTGCCTATCTATCTATATATTATCTATCTGCCTATATATATCTGTCTATCTGCCTATATATCTATCTATATATATATATCTATATATATCCATCTATCTATATATATATCTGCCTATATATACCTATCTGCCTATCTATCTGCCTATCTATATATTACATGTGGATATAATAACATATCCACATGTAATATATAGATAGATAGGCAGATAGATAGATACTATACATAATCCTACCTTAATTTTATGGTCACTCTTCATGGTAGTTTAAAATCTATCTACTTAATATGATAACTATCTCAGCAATTTATATCTATTTTGACAACCTCATTCTCAACACAGGTAAGCTGTGCAATACTGAGCAATTGATGGCTTCTACTCTGCCTCTGAAAAGAGAGATAGAAGTATTACGGTGTATTGAAAGAGCATGAGTTGTGTGTCAGGAAAGCTGAAAATTTATGTCACAATTCTGCCACTGCCTAGCTGTGGGAATATAAGCAAATTGTTTAAACTTTGAACACCTCAGCTTCTTTATGAATTCAAAATAAACAATAATACCTATTTTGTAGTATTGATGACCATGAGAGTACTGATTGGTTAAATTAACTTAAATTTTACCTGAGGCTTCCTTTGTATTCTGAGTTCCTACATGATAAACTGCAACTTAACTTAGCATGTAAATAAACTGAAATCAAACTTAGGAGTAAAACAAACAGCCACGTTTCAGCCAATTACAAGTAGCCAACTCATCATACCATGCCCAAATAACAAAAATGCCTCGTTACACCATGTCCAAAAAAGGCTAACACCATGTTTTGTGCATATAAAATATGAACTCACCTCCACTACTAATACTCCAACTATTATTATTACTGCTGCAACTACTATATAATATAAGTAAAATTAATAAAGTCCAATCAGATGACTTCTCTACTTTGCTTCTGTGTCTTCCCTATACAAGCTCAGTGCTGACACTGCTGCCTGGAGCTCTCTGAACTGCTCCTGATTCTGAATGTTGCCCAATTCATGAATTATTCTTTGCTCAAATGAGCTCCTAAATGTAATTTGTCTAAAGTCTTCTGCTTAACAAATTATACTACTAATAATGGTGATAATAATAAAATAGATAACATTACATATATGAATATTGCCAGTACTATGGTGACTGCCAGATTCTATGATGTGTGCTTAAAATATACCATCACTCTTAATATTCTAAATACTTTTTTGAGGTGAATATTCTTAATATCTTTATTTTACAAATGATAACATTGCATTTCATAGTATCTTAAGATCGTAAGATCATGTTTAAGATAACATAGGTATTTATCTGCTCTGAAGAAGAGAAAGCTAAATCCATCAACTTTCCAGAGATTCTTTATTTTTTGCCACATACTCCAAGGACTAAAACTGATTTATTGTTGTTCAGTAGCTGCCACAATTTCTTATATATTTTGACATTTTTCTCCCCTTAACATATGATTTAGAATTTCCACCCACCACAGAACCAAAAGTGTACGTGGCTGTCCAAAAAGGTGAGTAAAACTATGTTTGTCATTGGAGAAATTTAATTATATTTCTTTTTGGGAAATATAAGCTCAAAAATAAATAACATAGTAGTATGTTTTATAATTTTTGAAGTCTTAGGTAAGCCTTTCCAGTACCTTATACAAGTTTTCTATCAGATATTGCTTTTGTTTTTGTTTCTGTGTGATGTCTTTTTCTGGTTTTGGTATCAAGGTGCTGCCAGCCCCATAAAATGAGTTTGAAAACATTTTCTCCACTTTTAATTTTTGGAAGAGTATATGAAGAGATAGTATTAATTCTTCTTTGAATGTTTAGTAGAATTCACCAGTGAAACCATCTGGTCCTGGGCTTTTCTTTGTTGGGAGGTTTTTGATTATTCAATATGAGAAGGCTATGGCTAATTAATGGGGAAAACCTAAAAGCTTTGCCTCTAAGATTCAGTGCTAGGCAAGGATGCCTACTCTGTCCATTTCTTTTCAGCATAGTACTGAAAATTCTAGCCAGAGCAATTAGACAGGAAAAAAAAAGATATCAAAATTAGAAAAGAAGTACAATTATCTCTGTTTGTAGATAATATAATGAAGTACATAGAAAAACCTAAAGACTCAATGGAAAAACTCTTAGAACTAATAAATGAATCCATAAGTTTTCAGTATACAAAATTAACATATAAAAGTTAGTCATTTCTGTCACAATGAAATATTTTTACCTAAAATTAATAAAACAATCCCATTTACAATGGCAACAAAAAGAATAAAATACTTAGAAATAATTAGGAAGGTGGAAGACTTGTACACTGAAAATTGTAAAACACTGATGAAGAAAATTAAAGAAAACATAGATAAATAGAAATATATTCTGTATCCTGTGTTCATGGATTTGAAGAATTAATATTCTTAAAATGTCCATACTATCTAATGCGAGCTACAGACTCAATGCAATTTCTATCAAAACCTCAATGGCATTTTCCCAGAAATAGAAAAAAATAACCCCCAAATTCATATGGAACCCCCAAAATTCCCAAATAGCCAAAGCATTTCTGAGAAAGAAGAACAAACTTGGGGGCATTGCATTTCCTGATTTCAAAATATATAACAAAGCTACAATAATTAGGAAAGTATAGTACTGGCATAAAAAGAGAAATGTAGACCAATGGAAAAGAATAGAGAGCTCAGAAATAAATTCATACATCTACAGTCAACTGATCTTTGGGAAGGATGCCAAAAACACATAATAGGGACACAACAGTCTCTTTAATGGTGTTGCCAAAACTGGATATCAACAGGCAGAAGAGTGAAACTGAAACTTTAACTCACACCATATACAAAAGTCATCTCAAAATGGATCACAAACAAACATAAGACCTGAAATCATAAAACTATTAGAAGAAAACATAGCTAAAACATTTTTTACTTGGTCTGGGCAATGATTTTCAGATACGATACCAAGAGCATAGGCAATTAAAGCAAAAATAGATGAGACTATGGTAAACTAGAGAGCTTCTTCACAGCAACAGAAGCAATCAGCAGAGTAGAAATATAACCTGCAGAATGGGAGAAAATATTTGCAAACTATATATCTGATAGGGATTTAATATCCAAAATATATAAGGGTCTCATGCAAATCAATTGCTAAAAGGGTGGTTCACTCCCCTAATCCCAGCACTTTGGGAGCCCAAGGCAGGTGGATCACTTGAACCAAGGATTTCAAGACCAGCCTGGGCAATATGGCAAAACTCCATCTCTACAAAAAATTTTAAAAATTAGCTGGGCATGGTGGTACATGCCTGTAGTCCCAGCTACTGGGGAGGCTGAGGTAGGAGGATCACTTGTGCTTGGGAGATCAAGGCTGCAGTGAGCCATGCTCCAGCCTGGGTGATGGAGTGAGACCCTGTTTCTCCCCGCCCCCAAAAAAAAAAAAAACAAAAAAAAAACCAGGTAAACATTTCTTAAAAGAAGAAATAAAAAATGGCCAATAGATATATGAAAAGGTTCTTAGCTTCGCTATTAGGAAAATGCAAATTAAAACCACAATAGTTTTATTTTTAATTTTTTGAGGAACCTTCATACTATTTTTTGTAAAGGCTAAAACAATTTACATTCCTACCAACAGTGTATAAGGGTTCCCATGTATAAAAACTCACACTTGTTAGAATGGCTATTATCAAAAATGATAAAAGATAAGAAATTATGCTGAAGATTTAGAGAGAATGAAATCCTTATACACTGTTGGTAGAAATGTAAATTGTTACAGCCTCCACAAAAATAGTATAGAGATACCTCAAAAAATTAAAAATAAAACTATTGTGGTCTAGCAATATCACTTCTGGGTATATATCCAATGGGAATGGAGTAATTATCTTGAAGATATGTATGCACTCCTGTGTTAACTTCAGCATTACTCACAATAGCTAATATGTAGAAATAACCTGCATATCTGTTAATGGATGAAGGTATAAAGAAAATTATACATATATAATTACATATATAAGCATGTGTATATATATAATATGATGGTTAATATTGAGTGTGCATTTGATTGGATTGAAGGATGCAAATTATTGTTCCTGGGTGTGTCTGTGAGGGTATTGGCAAAGGAGATTAACATTTGAGTCAGTGGACTGGGAGAGGCAGACCCACCCTCAATCTGGGTGAGCACCATCTAATCAGCTGCCAGTGCAACTAGAATTAAGCAGACAGGAGAAGATAGAAGAGCAGACTTGCTGAGTCTTCCCGCCTCCATCTTTCTCCTGTGCTGGATGCTTCTTGCCTTCGAACATCAGACTCCAAGTTCTTCAGCTTCTAGACTCTTGGACTTACACCAGTGGTTTGCCAGGGGCTCTCATGCCTTTGTCCACAGACTGAAAGCTGAATTTGTCGGCTTCCCTACTTTTGAGGTCTGGGGACTCAGACTAATCCACCACTGGCTTCCTGGCTCCTCAGCTTGCTGACAGCCTATCGTGAGACTTTAACTTGTGATTGTGTGAGTCAATTCTCCTTAATAAACTCCCTGTCATATATACATATATCTTATTAGTTCTGTCCTTCTAGCGAACCCTGACTAGTACTACATACACACGCGCGCGCACACACACACACACACACACACTTACATGCTTAAATATTACTCAGCATTCTAAAAAAAGGGAAATCCTGCTATTTAGAACAACCTGGATGAGTTTGGAGGACATGATACTAAGTGGCATAAACTTGTTGCAGAAAGACAAATACTGGACGCTCTCACTTACATGTGGAATTTAAATAGTCAAAACTCACAGAGGCAGAGAATGGTGGTCACCAGGAGTTAGGCAGAGGGGAATATGGGAAGATGCTGGTCAAGGGGCACAAAGTTTCAGTATTCAAGATGAACAAGTTTTGAGATCGAATGTACAACACTGTGACTATAGTTAATAATACTCTATTGTATATAACAAATTTGCTAAGAAATTTGCAAATTTGCTTATGTGTTCTCACTAAGGTGTGGTGTTGGATATGTTAATTAGCTTGATTGTGGTGACTATTTTACAATGTAGGTATATATCAAACCAAGTTGTACACTTTATATACAATTTTTAATTGCCAATTATACCACAATAAAGCAGGAAAAATAGACAACTCTGTGTAAATAAATGGATATTTTCTTTGGTGCATTTATTATTTGTCATAGAATGCAGGGTTACCTTATGAAAATCTTCAGTTCTTTGTGCACAAGGCTTATGACCCCTAAAAGCTGGAGGGTCTCCAGCATACAGGTTCTTGAAATCTCTATTTAGAAAATGAAACCATAGGTATATGGGAAAATTTTATAATAGCCTCTCTCTGGGAACAAACATTAAGTTTCATAGGTTATGGTCTATCCAGTATAGGAAAATATGGTGACTCTATGTTGGAATATGTACATTTTATGTTTGTATATGTTAAAGTTAATCCTTTAACCAACACTAGTTGCAAATTCTCATTTTTTCAGTTGTCATGAGCCCTCAGTTTTAAACTTTAGCCTGCTCCATCAACCAAAACTGAATTGCAGAACCACAAAATTTATGAACTGATTATTTCTTCCCTCATTAGAAGTTACTCCTTTAGAAGTTTTATGGTTCATCTTATGGTTTTATGGTGTCAGGTTACCATACATGTTCTGATAAAACCTAAATTTTTACACTATAGCCACTAAACTTCATATTTTCTATAACTTACACACATTGCAAAACCTTTGTAATGTAATATCTATAGTTTTTGTCATTAAAAATATAGAAAAGATTATATTAGCAAATCCTTTAAAATGTCCCCTATCTATAAGCCCACACAAAAATGTATTATCGTATAAGGTATATTTATTAACAAATATATGGTTGCAATTTGCTCTGTGCTGTGTTATTGCAAATTATTGAGGTCGTTGCCCATATCATTAGAGCCACATATTTGGCACAATGCAAATGTGAGAACTGCTGTGATTCTTTAAATTCAAATTGAGTCAGCAATTTATATCATTGCCTTTTTTTTTCTAGGCTGAAAACTTTAGCATTCATACCTCTACTTCATCTAATTAGATACTAAAATTAATTTATTTACTAATAACCTTTTCTGATAATGACTATAATGCACGCTGATTATTTCTAAACTCTCATTAAAGGTATACTCTATCCATTCTCACTAACTTTATTTGTTCTAATTCCTTGCTTTATTACACTTAAATTAATACAGCAACCTCAAGTCCATCTATTTTAGTTATCTAATGCTATGCAAAAAACCATCTGTGAATCTTAGGAGATTAAAACAACACAGATGTAAGGATTTATTATTTCACAGTTTCTGTGGACCAGGAATCAGGGAGCAGCTAATTTAGATACCTGTGGTTCATGGTCTCATGAAGTTGTAGTAAAACTGTCAGTCAGGGCTGTTGTCTCATTTGAAGACTGAACTATTGAAGGACTCCCTTCCAACCTCATTCAAATGGTGGTTTTCAGGTTTCAGTTCCTTGCTGGCTACTTGAAAGACACTTCAGTTTTTCACACATGGGCCTCTTGAAAGGCTGCCTGACTTCACCTGGCAGTTTATGTCTCCAGAGCAAGTAATCTGAGTGAGTGAACCCAAGACTGAAGCAACAATGTTTGTATAAACGAATTTCAGTAGTAACATACCATCACTTCTGCTATATTCTATTCAATAGAACCAAATCACTAACTCCACTCCACACCCAAAGAGAGGGAAATCCTTCTTTGTCTTTTAAAGGGAGGCATATCAATGCATTTGTTGGCATGTTTTTAAAGCTACCATCCTCATACTACATGTTATGGTCATAGTAATGTTTCTTAAATACTACTATTTTGGATATTCCAAGATATTTTATTTTCCTATTGCATAAAATCTTTCCTACACACTGCTTATGCATAGAAAGACTGTACTTCACCTAATAAGAGAAGGAAAATAACTTTCATCCTGTATTTCTGATGCAATCTGTGTGTATATGGAAGAATCTGTCATTTTATTATTCAGATGGAGTATCCTAGGAGGAAACCTAGAGGAGGACACAGGGAATTTCTCTTCAAGGGGTGTTCTTATTCATTCATTGAGTAGTAATGAAACATTATATTTATTTTCCTCTTATTATATAAGATATTGTGCTGAATACTTACAGCACTTTGTTTCATTTAATGATCAAATCAGTCCTAAGTTGTTGCAATATATTCCCTATTTTATAGATGAGGAAACCCAGGCTTAAAAGAATTAAATAAATGACCCTAAGTCTTAGCTAATAAATAGAGGTACAGAGGTTGAAATGCAGTCTTACCTCTTAACCAGTAAGTTTGTCTTCCCTCTTGAATGTTACCGAAGAGATGTTTACGTGATTTGACATTTCTCCAGATCATATCAATAGAAAGCTTCTTTCTCCCACCACTAGAGAATGATTTCTTTGCTAACTTGTGCAAATTATACTCAGCCTCTATAAGTTGTTCTATAGCCCACCTACATAGGTCAACAGAATTGAACACTCTTTAAAAACTAGTGTTAGAAAAGTTAAGAAAGGTATATATTGGGTTTGGGGACTGAAAAGAAAGGATGGAAGCTGTTAATTAGTCATGACAATAAGGAGGGAGAATGAAGAAAATAGTATAAGGGCCAAAGTGAGAAAAGTTCTTTGAAGGTTGATAGCCATATGAAATAAGATTATTAGTTCTATGGAATCTCTTTCTTAACCTGGTATTGAGAATTTGAACATGTTTGCATGCACGTTCCAGAATGAATGAAAAAAAAATCATTTAAGTTGGAAAATGTTGTTTTGGTCCTCCCTTATTTACATGAGTGTGCATCTGAAATCAGCTCTACATTCTGTGATCTTGGAAATGTTTATGTCTCATAAACAGCCTGAAACATATTAAACAGCTTGCTCAAAGGTTACCTAGCTAAGAAGTAGTAGAGTCAGTAATAAAAACCCATGTTTGTCTAACTTTAAAGTGTATGTTGTTTTACTATATCATACTGTCTTCATAAAAATGAAACAAGAAGATTGTTGTAGTCTCTCCAAAGAAGCAGGATATATCCCTACCCTAAATTTGGTTTGGATGTCAATACTGATGGTACTACACACACATCAGGAGGGTATAAAAACATTTATTATATGAATAATGAGGCTTTCTGGGTAGAGCAGGACAGACCTCAAAACTGGTCTGAGCATGGCTTGAGAGAGCAGAGAAGAGATACTGGCTTGGTTTTACAGTGGTATTTAGGTAATGGGGATGCAGTGAGAGTTCTCACTCAGGTGGGGGCTTGCACAATGATAAATTTCCACAGGTGTTTAAAGAAGGAGCACCTAGGATTTTTCACTAACTGGCCAACATGTTCAGCAGCAGAAAGGAAGAGGGAATGATGAGACTTAAATGATAGCAACAGTCTGACATCAAAAATTGGAATCAGACTATTATCATTCACCCATGATTTTTGACTGATGACTAAAATGTACCATGTTTTGTTTAGTTGAGTATTAACTTTATAACTAAGCAATCTTATATGGCCTGTAGACTGAGTCCAGTAAGAAAGGTGAAAGTTCTGTTCAGTGCTTCACTCAAGAGCCCAGCACTGTGTATTCTGGAAAGTGAAAATAGGGCCTCAGTTGCTACCAGAAATGCCTGAAACTCCAAGGAGGATGAGTAGTATCATGATAAGGTCTGGATAATGAATTTAATATGTATATAGATATATGTAACATTCATTTATATTTGAGTATCTATGATGCAAAAAATTATTAGAGTTTTTTTTACCCCAAATTGGACAAAGAATTGTTACTGCTGCCATTAGCCAGACTAGGCAGTGAGATCATTGGCAATGGCCCAAAAGTAAGTAAAAACGTGCAGATGGGGCAGCTTGTTGTCCAGGACATCAGTGCTATGATGACAGCCTAATATTTGTTTCATTGTACTCATCTCTATGTCTGTCCTTTATTGGAGAATAAACAGGAGCAGCCATCCAGTAAGCACAGTGGGGATGCCATCAATACAGTGTATGAACTCTCTCATTGCCCCTCGATATGGTTTGAATGTGTCCCCTTAAAGTTCTTGCATTGGAAATATAATCCCCAATGGGATTATATCTAAAGATAGGTTTATATGAGGTAATTAAGGTTAAATGAGGTCATAGGGGTGGGGACCTAATCCAATAAGACTGAGGCCTTATAAGAAGAGAAATAGGACGCTTACATGCTTCCTTTTTCTTGCCATGTGATGTCTTCCACCATGTTATGACACAGCAAGAAAGTCTCACCAGATATGGCCTCTCAACCTTGGACCTCTCAGCCTCTAGAACTGTGAGAAATCAATGTATTTTCTTTACAAAATATCCTACCTCAGGTATGCTATTATAGCAACAGAAAAAATGACTAAGAACATTGGTACCAAGAAATGAGGCTGTTGCCATAATAAATACCTGAAAATATGGAAGCAACTTTGGAACTGGGTAATGGGTAAAGGCTGGAAGAATCTGAAGGATTAGGCTATTTGAAGGCTGTGTTGTAGAACATGGAGTCAAGGAAGATTATTCTGGAGGTTTAAGACTTAATGTTGTTTTTCCTGTTGGGTTTTGGATTTACTTGGGGCCTGTCACTACTTTGTTGTCTATTTTGGAATGGAAATGTCTATCTTATGTCTGTCTCATCATTGCATTCTGGGAGTAGATGACTTGTTTTCAGTTTACAGGTTCACAGCTGGAGTATATTTGCCATGAGAAGAATCATGCCTTGAATCTCACCCATATCTGATGTAGATAAGACTCTGAACTTTGGACTCTGAGTGGGTGCTGGCACAAGTTAAGAGGTGAAATGCTGTGGTTTGAATATGTTCCCCAAATTTTGTGTATCATGCAGTTAATCTCCAAATTCATATGTTGATGGCATTTGGAGGTGGGGTCTTTAGGAGGTAATTAGGATTAGCTAAGATCATCAAGGTCAGACCCCCATGATGAGAATGGTGGCTTTATAAGAAAGAGGAAGAGATACCTGAGCTGGCATGCTTTTGCCCTCCTGCTATGAGATGCCACCTGCCATGTCCTGTTGCAGCAGAAAGGCCCTCACCAGATACCTGTGTCATGCTTTTTTTTTTTTTTTTTTTTTTTTGAGACAGAGTCTCACTCTGTCGCCCAGGCTGGAGTGCAGTGGCGCGATTTCAGCTCACTGCAACCTGCACCTCCCGGGTTCAAGCGTTTCTCCTCCCTTAGCCTCCTGAGTAGCCGGGATTATAGGTACATGCCACCACGCCCAGCTAATTTTTGTATTTTTAGTAGAGACGGGGTTTCACCATGTTGGTCAGGCTGGTCTTGAACTCCTGACCTTGTGATCCTCCTGCCTTGGCCTCCCAGAGTTCTGGGATTTGACCTCCCAGCTTCCTGAACTGTGAAGTAAATAAACATCTATTTTTATAAATTACCCAGTCTGTGGAATTCTGTTATAGCAACAGAAAATAGACTAAATCACTGTTCACTAAATTTAACCCAAAGGACCCCTCACATTATCAAAGGATTAAGAAAATTGACAGTCCTCTTTTGCACCACAGCATATGACAGGGAGCTAAGCACAGGGGAGGCACCACTTACTACATGTGTTGTATGCTGGAGAACCCAAGTTTTGCTCCATCATGCTAAGCTTGAGGAGATACTTGTTCCATGACCCAAGGCTAACAAACAAATAGATATAGAGGGTCAGCCATTGCTCAGGGTCTGTGAAAGCCTGTATTTTCAGGAAAGCCCAGTATTTTTCCAGAAATTTATGTTCTAAGAGTGTCTAATGCAGGGCAAAGGAGAATAGTTTCATGCCTCAGAAGTCCAGAGGAAATTTATGACCATCATGAGTGGTACAGAGTCTCCAGGAGGAATGAAAGGAAGTGGCTAAAATCCCTGAAGTAAAGGTATCTCTGGGGACACTAATGGGATTGCCTGTTGTACTGCAATTTGGAAATATCATATATTCCTTTTTTGGAGGTGTTCCTATTCAATGTGGGCTGATTTGCAAGCACCAGCACAAACTGACTTAACTGAAATACGTAAATAAGGAATATGTTGCCTCTAGAACCCCAAAAGGCCTGATAGATGTCAAGTGTGTTTTAATGCTCTAGAGCTGAGGTGATTAATAGCTATTTCTTGAGTGTCATAGATGGAGTGGTCCTTTATTTTAACAAGTAATTTTCACAAATTTAGCTAAAGTGGCAGGCTCTTGTACTACTTGTGGGAAAATGGCCCACCCACTGTTTGTGAGCATTTGTATATCCTGAATGAGTATGTCAAATGGATGTCCTCAGAAGATGATGTCGTTAATGTAATTTCATCCCTATGCTTCTAAAGAAAGTCACGTGCAATAAGGTCTTCACCTACAAAGACTATGTGAGATGCCAAGACTGTTGAAGTACCCTATGATTAGCCAGGTTAATGTCCCTTCGGAGGTGAAGGCAAGCTGCACCTGAAAAGCTGTTAAAATGGTCACTGAACAGAACAAATTAGCCAAATCCACAATAGCAAAAATTATTCACCAGTTGCTGGTTGGATGGAATTAGTAATTTTAAATTTCAATAATATTGAGTATGGGGACTTTCATGGGTGGGACTACAGAATTAAAATTGCAGTAATCCACAATGAGACCACTGTTCATTCTTTTCAATTTAAAGAACAGGACAGGCTGGGCGGGGTGGATCACGCCTGTAATCCCAGCACTTTGGGAGGCCGAGGCATGCGGATTACCTGAGGTCAGGAGTTCGAGACCAGCCTGACTAATATGATGAAACCCCATCCCTACTAAAAATACAAAAATTAGCTAGATGTGGTGGCATGCGCCTGTAATCCCAGCTACTCGGGAGGCTGAGACAAGAGAATCACTTGAACCTTGAAGGCAGAGGTTGCAGTGAGCCAAGATTGTGCCATTGCACTCCAGCCTGGGCAACAAGAGGAAAGTCCATCTAAAAAAAAAAAAGGACAGAGGGGCGTTAAATGGAGAAACAGTGCAGATAAGCACCTATTTTCTAAATAGTTCATGTATGATGAATTTTAATTCTTAAAAACTTTGTTTTAATTTACATTGAATTGTATTAACTATTTTAACTGGAACAAGGAAGTAGGTTTATGGGTCTGATTGTATCAAGTCAATTTGTTAGTGTCAAAGACTTTCTTTAATTTTAATTTACTACTTATGAATCATACTGCCTGTATCCACTGTGCAATATTTTAGGTCTATGGGTGCTATGATCATGAAAATGTAGGCAAGAAAATAGTTCCAGTTGTTAAGGTAACATATTTTTGCCTTCTACTTTATATTCAATTACTCTTCTAAAATTATAGATGGTATTTTTTTAACTTTAGTGGAATCTCAGGTATGACTGTAATTTGTACTTCAGTAATGATTATGGTCATAAAGGTTTGTCAGCAGGTGCATTTGAGTAGATGTTAAAGTTAATTCAGAATCTGCTTTGTAGATGTTTACAAGCCAATCATCAGCCAATCGTCATCCTTTTGTCCTTTGTTGTTTACATTTGTTCAGTAAATTTTGGATTTCTAATTCAGTGAGAATGTAGACATCTGTTTTATTTTTTTATTTACTCCTTTCCCTATATGCAGGTTTCTAATTTTTTTATCCTTCCACTCCTTTCTCTTTCTTTTTTCTTGCTTTTTCATTCTCCTTTTCCTTCTTGCTTGCTTTCTTGTTTTCTATTTTTGGTTATTAGGTATACTTTGAGGGGTTCCTTTTGCCCTGATATTATTTTTAAATTTCTTCCTTCAGAGAGCCTCAAATCAGTATCATCAGGATTAAGTAACTCCCCATGGCAATATTTAACTCCTTGGTTGTGCTACAGAGGTTCCATCAGTGTTTCCTCATCCTGAGGATCAGGATGTCTTCTGGAGACAGTGGCATAGGCAGCAGCAGGAATTTCGTGGGGCTCAGTAAGTCAAATCTTCAAATAATGAATGCTCTTCAAATTGTAACTCTTCGTCCTTCACACAAACTCTCTGGTGTGTCTTATATTGGACAGAGCACTCTATAAAACAAGGTCCAATGTCTGGTGACACAGGTGAGACCAACTGATCACAGAGAAAATGTCTTTCAGCAGAGCCTAATGTCAGTCACAGCTTATGCTGAAATCAAGACACATGATTTAGTCTAAGACACACAGTAGGTCTTGGATGAGACACATGTCCCTGAGCACCTTTAATGAGGGTCTAATCCTATATGCCTGCCCCTGAATGCCTATAATCAAAACTTCCTACGTAGGTCAGTTAAACTTGTAACAGAGACTTGGAGGAATTCAGCAAATGTGGCACGAAGCAGCACAGCTGAAAAGGCTTGGTCATCAGTGGATCGCAGAGCCAGGCAGTGAGCCAAAGCAGGAGAAGAAAGACCCCGGTGCCTCAGTTAGACCTTCTGAGTATGCCATCTTTTTCTTGCTGATATTTGGTTAATACAATACCCAAAAAATCCTTTTAAGTCAAAAAGTGTCTTGGAAAGTAATACAATGAACCACCCCCCAAAAATACAGTTCTCCTACCCTCGTTTAGCTCTTTGTAGACATTTTGAGGAGAATCTAGAAGAAATCTTTTGTTTGACATTAGTCAAAAGAAAGCTAAATTTCTCCAAGGAAATAACAGAGTTTTAGGTAACAGGGAGACTTGTGAATATCGTGGGGTTAGCTAAACCCTGGGGCCTGCAGAAACTGTAGGAGGGAGAGAAAGGAAGGAAGGAAGAAGAGGTAGCATTGGAAATGAGGAGTGGTGCTTTGCAGATACCTCCATTTCTTAAGAAAATGCCAGTAATGTTTTGCATTATTTTTCAGTGTTTCTAAAATAAAACCTAATTCCCGGATGTGAAAATATGCTTAAATGGATGTCAAACTGAGTGGAATTCAGCTCAGGGAGTTGCAGTTAAGAGTCAGCTTACAACTAAATGCACGGTATGATCTTATTAGTGTGAAAAATAACAAAATATAGGCCAGTAGATGTATAGAAAAAATAAAGAGAACAATATGCTTGTGCCTTTGATAGATTTCTTTTGAGGATAATGAAAGGGTGGAATTGTGAAGAATAGAGTATGTATACACACACACACACACACACATATAGAAGGTGTGTAGTGTCTGAATTTTATCAATTAAATGTGTATCAACATGCTGATTAGGAAAATGAAACAGCAAAAATAATACATAGTACACATTAAACACTGTTTTTGGTTGTCAGGGAACGGCAGCAAGCTGTACAGGAAGTTCAGTGAAACTCCTGGCTGGAGTACTGAGAATAATGGTGTCTCTAGTTTTAAGTAAAATATCCTGAACATAGTGTCTAGCACAGGTATTATGTCATTAAATTTAATCCTTAAACAAATCTACCTGGCTGGTACTATTCTCTTCTTTTTACTGATGAGAAACATGATACACGAGGGGGTTGCCAAAGTTCACGTAGCCTGTAAGTGTCAGAACTTGGATTTGAACCTGATGCAGACTCTCTGCAGAGCCTGACATTTAACAGCTTCACTCTCCTGCTTCCCAGTAAAATTTATGGATATTTAATGGATGTGGGTGTCTATACTATAAAAGAGCAGTTAATGGTTGTAGATTAATTTTAATTGCATAGCTCAATGTTAAACTAAACATATGTGACATAAACTTTAATTGATCATGTTAATTTACTTATTTTATTTAAATCTTTTAAAATAATGTTACCTCATCATTTTACATATATATTCCCTCCTCTTTCTTCTTCCGTTAACAGTTAATTAATAAACAAAGTTTGAGTATGTTATACAATGTTATAATTAAATAAATGCAAGTTTCTCATGAAAATTTTTGCAAGAGTATGTATGCTAAAACTAATGAAACAAAATATTTTCAGATAATCCTCTTATGCATCATTTCTTTTTTTTATGTAATAACTCATCTAATATTGAGAAATCTGAAAGCAATGCTTTCCCTTAAAGTCTAGTGGGCAGCAGAAATACAATCATCATAAATTTAAAAAATATTTAGCACAATATTTTGAAAAGTTGCATGAGAAAAACATAAAACTTCAAAAATCTTGATATCTGATGAAGAAATCACAAAAGATTAAAATTGATAAATAATCTATTGGTATATTAGAGTATGTTAAATAATTATTTTATGCCATTCATGATGTAATAACTTTAACAGTTTTAATTTTAAGTAACTATTTTGAATATAAATGAGTTATTGAATGATATTTAATATGCAGTAGGTATAGTAAGCCAAATTTTTTACCTTTCCTAGTTTCTTGATTTGTGAATGCCTTTAAGCTTTCTGTAAGATAAAGAGAAATAAATGTGGTGAAGTTGAGTGAGAAAACATTTTGATACCATGTGAATTAAGAAATGCTAACGTTAATTCTTCCTCTCTAATTCCTTAGAGCAACCTGCAATTACATTTAGGAGATTAAAAGCATCAACTCTCACAGATGAACATCTTTAGAAGGTATTGTAAGATAGCTACTCACTAATTACTCATTGATTGTACCATGTATTTAAGGCATTATCAGATTTAATATAAAGGAATAGGACAAAGACACAGTGTACTATCATAAAGTATTTATTCCAATCAGGTAATGTTGACTTTTTGATTTGGTCTTGCTAAGAGCAGAATGTTTCCTTTACATCCACTAATCTGCTGCCTAAGTGTCCTGGCAGAAGCAGCCGGCAGGTTCAAATGGGGTAACTGAGGACTGCCAAAGGGGTTATGTGCAAAGATGCAGTCAAGGTACAAAGAAGCACCTCAAGGAGAGGTAACAACAGACATTAATCTTATCAGAATTAGACTTGAAGGGTCAAGGGGAGGGAGGTTACAGAAACCCATAGCCAGTAGTTGAAACTATTGTTGAGGGCTGCTGTTTAGGAGCTGGGGCTTTTAAGGGGATTCAGATACCTGAAGACATCTAGATCAGAAAAGCCAGGAAAATAATGCCCATATCTCACTCTCTTGGCTGTAGGCAGAGTCTCTACTGATGCCTTGCTTTCACTGAACCCAGCTTGAAGCCAGAGGATGGGGAAGCCATTGGTGGTAGAAGCTACTGATCAGGGTTCATTGGTCTTCAGTGCAGGAGAAGAGTAGAGATTGGATTTAGAGGGAAGAATAGAAAATATCTTGTATAACCACTCTATTCATTTGCTAAAGCTGCCATAATAAAATACCACACACAGTGTAGCTTTAACAGAAAGTTATTTTCTCACAATTCTGGTGCCTAGAAAAAGAAGATCAAGGTGTTGACGGGTTTGATTTCTTCTGAGGCCTCTCTTCTTGGCTTGTAGATGGCTGCCTTCTTGCCATGTTGTTACATGGTCATCTCTCTCTCTGTGTCCCAATCTCTTTTTCTTATAAGAAGACCAATCATGCTGGATTATCACTGACTCTAAAAGTCTTGAATTTAAAAGTCTTTGAATTTTACCTTAAATATTTTATCCATTTTACAATTTATTATACATTAAATATTGTATAAATGTTAATGTATACAAAAAATGACCAATATAAATATTAATAAACCACATAGAGGAAACCACTGAATTCTTTGGTCTCATTAAGCCAATTATCTGTTCAAACGTGCTTCAAGTATCCATAGTCTCAGTTGAGATTAGAATGCTTTGTACCTAGATTTAAAATATGTCCTTACCTTTTTTTTTTTTTTGCCCCAGACAGTGACCAAACAAAACTGTCTACTAGGCCAAGGTTGAACTTCTACCAACACCAGTGTCCTCAAGTCCTCTCAGGTCTCCCTTATCTGAAATCTCTCAGGAAAAGATTGGATAAATTAAATTTATATGTATTTAATTTATATTGAATTTGTAAGCTGTATATGTATACAACTCAATGTGTTTTTATTTGTATTTCGACAGGTAACAAAGCCTTTTACAAGAATTTTCCAAATTGTTTTCAGAATACCAACATTCTAAAAGGTATTAACTTTTATTTTAAGAAAGAGAATTCTGTATTAAAATAACTGTAGAAAATTAAACAAAATATACATTTCTTTGACAGATTCACAAAGCATGTGCAATGATTAATTTTAAGTGTCCACTTGGCTAGATGAAGGGATATCCAAATAGCTAGAAAGCCATTATTTTTGGGTATGTCTGTGAAGCTGTTTCTAGAAGAGATTGACATTTGAATCAGTGGACTGAGTAAGGAAGATACACCTTCATCCAATATGGATAAGCAACATCCAATTGGCTGAGAGCCCAGATAGAACAAAAAGACAGAAAAAAAAGCAAATTCGTTTATTATCTCTTCTACAGCTGAAATGCTCTTCTCCTGCCCTTGGACCTCAGAACTCCAACCAGATTCTCTGGCCTTTGGACTCTGGGACTTGCACTAGCAGTCCCAGGTTGTCAGGCCTTTGGTCTTGGACTGAGAGTTTCATCATCAGCTTCCCTGGTTCTGAGGCTTTTAGACTCAGATTGAGCCAATCTACTGGATTTCCTGGTTCTCCAGCCTGCAGACAGCCACTTGTGGGGATTCTCAGCCTCCATAATCGTGTGAGCCAATTTCTCCAATAAACCTCCTCTCATCTATCTATCTATCTATCTGTCTGTCTGTCTGTCTGTCTGTCTGTCTGTCTATCTATCTATCTATCTATCTATCAATCTATTTACCCACCTACCCATCCATCCTATTGGTTCTCTCTGCAGAACTCTGATTGACACAGCATCGTTATGTATTTAAGGCTGTACAATACAATACAAAAATTTTCTTAACCTAACCTTAAAGCAAATAATCAAATCTAATTAACAAACATAAGCCATCAATAAGCAGAAAGTGATGGCAGGTAGGGGTAGGGACTCTTCCTGACCATGAAATTGTGCTAGAACCTTATAATATGTCCTTGGAATTCCAGGCAAAGCACTATATATTTGGTAAACATGCATTTAGTCACACAAATCAATGTGTTTTTTGCTATACTAAAGAGTATGCTTCACATCAGTAATCACTTTTTATGCAGAGAATTCAACGAAAACAAATCTTTATGATAAAAGTAACTTCTTACATAGATGATAGTTGCAATTAACGAGGATCCTTGTCTGCTTAATTCAGAAGTGTGACCTGAAAGAAAACCCATACATGTAAGACTGCACTTTAAATATTACTGTTTGGAAAGTTTCCTAAATCCTTTTTCTTTTCTTTTTTTTTTATTATACTTTTAAGTTCTAGTGCACAACATGCAGGTTTGTTACACATGTATACATGCCCCATGTTGGTGTGCTGCACCCATTAACTCGTCATTTACATTAGCTATATCTCCTAATGCTATACCTCCCCCCTCCCCCCACCCCATGACAGGCCCCAGTGTGTGATGTTCCCCTTCCTGTGTCCAAGTGTTGTCATTGTTCAATTCCCACCTATGAGTGAGAACATGCAGTGTTTGGTTTTTTGTCTTTGTGATAGTTTGCTGAGAATGATGGTTTCCAGCTTCTTCCATGACCCTACAAAGGACATGAACTCATCCTTTTTCATGGCTGCATAGTATTCCATGGTATATATGTGCGACATTTTCTTAATCCAGTCTATCATTGTTGGACATTTGGGTTGGTCCAAGTCTTTGCTATTGTGAATAGTGCCACAATAAACATACATGTACATGTGACTTTATAGCAGCATGATTTATAATCCTCTGGGAATATACCCAGTAATGGGATGGCTGAGTCAAATTGTATTTCTAGTTCTAGATCCTTGAGGAATTGCCACACTATCTTCCACAATGGTTGAACTAATTTACAGTCCCACCAACAGTGTAAAGGTGTTTCTATTTCTCCACATCCTCTCCAGAACCTGTTGTTTTCTGACTTTAATGATTGCCATTCTAACTGGTGTGGGATGGTATCTCATTGTGGTTTTGATTTGCATTTCTCTGATGGCCAGTGATGATGAGCATTTTCTTATGTGTCCGTTGGCTGCATAAATGTCTTCTTTTGAGATGTGTCTGTTCATATCCTTCGCCCACTTTTTGATAGGGTTGTTTGTTTTTTTCTTGTAAATTTGTTTGAGTTCTTTGTAGATTCTGGATATTAGCCCTTTGTCAGATGAGTAGATTGCAAAAATTTTCTCCCATTCTGTAGGTTGCCTGTTCACTCTGATGGTAGTTTCTTTTGCTGTGCAGAAGCTCTTTAGTTTAATTAGATCCCATTTGTCAATTTTGGCTTTGGTTGCCATTGCTTTTGCTGTTTTAGACATGAAGTCCTTGCCCATGCCTATGTCCTGAATGGTATTGCCTAGGTTTTCTTCTAGGGTTTTTATGGTTTTAGGTCTAATGTTTAATTCTTTAATCCATCTTGAATTAAGTTTTGTATAAGGTGTAAGGAAAGGATCCAGTTTCAGCTTTCTACATATGGCTAGCCAGTTTTCCCAGCACCATTTATTAAATAGGGAGTCATTTCCCCATTTCTTGCTTTTGTCAGGTTTGTCAAAGATCAGATGGTTGTAGATGTGTGGTATTATTTCTGAGGTCTCTGATCTGTTCCATTGGTCTATATCTCTGTTTTGGTACCAGTACCATGCTGTTTTGGTTACTGTAGCCTTGTAGTATAGTGTGAAGTCAGGTAGCATGAGGCCTCCAGCTTTGTTATTTTGGCTTAGGATTGTTTTGGCAATGCGGGCTGTTTTTTAGTTCCATATGAACTTTAAAGTAGTTTTTTCCAACTCTGTGAAGAAAGTCATTGGTAGCTTGATGGGGATGGCATTGAATCTATAAATTACCTTGGGCAGTATGGACATTTTCAGATATTGATTCTTCCTATCCATGAGCACGGAATGTTCTTCCATTTGTTTGTATCCTCTTTTATTTCATTGAGCAGTGGTCTGTAGTTCTCCTTGAAGAGGTCCTTCACATCCCTTGTAAGTTGGATTCCTAGGTATTTTATTCTCTTTGAAGCAATTGTGAATGGGAGCTCACTCATGATTTGGCTCTGTCTGTTATTGTTGTATAAGAATGCTTGTGATTTTTTGCACATTGATTTTGTATCCTGAGACTTTGCTGAAGTTGCTTATCAGCTTAAGATTTTGGGCTGAGACGATGGGGTTTTCTAAATACACAATCCTGTCATATGCAAACAGGGACAATTTGACTTCCTCTTTTCCTAATTGAATACCTTTTATTTCTTTCTCCTGCCTGATTGCCCTGGCCAGAACTTCCAACACTATATTGAATAGGAGTGGTGAGAGAGTGCATCCCTGTCTTGTGCCAGTTTTCAAAGGGAATGCTTCCAGTTTTTGTCCATTCAGTATGATATTGGCTGTGGGTTTGTCATAAATAGCTCTTATTATTTTGAGATACGTCCCATCAATACCTAATTTATTGAGAATTTTTAGCATGAAGGGCTGCTGAATTTTGTCAAAGGCCTTTTCTGCATCTATTGAGATAATCATGCGGTTTTTGTCTTTGGTTCTGTTTATATGCTGGATTACGTTTATTGATTTGCATATGTTGAACCAGTCTTGCATCCCAGGGATGAAGCCCACTTGATCATTGTGGATAAGCTTTTTGATGTGCTGCTGGATTTGGTTTGCCAGTATTTTATTGAGGATTTTTACATCAATGTTCATCAGGATTATTGGTCTAAAATTCTCTTTCTTTGTTGTGTCTCTGCCAGGCTTTGGTATCAGGATGATGCTGGCCTCATAAAATGAATTAGGGAGGATTCCCTCTTTTTCTATTGATTGGAATAATTTCAAAAGGAATGGTACCAGCTCCTCCTTGTACCTCTGGTAGAATTCGGCTGTGAATCCGTCTGGTCCTGGACTTTTTTGGTTGGTAGGCTATTAATTACTGCCTCAATTTCAGAGCCTGTTATTGGTCTATTCAGGGATTCAACTTCTTTCTGGTTTAGTCTTGGGAGGGTGTATATGTCCAGGAATTTATCCATTTCTTCTAGATTTTCTAGTTTATTTGCATAGAGATATTTATAATATTCTCTGATGGTAGTTTGTATTTCTGTGGGATCGGTGGTGATATCCCCTTTATCATTTTTTATTGCATCTATTTGATTCTTCTCTTTTTTCTTCTTTATTAGTCTTGCTAGTGGTCTATCAGTTTTGTTGATCTTTTCAAAAAACCAGCCCCTGGATTCATTGATTTTTTGAAGGGTTTTTTGTGTCTCTGTTGCCCTCTTAGCACAGTGGGCAGTGCGTCAGTCTCATAATCTTAAATCCTTTTTCTAACAGCTGGTAACCTAGAAAGACATTTAGAACACTGTAGTGCACTTAATATTGGCAATTTACAACACAAAATTTAAATTTCAATAATAAATTAACCTAGTAAGACATGTAGAAAACACTAAGAAGTCAAGTCTGAAAAGTAGAGGCCTCATTTTTCTCATTAACTTAACTGTATTAATCTAATCCTTCATTACAATGATGTGACCACTACGTCAAAGGGAGGAGGTAGAAGAAGGGGAAGGTAGCATAAACCATCTCTTCTAAAAAGAGTTTTGGTTTATATTATTCCAACTCCACTATCTACACATGTATACACACACACACACACACACACACACACCCATTCAAACTCACTCACATGCTTACTTGCAGTCACACACACACTCCTCACACCTCACATCAACTCATATGCTAAGCCACACATATACTGCAGTCTATCTATTCCCATGCATTTCTCATGATTCACAGTCTCTGGTTAGAGTCAAGGCAACTTAAAAAGAATTCCAGAACATGTTGAACCTGTAACCATGCATTAGGCACTGACTAAACCCAAGTGTTAGTTTGTTCCCTGGTCTAACTAGAAGTTTTTGCTTGTTTTTCTGTAATAACAAGCAATAATGCTAACATTTTAGAACATCAAAGAACTTAAAGATCCAATAAAGAGTTATTTATTGGATCATTTATATTTAAATGTAAAAACTTGTACAACATTCAGATATTATCACACTGGCTTCTGTTACCTCCATTGGAGATGAATTCTTTCAAATGCCTGTGTAGAGAGGCTTTTTGATCCTGCCGTGTGCCCACACCAAGCTTTTTCCTGGAACCATATAAGCACTTACTTCTGAGCAGGGGAATATTCTGAATCTTCCTATAGCCTCTCCTGGGAGAGAAGTAACAAGCATTGAAGAGGTCCAGTCATGACCTCTTCTTTAAAGAAGCCTTTTGCTTCTTTGAGAGAGTCTCAATGGGCAGATCTCCCTCTAATCTATAACGTCAGTGTTAACAGTGTGTACACTGTTGAGCTCTATGGAGCTCAACAAACAGCACATGTTCCTTTTGGTGCAAAGGTGAATTTTATCTTTTTGATGAAGTTTCTTAGAAATCTTGCTGTAACATACTTGAAAACAATAGTTCATATTCACAAATTTGTTATATTTATCTCTTTTTATTTTACAAGAAAGAAAATCCTTGACACACTAAAATCTTCAGGAACATTAGGCCTAAAAATGTCAATTTGACAAAACATCTGGAATAATGTCACTTTTCATAAACAAAGTGTGTGTTTATTTATGAAATAATATATACACACCATATATTGTATATTATATACAATATTATATAAATATATAGTATAATATAATGTTACAATATTATATAAATATATTATATTATATAAATAATATACACATTATATATTGTATATATTATTGTATATTATATACACAATGTTATATATACAATATTATACATAGTATTGTATATGTAATTGTATATTATATATTTAGATATACCTTATATATACAATATTATATACAATAATATATACTATAGGTGTATATAATATTTTCACAAATAAACATGACATACAAGTGTGTTTGTATATTATATAATGTGTATTTATTATTTTAATAAATACACACATATGAATGTATATTTATTACACATTATATAATATATATGCACACACATATGTCACGTGTGTATATATATGTATATATATATATTACATGTACACTTCTATATTGATATATATATGAATACTGGTTAATTCATATAATCTTGCACAGATACTCACCCAGAAATGCTATGTGGATATAGCTGAAAGGAAAACCATAGAAGATAATATAATGTCACTCGTCATATCTTGGTAAAAAAAGGAAAGGGGAAAAACTTAAACTCATACTTATAATGCCTATGCTCCAAGCAGCCATGAGACATAATGCAGTATGTAGGAGTTCAATTCCTGTAGTGGTCTTTCCTCAGAAAGGAGCCATAGAAGGCAGTGGCACCAGCCAGGCACTGTGGCTCATACTTGTAATCCCAACACTTTGGGAGGCTGAGGAGGGCTGATGACTTGAGGTCAGGAATTGGAGACCAGCCTGGCCAAAATGGTGAAACCCCGTCTCTACCAAAAATACAAAAATTAGTTGGGCATGGAAGCGTGTGCCTGTAATCTCAACCACTTGGGAAGCTGAGGCAGGAGAATCGTGAATCGCTTGAACCCAGGAGGCAGAGGTTGCAGTGAGCTGAGATCGCGTCACTGCACTCCAGCCTGGGTGACAGAGCAAGACTGTGTTTCAAAAAAAAAGAAGGTGATGGCCCACTGGGCTTTCGCTATGATGACCAGGATGTTCTGCATGTCAGAAGATACATGATGGCATATTTCCATGGGTCAAGTAACCATGTACTAAGAGATTTTAAAAAGGAAACCAATATTCCTGAACTGTACAAGTCTGAAAAGTTATATACAGAAATAAGTGTGGATTTGAGTGTTTATATACATGCATGTATATTAAAATGCATAGTATATAGTCTCGCTTTAATTTTTAGATGATACTTCTATGACTCATTATTATCTCATGCAAAAGAGAATCCTCTCGTCAGAAAATTATGCCTGCCCTAAGAGAAAAAATCTTGAAATATGTATTTTTTTTGCAGCAGGTATTTCTCAAGGAACACTATCTGCTGTGTGTTTAGTGCCTCCTAACCTCCAGGCCACGTGTCTCTTAGAAGCTATAAACCATCAGGCTACAGCCAGCATCAGATTACTCCTACACAGAAAGTACTTGCAACTGCTTACATAACTTAAGCCAATCCATTCTACACCAGGCGTGGACTAGAATATTGAAATGCTGCTCACATAGATATTACTTTTGTAAGCACTAGATATTGTGGTATTCCGAACACTACGGCCCCCACTTAGCTGTGAATTTCTAAAGAGCTTTTCATTTCTGTGTATAGGGAGTACAGATTAGAAGTACTTGATGCCTGTTGTAGCTTTGGGAGGGTTGATAGGAATCTATTATTAATCTCATTACCTAGCATCAAAGAGTTCTAGACTACTGGAGTCGACTAATTAATACACTGCTGAGAAAGTAATTACAATGCAGCAAGCACACCTACAGGCTAATATTCATCTTTTAGGCTGACAAGGAGAATCTGCAAATATATTTTTTGTATAAAATAGAATTTTTTATGTTTTGCTTTCTTGATATATAGACATATATAAAGCATAATAAGTATGTTTTAAATAAAGGTGAACGTGAGTGCACTCTAAAATTATAGAGTCAAAATATTAGAGCTTGAAAAAAATTAGAGATCATTTATTTTGGAATTTTTTTTTTTTTTTTTTTTTTTTGAGACAGAGTCTATCTCTGTCACCCAGGCTGGAGTGCAGTGTCGCGACCTCGGCTCACTGCAAGCTCCGCCTCCCGGGTTCACCCCATTCTCCTGCCTCAGTCTCCCAAGTAGCGGGGACTACAGGCGCCTGCCACTACGCCCGGCTGATTTTTTTTTTTTTTTTTTAGTAGAGACGGGGTTTCACCATGTTAGCCGGGAAGGTCTCGATCTCCTGACCTCGTGATCCGCCTGCCTCGGGCTCCCAAAGTGCTGGGATTACAGGCGTGAGCCACCGCGCCCGACCATTTTGGTAGTTTTAAAGTCTCTTCTCCTTAGAATGAGAGGGTTTGCCAGGAGAAGTGAGAGGGCCAAGGAATCTGGTCTTCTGTCCTGCCCCACCCAATACTCTTTCTTCATCTGAAGCATCTCAGCACTGACTTGCTTCACGTATTAGGCTTCCATTTGGGCTGACATTTGGATACAATTTTTGTTGTCTAAGAAGTTTGGTCAGCAGTGGCATATTGGATAAAAACAGTGACTTGGGAGATAGATTAACTGGGTGAAAATCTCTGTTCTTTCACTTTGCACCTATCAGATAACCCCCTTCTCCAATAATTTCCTCAACTGTAAAATGGAAATAATGGTAGTGGCCATTTAATAGGGCTTTTAAGGAGATTGAGTATATTACTGTACATAAAGTGCTAAGAACAGTGCCTGTCACATGCTAAGTGCTGTATAAATGTTGGCTTTCATTTAGACATTAGACAGACCAATAGATTGTATAAACTGAGAGAACTACAGAGCTGGAAGGGAACTTGCAGATCAGCTATTGAGACACAAGAGTGCCAAGTATGGTATTTATATCTACATGTCAAGCAGAAACTGAGACAGTATCAGAGCCTAGGTCCTCAGTGTATGTTAGAGTGAGTAATTTCTGTTCATCAACTTGTTCCTAGCTACCAAGAAGAGGTTAAAACAAATTTAGTTTAAATATAGGGATGTTTACACTCCATGTTTTAAAATTTCTATCTCAATATTTTTAAATGAAAAGTTTTTATTCTTTAAGAGAGGAGTTTTCATTTTTTAGTAATGTATTTATATATAGAAGTATATGTAGATTTACTGATGGTGCTAGATAGATGGATTGTTACTCTACCACAGCTAGTTATGTCTGATCACTCATTTTTGCAGCTTCCATGGGACTCTTGTGCTTATCTTTGAAGTGGTAATTTATCTGAGTAATGTCTGGGTCAGAGCCAAGCACAATACTGACAACAGACCAGGGGTTCAATAAGTTTTCCATGAATGAATAAGAAGAACGAAACTCTTCTTTTTGTTGATCCCATTTATAGTCCACTTTTTAGCGACTGTGTTTCAGGCAGGGATGCTGCAACACCCCTAGAGAGTTGCATCGCACAAGAAAGCAGAAGAAAGACTCACGTGGGTGCTGAAATCAGCCTATGTGCCCCTTGCCAAACCACTATGGAGATGGGTCCACCCTAATAAAGTAAGGGATTTTTGTTGTTGTTTTGTTTTTTGCTTTTTTGAAAAAAAGTGCCGTATGCCATAGACTTTTCAACTATTCATCGGTAAGGTTGTGAGAAAAGGCTGATTGCCCTGTGTCCCACAAAGGTGATTTTCAGTCAAGCAGCTTCCTTGCTAGTGATCAGATCAGAGTTCCATCTGAACCAGTGTCTGGCATTTTTGACTCAGTCTCCAGTGACTGGCAGTCCTGCTGGCCTCCCATTTCTATGTTTATGTAATCACTGCCTGTCAGTAGACATTTTTGGCACTAAGGGGTCTACTTGTCAGTACCTATGTGGCCCTTGATTGCTTGATAATTCTACTGGTTGACACAGCTTTCATAGTTTGATCTAGCCTCAGACCTTTTGGTCTATCACGATTGAATTTGTCCACTGCACCTTGATTAGCTGCCAGTCCCATCCAGTCTACATCTCTTCTCCAGACTTTTATCAATATTGGTAATATGGTGCTTTGCCTCCCACCTGTAACATCTCAGACAATCTCATTCTGATTTTTTTTTTTTTTTTTGAGACGGAGTCTCGCTCAGTCGCCCAGGCTGGAGTGCAGTAGCGCGATCTCGGCTCACGGCAAGCTCCGCCTCCCGGGTTCACGCCATTCTCCTGCCTCAGCCTCCGGAGTAGCTGGGACTACAGGCGCCCGCCACTACACCCGGCTATTTTTTTTTTTTTTTTTTGTATTTTTAGTAGAGACGGGGTTTCACCGTGTTAGCCAGGATGGTCTTGATCTCCTGACCTTGTGATCTGCCCATCTCGGCCTCCCAAAGTGCTGAGATTACAGGCAGGAGCCACCGCGAGCAGTGGTGTTCTTTTATCAAATTCCAGCCCTTTTTCATTCTGCTTTTTCTGCTTAAGTTCACAGTCTGCTTTTCTACTGCCTTTGGGACTCCCATTCCCAGATACTGATCCCTAAAAGAAAACTGCCATTTAAGTCTTTTCACCTGCCTCTTTGACCCTTCAGGCATCATTATCATCCCTAGAAATAAACAGATCTTTCCAGCCTATGCCACTACCTGACCACCCAAACTCTAGTTCCTATACCTTACTTATTTTCATGCGCGTCCGTGTGAAGAGACCACCAAACAGGCTTTGTGTGAGCAACATGGCTGTTTATTTCACCTGGGTGCAGGTGGGCTGAGTCGAAAAGAGAGTCAGGGAAGGGAGATAAGGGTGGGGCCGTTTTATAGGATTTGGGTAGGTAAAGGAAAATTACAGTCAAAAGGGGGTTTGTTCTCTGGCGGGCAGGAGTGGGGGTCGCAAGGTTCTCAGTGGGGGTGCTTTTTGAGCCAGGATGAGCCAGGAAAAGGACTTTCACAAGGTAATGTCATCACTTAAGGCCAGGACCGGCCATTTACACTTCTTTTGTGGTGGAATGTCATCAGTTAAGGTGGGGCAGGGCATATTCACTTCTTTTGTGATTCTTCAGTTACTTCGGGCTATCTGGGCGTATACGTACAAGTCACAGGGGATGCGATGGCTTGGCTTGGGCTCAGAGGCCTGACATTCCTGCCTTCTTATATTAATAAGAAAAATAAAACAAAATAGTGTTGAAGTGTTGGGGTGGCGAAAATTTTTGGGGGGTGGTATGGAGAGAAAATGGGCGATGTTTCTCAGGGCTGCTTCAAGCAGGATTAGGGGCAGCGTGGGAACCTAGAGTGGGAGAGATTAAGCTGAAGGGAGGTCTGGTGGTAAGGGGTGATATTGTGGGTTGTTAGAAGAAACATTTGTTGTGTAGAATTATTGGTGATGGCCTGGATACGGTTTTGTATAAATTGAAAAACTAAATGGAATAAGAGAAGGAGAAAAACAGGTATAAAAGGTCTAAGAATAGGGAGGACCTAGGACATCTGATTAGAGAGTGCCTAAGGAGATTCAGCATAGTCCTGCTAGCAAAGATTATTTATTTACTTCAAGAGTTTAGAGTGGCAGTTTGGGGATAGCACGAAGAGATATCAGCTGTGATGGCTTGGAGAAACTGTGTAAACTGGCAGTGTAAACAAGAGCAGGGCATGTATGAGTAGTTGAGAACGGAGAATAGGAGTATGACTAGACAAAAGATAGTAGGGATGACAAGTTTTTTTGGGGCACAGTCTAAGTTGGTCCAGTGTCTGGAATGAGACTGGGGCCTAATAAAAAGGAGCTCAAATGGGCTGTACCTTGCAGCAGTCCGAGGACAGGCCTGAATTCTGAGAAGGGAAAGTGGTAAAAGTATTGTCCAGTCCTTTTTAAGTTGGTGGCTGAGCTTGGTGAGGTGTGTTTTTAAAAGACCTTTAGTCCATTCTACTTTTCTCGAAGACGGAGGACCGTAAGGGATATAAAGTTTTCACTGAATACTAAGAGCCTGAAAAACTGCTTGGCTGATTTGACTAATAAAAGCTGGTCTGTTATCAGACTTTATAGAGGTGGGAAGGCTAAACTGAGGAATTATATCTGACAGAAGGGAAGAAATGACTGTGGTGGCCTTCTCAGACCCTGTAGGAAAGGCCTTTGCTTATTCAGTGAAAGTGTCTATTTAGACTAAGAGGTATTTTAGTTTCCTGACTCAGGGCATGTTGCGTAAAGCTAATTTGCCAGTCCTGGGTGGGGCAAATCCTCGAGCTTGTTGTGTAGGGAAGGGAGGGGGCCTGAATAATCCCTGAGGTGTAGTAGAATAGCAGATGGAACACTGAGAAGTTATTTCCTTGAGGATAGATTTCTACGATGGAAAGGAAATGAGAGGTTCTGAGAGGCAGGCTAGTGGCTTGTACTATAGCATAGCCTGCCTTTGCTGGTGTGTGGCGATTAGGCCTGGTGGAACCGCCATCAATAAATCAAGCATGATCAGGGTGAGGAACAGGAAAGAAGGAAATATGGGGAAATGGGGTAAATATCAGGTGGATCAGAGAGATACAGTCATGGGGGTCAGGTGTGGTATCAGGAATAATGTGGGAGGCCAGATTGAAGTCCGGGCCAGGAACAACGGTAATTGTGGGACTTAACAAAGAGTGAGTATAGCTGAAGGAGCCGGGAGCAGAAAGTATTTGCGTCAGGTATGAGGAAGAAAATAGATTTTGGAAGTTAGGAGAAATGTAGAGAGTGAGTTGAGCATAGTTTGCGATTTTTAGGGCCTCTAAAAGTATCAAAGCAGTGGCAGCTGCTGCACGCAGACATGAGGGCTAGGCTAAAACAGTAAGGTCAAGTTGTTTGGACAGAAAGACTACAGGGTGCGGTCTTGGCTCTTGTGTAAGAATTCTGACAGCACTAACCATGCCTAGGAAGGAAAGGAGTTGTTTTGTAAGGGATTGAGGTTTGGGAGATTAATCGGACACTATCAGCAGGGAGAGCACGTGTGTTTTTATGAGAATTATGCCGAGATAGGTAACAGGTGAGGAGGAAATTTGGGCTTGACTGAAGTAATGGGGTCTGTCTGTGAAGACTTGCGGCAGTACAGCCCAGGTAATTTGCTGAGCCTGATGGGTGTCAGGGTCAGTCCAAGTGAAAGCGAAGAAAGGCTGGGATGACGGGTGCAAAGGAATAGTAAAGAAAGCATGTTTGAGATCCAGAACAGAATAATGGATTGTGGAGGGAGGTATTGAGGATAGGAGAGTATATGGGTTTGGCACCATGGGGTGGATAGGCAAAACAATTTGGTTGATAAGGCATAGATCCTGAACTAACTTGTAAGGCTTGTCTGGTTTTAGGACAGGTAAAATGGGGGAATTGTAAGGAGAGTTTATAGGCTTTGAAAGGCCATGCTGTAGCAGACGAGTGATAACAGGCTTTAATCCTTTCAAAGCATGCTGTGGGATGGGATATTGGCATTGAGCGGGGTAAGGGTGATTAGGTTTTAATGAGATGGTAAGGGGTGCATGATCGGTCACCAAGGAGGGAGTAGAGGTATTTTATACTTGTGGGTTAAGGTGGGGGAATACAAGAGGAGGACGCAAAGGAGGCTTTGGGTTGGGGAGAAGGGCAGCAATGAGATGCAGCTGTAGTCCAGGAATAGTCAGGGAAGCAGATAATTTGGTTAAAATATCTTGGCCTAATAAGGGAACTGGGCAGGTGGGGATAACTAAAAAAGAGTGCATAAAAGAGTGTTGTCCAAGTTGGCACCAGAGTGGGGCAGTTTTCAGGGGTTTAGAAGCCTGGCCGTCAATACCCACAACAGTTATGGAGGCAAGGGAAACAGGCCCTTGAAAAGAAGGTAATGTGGAGTGGGTAGCCTCCGCATTGACTAAGCGGACGGGCTTAACTTCCACTGTGAGAGTTACCCGAAGCTCGGCATCCATGATGGTCTAAGGGGCTTCCGAGGCGATCGGGCAGCGTCAATCTTCAGCTGCTAAGCCGAGAAGGACTCAGTCAGAGAGCCTTGGGCCAGAGTTCCAGGGGCTCTGGGAGTGGCTGCCAGGTGAGTTGAACAGTCCAATTTTCAGTGGGGTCCTACACAGATGGGACGCGGCTTAGGAGGAATCCCGGGCTGTGGGCATTCCTTGGCCCAGTGGCCAGATTTCCGGCACGTGTAGCAAGCTCCTGGGGGAGGAGGTTCAGGAGGAATGCCTGGCTGCTGCGGTTCAGGCGTTTGGAAGTTCTTGTGTGCTGGATATGTGGCTGGGGTTTGTCTCACAATGGAGGCAAGGAATTGCAACTTTTTTCTGTTATTGCACACCTTGAAGGTGAGGTTAATTAAGCCCTGTTGTGGGGTTTGAGGGCCAGATTCCAATTTTTGGAGTTTTATTTAATGTCGGGAGCAGATTGGGTAATAAAATGTATATTGAGAATAAGACGGCCTTTAGACCTTTTAGGGTCTAGGGCTGTAAAGCGTTTCAGGGTTGCTGCCAAAGGAGCCATGAACTGGGCTGGATTTTTATATTTGATGAAAAAGAGCCTAAACGCTATCTGATTTGGGATAAAGAAAAAGGAGCATTAACCTTGACTATGCCTTTAGCTCCAGCCACCTTTTTAAGAATAAATTGCTGGGCAGGTGGGGAAGGGCTAGTCAGGGAACGAAACTGTAAGCCAGACCAGGTGTGAGGAGGGGAGGTGATAAAAGGATTATAGGGTGGAGGAGCAGAGGCTGAGGAAGAATTGGGACCTAGCTTGGCCTGGCGAGGAGGGGAGAGGTCAGATGGGTCTGTAGAAAAGGAAGATTAGAAAGACTCAGCAACGCTTGGGGTTGGGACCGAGGGGACAGGCAGGAGGGAAAGAAGGAAGATTTGGGATGAGTTGCATTGGGCACAGAGACTAGGAAGGGACTGATGTGTAAAAAATGCCTGGACGTCAGGCACCTCAGACCATTTGCCCATTTTACGACAAGAATTATTTAGATCTTGTAGGATGGAAAAATTGAAAGTGCCGTTTTCCGGCTATTTGGAACTACTGTCGAGTTTGTATTGGGGTCAAGCGGCATTGCAGAAGAAAATAAGACACTTAGATTTTAGGTCAGGTGAGAGTTGAAGAGGTTTTAAGTTCTTAAGAATACAGGCTAAGGGAGAAGAAGGAGGAATGGAAGGTGGAAGCTTGCCCATAGTGAAGGAGGCAAGCCCAGAGAAAAGAGTAGAGACACGGAGAACGGATGGTGGGTTCTTGCCCTCCAGAAAAGCAGAGAAGGGGTTGGGGCATGGAAATAAGGGATTGGGGCACAGAGATAAGAGGTCAGGGTGCAGAAATAAGCTATTGGGGCACAAAGATAAGAGGTTGGGGTGCGGAAATAAGCGATTGGGGGGTTCTTGCCCCCTAGGAAAGTGGGACTTGCCACTAAGGGTGAAGGAGAAGGGGTTGAGGGGTACTTGCCCCTGCCCCAGAAAAGTGGGAGTTGCCACTAAGGGTGAAGGAGAAGGGGTTGGGGTACTTGCCCCTTCCTCAGAAAAGCGGGACTTGCCGCTAAGGGTGAAGGACCAAGGCAGGCGTCCCTGCGTGGTCTGACACCTTTGAAACTTGGGTGAATAATCAGAGAGGTGTCCCTGCAATGATTAAACACCAAGGGAAGGCTGCCTTCCCAGTCTGTGACTGGCGCCGGAGTTTTGGGTCCACAGATAAAACGTGTCTCCTTTGTCTCTACCAGAAAATGAAAGGAATTGAAATTAAGAGAAGGGAGAGATTGAAGTGTGACGCCAAGATTGAAAGGAGAAAGTGGTTGAGGGATAGTGAGGGAGGTTGGAGAAGAGTAAAAAGAGGCCGCTTACCAGATTTGAAATTGGTGAGATGTTTCTTGGGCTGGTCGGTCTGAGGACCTAATGTCGTAGGTGGATCTTTCTCACAGAGCAAAGAGCAGGAGGACGGGGGATTGATCTCCCAAGGGAGGTCCCCCGATCCGAGTCACGGCACCAAATTTCATGCGCATCCGTGTGAAGAGACCACCAAACAGGCTTTGTGTGAGCAACATGGCTGTTTATTTCACCTGGGTGCAGGTGGGCTGAGTCCGAAAAGAGAGTCAGCGATGGCTTGGCTTGGGCTCAGAGGCCTGACACTTATAAGGACACAGTTTTGTTTATACTATAAATAAAATAATTTTTTAAAAATACGTAGTTTTATTTATTGAAAATTTTTAAAATACAAGCATACAGATAATGTTTTCCCACAACACTCTGCTTTGAGTGAGGTTTCAATTACTTTAAAATAATATTTATTTTGCAATTTTGGACTCAGAAACCTCACACTGGGAGTTTCTTCAACCATACTGTTCTGCTGTTGATAACAGTTTTTTGTCTTGAAATTTTTAATTAGAATTCTAAATTTATATACTGGGCAGAAAATGTCTATCTGAAATATTCAAGAATACTTGCTTACTGTTCTGATATTATATGCATGTGTGAGGTATGGAAATGCAGAAGGAACAGGAGATAGTACATACAGCATAGTATCTATGTGGTGTATGAATCTCCCCATCAGAGCAATTTGATCACCATGAATCTTAAGTCTTTCACAGTATCAAGTGATCTGTAAAAGATCATTAGGAAAATTGATTTTCTTAGGCTATATTTTTAAAGTGAATATTTCCTTCTTGTTTCCTTTGTAGAACAGATATTCAGTGTTCAGTTTTTCACTTTTGTTTAGCAGTATTTTCTTCACTAAAGAATCATAATTAAAGAAAACCATTTAAAAAATTCACAAGCTCTTACAGGCTCAGAGCAATTAGGCTAGGTAATTAGAAACACGATAAAAGAGAAGCTTGGGAAAAAGATTTAAACCCCTATTGAACATTTATATTAAAAGATGAATAAGGAAGAAAGAAAATTAAAAGCATAGTTTCTATCTGGTGGGCAAAGGATAAAGCCAATTATTCTGGAACATGTTTATTTACCTAGATTTAGTTATTCATAATACGTAGAAAAATCAGATGTGCTGGAGGAAAAAAATAGGTGTTCCTTTTCATCTTGCAGGCAATAAAATATTCCCACACAGGAAAAGGATTTTCTACCATAGAGCATTTTTTTTTCAGTTCTTTAAACTAAAAATTAAAGAGATATCCAATATATTTCTGATGTCAACCAGGTAAAATTATCTACTTTGCAAATCAGAAGATAAATTTTAAGAAGAGAGCAAAAGCTTTGCATGCAGAGGCTAATCTGGGAGTAGATAGTTAATGACATTGCAAAGGAAAACCATCCAGAAACATTTCCTTGAATGAAAAGTATGTTTCAGTTGTGCATTGTTTGGTGTCTTGAACTATTGCCACAAAGGAGATCTTCACAAACTTCCAACAAGGAAAAGGAGAATCTAAAAAGATTAGTAAATGTAAATGTCACCTTGGTGCACTATTTGTAATCTAAAAGGAACAAACCACAATAAAACAAAAACAAATAACCTTTCCTAGTACTGAGAGAAAAGGAATTATTTTCTGCAGAATTTTTAAAATGGAAACAATGTTTTGTGTTATCAAAGTGTAGCTTCCTACTCACTTATTTAATTTTTTTCTTAAGTTGGGGCACAATATACATAACATAAAATTCACCAATTTAAGCGGTTTAAGTGTACAATTTGGTGACATTAAGTACATATTCACATTACTGTGCAGTTATCACTACCATCCATCTTCAGAACTTTGTCATCATCCCCAAATACACTGTATTCATTAAACACTAACTCCTCTTTCTAACCTCCATCTACTTTCTGATAATCACCATTCTACTTTCTGTTTTTATAAATGTGACTGTCCTAGGAACCTCATAAAAGGAACCACAGAATATCTGTCCTTTAATGACTGGCTTATTTCACTCAGCGTAATGTTTCCAAGTTTAATTCATTCTGTAGCATGTGTTAGAATTTCCTTCCTTTTTTAAGTCCGAATAACATTCTTTATTAGTCAAGATTCTCTAGAGGCACAGAACTAATAGGATAGATGTATATACAAAAGGGAGTTTATTTTATTTATTTATTTATTTATTTTTTGAGACAGAGTCTCGCTCTATTGCCCAGGCTGGAGTGCAGTGGCACAATCTCGGCTCACTGCAAGCTCCGCCTCCCGGGTTCAGGCCATTCTCCTGCCTCAGCCTCTTGAGTAGCAGGGACTACAGGCGCCCGCCACCATGCCTGGCTAATTTACAAAAGGGAGTTTATTAAGGAGAATTGACTCACATGATCACAAGATGAAGTCTCACAATAGCTCATCTGCAATTTGAGGAGCAAGGAAGCTAGTAGTGGCCCAGGCCGGGTCCCAAAACCTCAAAAGTAGGGAAGCCAACAGTGCAGCTGTTAGTCTGTAGCCGAAGACCTGAGAGCCTCTGGCAAAATCCTGGTGTAAGTCCAAGAGTCCAGAAGCCAAAAAACATGGAGTCTGATGTTCCAGAGCAGGAATAATCCAGCATGGGAGAAAGATGAAGGCCAAAGACTCAGCAAGTCCACCTTCTGCCTGTTTTTTCTAGCCACGCGGGCAGCCGATTGGATGGTGTCCACCCACACCGTGGGTGGGTCTTCCTGATGATGGGTCTTCCTCTCTCAGTCCTTTGACTCAAATGTTAAATCTGTTCTGGCAACACCCAGATACACCCAGAACAATTACTTTGCATTCTTCAGTGATTAAGTTGACATTTAACTTTAACCATCACACATTCTATGGTATGTATGTAGCACATTTTGTTTATTCATTCATTTTTCGCTAGACCCTTGGGTTGCTTCCACCTTTTGGTTATTGTGAATAATATATGCTGTGAACAGGTACAAATGTCTGTTCCAGTTCCCACTTTCGCTTCTGTGGGAAAATTGCCTAGCACGGGAATTGCTGGATCATATGGTGGCTCTATGTTATTTATGCTGTTTTCTACAGCAGCTGCACCATTTTACATTCCCTCCAGCAATGCATGAGGGGTTCAATATCTCCAAGTCTTTGCCAACACTTTGTATTTTCTGTTTTATTTCTTTTCTCTTTCTAATAATAGCTATCCTAGTGGGCATGAGGGGTTATCTCATTGTGGTTATAATTCTCCCTTTTAGTATAGTAGGGTTTATAGCCAACGACATTTAATCAGTAAGAATAGATCAAAATTGAGTTTATGACATTTCCTTTGTTCTTTCTTACCCTACATATGCCTGCAAACACTTATCTCTATAGTTGGAATTCCAGGGATATATATGGTGAAATACACACACACACACACACACACACACACACACACACACAGAGTTTTAGATTCCATTTGACAGCAGACAAGCCCTGTTGGGATTAAACATAGTCAACATTGTACAGATCGGATTTGAAAGCGGTTGTACTATTATCTATCATCCACCATGAGCATTTTGAAAATTATCATTGAAAATATACAAATTTCTAACTTAAGAGTCCTCCACAATAGGTGTCCTTTTAAATAAAATATCATAATTTTGACAGTGAATTAGGGGCCAGAAATATGCAGAGCAAAATGACTTTGGACATCAGGAAAGCATTTGGTATATTTAATATGAAAGAAGTCCTGCTTGAGTCCGTCTGTTTCACAAGCAAATTAGTCAAAAGATGAATTACTTAATTTGGCTTCTTCCTGCTTCAGGCTATTTTAAATATCTCAGGTGATCTAATGCAACTGGGCAATAACATGACCAGGATTTTTATTTGCATAGCTACACTCACACTGTTATTGGCATATAATTTAAAAGTAAAGACTAAGAATTTTTTCCATTTAGGTCAAAGATCATGTTTACATTTTTATTATTTCACTAAATCCAAGGTCATAATAATCTTCATTTTATGATTGCAGTTTAAATTGAAGAATATGTTAACATTAATTACTTAGCAAGTAAATAGATTCTTTTTTTATTTTTTGTTTGTATTTTGAATCTTTGAAATGACACTCTTTAAAAACGTATTTGCTCAAAATATTTGACACTCATGCTTTATTTAAATAGTTGAAATCTCTATTTTTGCTCATTGAAGTTACAGAATTATAGAATATGTAAGCCAAAAGGAAATCAGTAAATTAACCATATATATGTATATGCTAATTTTGAAAAACAGGATTAATCCTTAGCAAAGTGAATGCACAGACTAAAGATGAGGCTCACTTGTTACATATAGGTTTGGAGTAAATTTCTGGCTGGTCACATATTAACTGCTCAGTTACTTTCCTTACATCAACTGCCATGCCACCGTCCCCATACAAGGAAGAGTACATGAAGTAGACAGCCAGGTAGATGATATTCGAGAATCAATTTATTTAGTAATACTTTAACATTCTTGTTGGAAATCTTTCTATAAAATATATTCAGTGTTCTTGACTTTCTTAATTGATGCACAACAACCAAAAAAATTGTAACGCTCATTGTGAGTGTTGACTAGTATATAATGCTACATAATATTATACTTTTTTCAGAAAAAGTATTGTGTAGGGAGCATATTTGTACTCAAATCCACATGTCTCTATTCTATTTTAAAGAAAGGCTTTGTGGCAAATGTTTATGAGCGAAGAACTTTTTACCTCCTCTTTGTGGCTGAGATCCAGAAGGCCAAGTGTGCAGAAACTCTGTCCCTGGAATAAGTGAGCTAGTCTTGAAATTATAATGGAGGAAACTTACTGCCTAGATTTTTTAACATCAAGCATGGGTGCTAAATCACAACTCATGTTTGAGGCTTCATGGAAGTGGGATTGAGACAGAAAGGGCTTCTTCCTTTGTTGGTTGTTGATGTTATACATTACTGAACTTTGTCCATAGCTATCTTACCTATTTACCTATGGCTTGAAAATCATGAAATAGACCAATACTCTAAAAATGTAATCTCCTGAATCTAATAAAATGAAGTAAACCCAATTAAGGTATTGTGGATAGTATATATTATAATTCCCTATGGACAAGTATCCCCTGAACTTTAAAAAATTTAGTTCAAACAATAATTTTATTCATTTATATACATTTGTTCTTACTCCATAAGGCAATTAGTAATATACCATTATTTGCAAGATGGAGATTCACAAATATAGTAGTCCATCATCATATCTGTGGGTTTTCTTTCCATGATTTCAGTTACCTGAGATCACCCTCTGTCTGAAAATACTAAACGGAAGATTCCAGAAATAAGCAAGTCATATGTTTTAAATTGCATGCCATTCTGAGTAGTGTGATGAAATCTCACGCCATCCTGCTCAGTCCCACCTGGGGTGTGAATCCCCTCTTTGTCCAACTCATCCACTTAGTAAACCATTTTAGTTATCAGATTTACTGTGGCAGTATAGCAGAGCTTGAGTCAAGTAACCCTTATTTTACTTAATAATGGTCCCAGAGCACAAGAGTAGTAATGCTGGCAATTTCAATATGCCAAAGAAAAGCCATAAAGTGCTTTTGTTAAGTGGAAAGGTCAAAGTTCTTAATAAGGAAAGAAAAAACATCATATGCTGAGGTTGCTAAGATCTATGATAAGAATGAATCTTCTATTCATGAAATTGTGAAGAAAGAATACAGATTTCCTGATAGTTTTGCTGTTATACATCAAACTGCAAAAGTTTCAGCCACAGTGCATGATAAGTGCTTCATTAAGATGGAAATGGCATTAAATTTGTGGGTGGAAGACATGCACAGAAACCTGTTTTAACTGACGGCAATCACGTTTGGTACTATCGTTAGTTTCAGGCATCCCATGGGGTCTTAGAACATATCCCCTGCAGATAAAGGGGGACTAGTGTTTGCTATACTTTGCAGACGTTTTTGTCCCTGACTTTTACCATTTGATTTCCATGAACCTTTCTATAGAACTCTTATTGCAGGGACATACTCTTGAAACATATGGATACAGATGGTCCTGACAATGTTGCTTTGCAACATGATTCCTGACCTCAGCCGCAGGCTTTCCATATGCTTCTTCTGAAGGATACAGCTCTTCCTGCTCTTCCATAACCTCGGGCAGATTTGATGCTCTAATAACAGCTGGCTCTGATGCTCTCCTTTCTCTGCCTACAGTGGTGCTTCATTAGACTATGCAATACTTTGTTCAATTACACATTTAATTTACATTCTCGAAAGTTCACCGGAGACAATATTGAACTATATCTGCCTTGGAAATAACAACTGTAAACTATCAAAACCAATATTCTATTTATTTTTTTAAAAATGTGATGATTCCAAGATTAATGTATTATTTCAGTGTTACATAAGAAAGGTAATGAAGCTTATGTCATGTGTGCTTATGAAGTATGACAGGCCAAAATGCTCACAGCAGATAAATCCATTAAGTTATGAATCCTAATCCTATGAAAATCACTCACTCAATATTCCATTCTGGCCAATACTCCAGAATTCACTGTTTTAATCTTCATTGTAATCGTAATAATAATTGTGAATTTAGAAAAACCTAAGGGAAATAAATGATTCTCCAAATGAAAATTATGTAAACTATCCCAGTACTATATTTTAAAAAGAGACAACTATGCTATATTTTTCTTTGCAATCTAATGCCAAATTTGTTCCAAATTTTAAAATAACTATATTGACCAATCTGAGTTTTATATGTGCACCAAACACTAAATAAGTTGTGGAATTCCAATATTTAAGGGACTTTATTCTATATACCAACAAATAATGTTTATATTGAACTTTAATTTTACTGAATATTAAAATTACCCACAGTAGGATTAATTTTTTTCTAATACAAGATATATGTAATTATTTTCATCAGAGTTTTTTTAATTTCATAAGCAAATGCACACAATATTACTAAAACTGTGAAGGGCTGGCTCTTTGTAGTAGGCACATACATTCTCATCAAATCAGGCCAGTATGGAAAGTTATTGTTTTTGTTTGTGGTGGTTTATTTATTTATTTTAGAGGGACAGGTATCTGGCATAAGGAAATGTACTTAGAAATATTCTTGTGGCCAGAAATTTGATAGATTACTCTTTTTATGTATGCTTACAGCATATTGCTTAATACACATTTATTCATAATGTGCTGACCTCTGAATTTCATCCTCAGAGGTCTATGAAGTTCCACATAAATTAAGAACCTATGTTCTAAATTAGTCCCTGAATCAAGTCAGTTTATAATAAAGATGAATATTTGAGCCATGTTGTTTTCTTTATAGTATTGCTTATTTTACTTGTAATTTTTTTCTAGCACCAGTTAAAATCATAGGTATTGGGAGTAAAAACCTAATACAAAATACTGTTGTGTATATTTTAGAGATGTTTCCTTTCAATCATTTATTTATTTAAAGTATTTTTATTGACCACCCATTCTGTGCTAGGTGCAGCTTAAAGCTATGGTGATATAGTGAAAAAATAATTTTAAATTTCTGCTTTTATGAAACTTACTTTATAGTAGTTGCAGGGTACAGACAATAAATGATCACCAAAATAGCTAGATGCTGTAGTCTACTACGTGGTAATAAATGTGAAAAAAAATAAAGCAGAGAATGAATGAGAGTGATAAGGTAGCTAGAGAAAATCTCTATGACATGGGATTTTGATAAAAAATTTAAAGGAGGTGAATGAATGCAGTGTGTAGACATCTAGAGGAAGGGCAGTCCAAGAAGAGAAACCAGCAAATGAAAAAGTCTGGAGGCAGTGGTATATCTAGAGGGCTCAAGGAACAGCAAGGAGGTCAGGGTGGCGGACCTAGTGATGGAGGGGAGAGATTGGAGAAAAGGACAGAGAGGTAACTGTGCTACAGGATAGAAGTCAGAGAAAATAAAAATGTCTGAATTTCAGGGCTCTCTTCACTGGCTATGAGAGTTTGAGCAGGTCATTTAAACGTCCAAGCTTTAAATCTCTATTACCCACATCCCCTGTAACTGTGGCCCTTTGATTGCTGGTGTAATGCGGAAAGTCGAGATAGTTTGGCAGATTTTATGGGTTTATGAAACTGAATATGTCATGAGAAATAAAGTTTCATCCCAAAGAGGAACTCAAGAGAGTGAATTTTTCAAAGTGAACCAGATTTTATAAGCTTCAAAATACCATTAACTTCCCAAGTTATCGTTAAGTTATTTGCTTACAAACACAATAGACACTCATATACCAAACTGTCCTGTCTCTCCTCTCCTACACTGATCAAATTTTAGAGGACTTCATATTTTGCCATTTCCATATCCTATTTCCTGCCCACTCTGCAAGCCCACTCACTGAAACAAGGTTCTTTCTACTGAGGTCATCACTGACTTCCGTATAGCTATATTTCATTTTAATTCATCCCTCAGAATCATTAAAGAAAACAGTGAAATTTTCTCACTGGAGCATTCTGCTATGGAATGAATGGCGCCCCACCCCCAACCCCCACAAATTCATATGTTGAAACTTTAACCCCCAATGTGATGTTATTTGAGATGAGTTATTATAACTCATAACACTTGCTAATAACTTTAGCAAGTTATTAAGGCTAGATGAATTCAAGAGTTTGGGGTCCTCATGATGAAACTAGCGTCTATAAAAAGAGGGAGAGAGAGATCACTCAGTTTCTACCATATGCAGACATAGTGGGAAGGCAGCCATCTACAAGCCAGAAAGAGGGCCCTCAACAGATCTGGCACCCTAATATGACACCCTTTTCTCAGACTTCCTGCCCCTAGAACTATAAAATAATAAATTTCTGTTATTAAGTACCCAGTCTATGTTAGTGTCCTATTGTAACCCACACCAACTAAGACACACTCTCTTCCCTCATCTTCTAACTGGGCTTCTAATAGTGTCCTGGATGTTCTTTCTCAACTCTAGCTATTCCTGTTTTGCCTCATTTTCAGGCCATCTGACTATCTAGACATTAAAAGACCGGGATTTCTCACAGCTCAGACACAAGCCCTCATTGCTTCTCACTGACTCTCCCTCTACAAATATGATTTATGTTAAATCTTGCTGATGGATTTGTGTTTATCTGCAAATTAACATGCCCAAAACAAAACTCATGATTTTAAAGAATGGTATAAACAATTATTCTGGGTAAAATTCAAGTCATCCTTAATACTTCTCTAACCACTCACCATCAGATCCACACAAAATCCTCTACATTTTACTTTCTATAGAGCTTTCCAACTGAACATCTTTTCCCACCCTCAGTGCCCACTATTGGTCCAATTGTTACACCTGGCTTATAAGGACTTCCTAGTTGGTCACTCTCAAACTATTCTGCTCTGCTTTTTTGTCTATTCTCCACACTGCATTCAAAGGGGTTTGTTAAACATGCCAATCCAAGCAGGGGATTGTCCTGCTTTAAAAGCACTTCTTGTGGAGGGCCTGCAAGGTTCTCCATGGAGTGGTCCTGCTTACATCTCCTGCCTTGCTGTGTTCTCCCGCGGTCTCTGATTTCTAGACACATTGGCATGTTTAACTTCTTAAAACAAGTCTTGCATTATTTCAGTATAGTGCCTTCTAAATACTATTCTCTTTCTCTAGGTTTCCCTAGGATGTTCTTGTCTTCCTTCCTCACCAAATTAACCCTGCTGTTAAATATCACTCATTCATCACATTTTTAATGGTGATCCCTGACTAAGTCATTTCTGCTGTAATTTATTCTTTTGGGGCCCAATCACCTCTTCTTGATGTCACTTAATGGAGTTGCTGTTTTCTATTTATTATTTATTCACATGGCTCTTTGAGCAATATTTGTCTCCCCCAGTGGACTGTGAACTTCATGGGGATATATAATATTTCTGGGTCTTTGTTTTGTTCTATTTAGTTTTTTCTCAATATTACATGTTCAGAACTGAAGCCAGAGTCTGTCGGGTGATCAGTGCTCAATAAATAATGCTTTAAGGTATGCATTAAGGGAAACAAAAATACTGGTAGTGGATATGGTGGACAGGTACTTTTCAAAGCATAGAACAGTTAAGACTTTGGACTACTATCTCAGCCTTTGAAGAACCAATAGGAGCATTTTATTTTGCAGATCTCAAGTTGCCTTATTTGTATACATCAGTGGACTATCTAAGAACCTTTGAGAAACAGTGAGATTTATAATCAAAACAGCATGGGAAGAAACGGTGATTTTTTTTTCATTTACTTAACTAGAAAATAATAGACATTAAATTATCCAGAAATTCATACACTTCCACGTTTACACAAACTCAGCTAAAATGAGACAGAGTAAGATTAACTGGTTCTCAGATAATCATTAAGAATAATCTTTGGATTCAGTATCATTTTTAATATTTTCACTCAGCAAAGTCCTGTCCTTATTTAGCTTCAAGGTCACTATCAGAATAACCCTATTTCAAATGTTTCTTAATTTCCTGAAGAGTGGGAGTAATGTCTTAGTAAATAGAAGTGATTCTTGATTGGTGAGATTAGGGATACTACCTTACAGTTATATATCCATATTAAAGCAGGAGATCCTTACAGACAAATAATACATTTTACTCAGCTCATTTTTTTCAACCTGAATATATAGCATATGTTACGCATTTTATTATTGTTATTTTTTAAAGATCTATTACTTTCTAAATTCTATTTTATTTATTTATTTTTTGAGTCAGAGTTTTGCTCTTGTTGCCCAGGCTGGAGTGCAATGGTGTGGTCTCGGCTCACTGCAACCTCTGCTTCCCGGGTTCAAGTGATTCTCCTGCCTCAGCCTCCCGAGTAGCTGGGATTACAGGTGTCCGTCACCACGCTTAGCTAATTTTTTTGTATTTTTGGTAGAGACGGGGTTCACTATGTTGGCCAGGCTGGTCTCAAACTCCTGACCTCAGTGATCCACTCACCGTGGCCTCCCAAAGTGCTGGGATTACAGGCGTGAGCCAGCAAGCCAGGCCAATTCTGTTGTATTTTAAATTAAGGTTAGTATTATCAGTAACATAGAAAAATGGTGATATCTGCTCTATTAGTGAACTTAAGTGTATATGAGATATATGTTTCCAATTTAAGTAACATTTGAGAAACGGATTCATTTCTCTTTTCATGCAAGTGCTTTTGATCACTGTAATATCTCAACCTGTGATAATTTTCATGAATTTTCTCAGGTAGTTGTTTTGACAGAAAATTGTCCAGTGGAATGCTCTTCTTATCTAGCATTCCTGATATGATCTGAAATGAGCACTCTTAGAATCAAGTTAAAGGAAAATATTTAATTGATAGAAAATATCATATGACATTATGAAATAATCAGTGTGAAGGTGGTGTATAGACACTAATACTTTCTTGGATAACCCCAGTCTGAAAGTTCAATCATCTCACCCACACAGATTCAGATTTTAATCATTTTATCGCATCTGTAGGAAGATATAAAATATCTGGAGGCGCTTTTGCATCTGTATGTATCCCCTATCATTTTACAGATCTTCACGGTCTCACTTTTCCTAGGTTCACCCCTTCTCAGGCAAACCATTCCATACAGCAGGTGTCAAGCTGTGGAAACTGAAACCTGGCAAAGAAATCTCTCTGATTGGCCTATCAAAGGTTCCAACTATGGAGAATCATGGAATCTTGCCCTGTTTACTAACTGCCCTTCCTGTTCTCTCCTTGTAAATTTGCTTTATGGCATAGTTTTCATGCAGCAGAAGTTGGCGAGGCACCCTCTCAAAAATTTTATTATCATGTGTAGTATTCAATAAATTATAAAGAGATGTTTTTCTCCACAACTCTTTATCTATGCCACTATTCCTATTCATCTTGCCTGCAATTAATTTTCAGCTGCTGTTGCTCTTAGTGGTGGTATTCTAAGTATCTAGTGGAAAAGAAACTATTCCTGTGAGGATTATATAAGATTAAAATGTTATAGTCTATCTTTAAAACGTTTGATTTCCTTATTAAATTATTTTTGCATTTTTTATGTTAAAGAATAATTATATTTTAATTTAATCTTATTTAATATTATTGTTAAAATGTAGTAAAATATAGTTTCTGATTTAAGGTCATAGAACAGTATCTAATATCCTCTATGGAACTTATCTCCTACCTGTCTCATGAGAGAGAGATGAAAGATGACTTATCTTGAATAAATTATAATTTTCAATTTGATCTTTTACAAGTGATTAAAACTATAAAGAAATTACTATGATTTATATTTAGTCAGACAAAAACACTAGATACAAATTATGGATGATTAAAAAGAAGTAACAATTTAATTAAGACATCCATAGAATGCTTGTTTTTACAAGCCAGAATTATTAGAGGCAATGCATATTTATTAATTTATTCCTTTGACAAATATTCATAAAGTACCATAATTTGCTAAAATCTGATTGTTGTAGGTTTTTAGAATATTTTCAAGAGAGATGATCCCTGGCTTCTCGAAGCCAATATTCTAATTGAGGATTTTGGAAACAAACAGAAAATATATAATAAGATTTGAGAAAGTCATAGATTCTAAGGGGAGAAATGAGTCACGGTAAGGAAATAAAAAGTCATATGGTGTAGAGGTGGGAGATTTCTATTTTAGAAAAGGGACTCAGAGAACACTTAGCCTGACATTTGAGGAGAGACTTGGATAAAGTGAGAGTGACATGTTTAGACAGTCTGAGGAAAGAGGCCTCCTGTCTGAGAAAGCAGCAAGTAAAAGTGTCCTGAAGATGCTCTGAGTTTGGTATTATGAGGAAATAACAGGAAAACAAGTTGTGGCTAGGTGGCAGTGAGCCAGACATAATATGTCAGATTAGGTCCTAGATGAGGAGGGGTCAGAACAGGTAAGGCCTTATAGATGGTGGTAAAGCATTGGTCTGTGCTGAGAGAGATGGGGAGCCACAGGGGGGCTTGAGCAGGTGAAGGACATGACCTGGTTTATACTTTGAAAGCATCTCCCTGGTTACTGTGGGGTGTCGGGGGCAGGTGGGGAAGGTATTGACTATTGTGGGAGAAGAATAGAAGTCAAATTACAATTAGGAAGTTTTTGCCTTAGTCCTAGGACATGAAGGCACTTAGATTAGGTTTGAGGTGGTGGTGGTGGTAGTAAGAATTGAGCAGATTCAGAATATATTTTAAAGGGAGAACCTATAGGACTTACTTACCAATGTTTTGGATGTGGAGTATAACGGGAAATAAGTCAGGGAAGACTCCTAGGTTTAAGGTTTAAGCAGTTGGACAGATGATGGTGCCATTTACTGAGATGAGGAAGCTAGACTAGAATCAGTTTATCTGAGGAAAATTATCTGAAATCATGTTTTAGATGTGGTAAGCTTGGGATGTCTGTTAGGCTTGCTTATTTGGCAATAAATTATATGTGCCTAGGACACAGGGGAAAGTTGCAGTTGAGGACAGAAATGAGGAAATCACTAGGGTATTGATGGGATTTAAGTTTGTGGGTCAGGATATAAACGTCAATGAAATATGTGTAAAACCAGGGTTTCTCGATCTCAGCATTACTGACATTTTGAGCCAGATAACACTGTCATGAGGGGCCATCTGAATTGTAGGATGTTCAGCACATCCCTCACCTCTACCCAGCAAATTCCAGTAGCACCTTTTCCCCTCCAGTGTGACAATCAAAACATTTCCAGACATTTTGAAATATCTCCTGGTGGAAAAAATCACCCCCCTAGTTGAGAATTACTGGTGTAGATAGAGGCAAGAAGAGGACCAGAAGAGGGAATAAAATGTAAGCCCTGGCCCATCCCACTATGTGGAGGTTGAGAAAAACATGAGCAGCAAAGGAAAGTCAGAAAGCGCAGCCAATAAAGTGTGGAAAATTCCAAAGAAACCTTTCCATGAAAAGATAAAAACAACTGACGTTATCCTTTGTAATAAGATAATAGCTTCCCTAATACAGTAAATATTCCTATTGACACAAGTGCTAGCAATAATATTTCCACTCAAGTAAGCAGAGTGAGTCTTATAAAATAAAAGTCGTGTTGCTTCTCTGCTTCAATGTTCCCTATCTTTTTAAAAGTAAGAGCCAAAAATCTTACAATGGTCCAAAAGTTCCTACATGATTGGGTCTCCTCCTCCCTCACTCTTCTCTCTGAATTTACCTCCTGCAACAACCACCATGCTCACTTCATTCCACAATGCTGCATTATTCTGCTTTTGTGCACAGTGTCCCATATTCACGGCCTTGCCATTACTATTTATTCTAGATGAATTGTTCCTTCCAGGTATCTGAAGGGATACCTTCAACTCAAATGTTGCTCAACTCAGTTTTGCTCAAATGTCTTCTCCACTGACCATATTTTAAAAATAATCAAAACATTATTTTTAAAGCATCATATTATCAAATTAATTTTTGTCATTTAACTTTTTATCAATAATTATTTATGTCTTCAGTCAACAAACACACTGCCCTTAATTATTCAACAAACACATTCAGTGGTTACTATATGTCAACCATATGTATAGCTCATTCCACTATCTATAACCAATTTTGAAAATTATTTTCAAAACTGGTACTCGTTTCAGGGAGCAATTCCATAACCCACTGTCTGCTTCATCTTGATCCTTTGCATTTGTCATCATAGAACAAACTACTTATTGTTTGCTTATTTCTTTTGCTTTTTTTGGTATCCTCATTAAAATTTAAGATTTTTTTGAGAAATTGTTGTCTGTGCTATTACTCGCAACTCTATTCTCAGCACTTACAACAGCGCTTCACACATAATAGATACCTAATTTATTGACTCAATGAACAAATGCATGAACTAAGATTTATTGAGTACTTAAGATTTGTCAGATTATATTTTATCTCTTTGTATTGAATGTCAGACAGACAAATGGCTTAGCAATAAAATCAATACAATTGCTAACTTCTGTGTGTATATACATATACATACAATCATCCTTCAGTATCCTCACGGAATTGGTTCCAAAACCCCTACAGACACCAAAATCCACAGATGCTCATGTCTCTTGTAAAAAATGGCGTAGTGTTTGCGTGTAATCTTTGTGCAATCTCCTGTTTACTTTAGATCATCTCTAGATTACTTACAATACCTAATACAATGTAAATGTTATATAAGTAGTTGTTATGCTGTGTTGTTCTTTGGATTTGTTATTTTTATTGTTGTGTTGGGGTTTTACAAAATATTTTTGATTTGTGGTTGGTTGAATCTGCAGATATGGAACACTCAGGTACAGAGGCTGATTGTATTATTTTGCAGTATGGATGAGTATTATTAATTAATTTGATTACTTTCAAAGGGTGCTGCTCTTTCTCTAAAATGCAAATTACAGCAAATTATAGGTCATTCCACTATCTATAACCAATGCTTTAATATTTTCAAGTTCCCTATAAAATTTAAGCGTGATTCATTAGCAAACTGTCTCCAAAACCAATATGTATGTAAACATGGTAATACAGCCATTTTTATTAGACATAAATATAAATAAAATAATACTTTTAAAGCGAAAAATATACATATCAAAATGCAAAATATCTAGGAATACATCTAACAAAAATGTATTAAGTATTTATTCATGGAAAAACAATTAAAAAAATGTGCCAGACACTATTTTTAAAGCATCCTAATATTATCAAGTTAATTGTATTTTTGTCACAACTTTTCATCAATCTTTTTTTTTTTTTTTTTTTTTTTTTTGAGACTGAGTCTCGCTCTGTTGCCCAGGCTGGAGTGGAGTGGCGCGATCCCGGCTCACTGCAAGCTCCGCCTCCCAGGTTCATGCCATTCTCCTGCCAAAGCCTCCTGAGTAGCTGGGATTACAGGCGCCCTTCACCACGCCCAGCTAATTTTTTGTATTTTTAGTAGAGACGGGGTTTCGCTGTGTTAGCCAGGATGGTCTCGATCTCCTGACCTCGTGATCCGCCCGCCTCGGCCTCCGAAAATGCTGGGATTACAGGCGTGAGCCACCGCTCCCGGCCATCAATAATTTTAATTTATTTATTCAATCAACAAACACACTGCCCTTAATTGCTCAAAAAACACATTCAGTGGTTACTATAGGTCAGTTATTGTGCTAGGATCTGGAAACAAAGTAACAGCCACACTTGAGGGAAAGAAACAGTAGCCAACATTTTTAACAGAGTAGAATAAGAAAGGTGATGTGAGGGAGGTCTTCCCCGGAACCTGACAAAGCACAGTGGAACAAACCTACACTAGTCTTAAGGGTCAGGGAAAGCTTTCTTAATGAGCTGATCATTAAACTTTGTTTTAAAGACGGTAAGAATTAAGTTAGAAAAAGATGAGCATTCCAGTAAGAGAGAACAGTATGTGGGTTAGTGTAAAACAGTATATGGTCCGTTTTGAAATTTTCAAAGAGGTTTCACCATGCATTTACTGACATGGCTGGGAATGAAACTCAGGTACTTCACAAAAGAGTTTTCATATTCTTAGAACCATATCAGAGAGCCACTGAGAGATTTTTAAGCTAGAAAATGATATAATCATATGATCGTATTTTAGAATTTTTAGTTTAACATACATTGAAGGTTTTACTACACAGGAAAGCTATAGGGTAGCAATGGACTATGGCATTTTTCCAATAGAGTAAAGATCATAGCCTGAATAAAAAAGTGGCTGTAGAATGGGCAAATTGGGCTATTAGAGAAATTTTATTGTGTTACAAATTTTTCAGTGAAACAGCATTATATATATTTTCTTAAGGCCCAAGTCATGATAGAAAACAAATGCCCATTGCTATTTGTTTCTTTATTTTTGTCCACTGTCTTTCTGAAAAATTCTGCCTTAGGGATAACTTGACTGGATATGGGAACAAAGGGAATGAAGCTTTTAAATATTATTTATGGCTAATATTATAAGATAAAATAAGCATTCTTTTAATTTCAGTTTTACTCAAATTTATTAGACATCCAGTAAGAGCATAAGTTTTATATCCCAAATGTTAAATATTCAGAACCTAGAGGCACATAGAGTTCAATAAAAAAATTCAATAAAAGAATAAAAACAGAATATATTAAAAGATACATTTGGTTTATCAGTATAATGTATCTTGTATTTGGATTTTTGTGGAAAAGTACATTAATGATTGAGAAAATTGATAGCTCTATTATCTTTTTAAATAAGATCCCTCTAGTCCTTATTTACTAAAAGATTTTCTGTTGGCTCATCTAAATGTTGCCCTTTGACGAGCTTTAGACTTCTTCGGTTTAAAGAGTGCAGTCCTCAGATTAATGGGTAGACTGAGAACCAGATGTCTGTTGTCAGGGCTGAAAACCTAATTAAAATGGAGGTCATAAAGGTGAAAGGAAGAAAAAGGGTCAGCTAGAGCTAGTTTGAGCAGGGCACAGGCTGGTAGAAATCAGAGATTTTGTGCTATGTTGGCAGATCTGTTAAGAAGCTAATCCGTAGATACTTTTATCAAATGCTTTGAAACTCCTGAACCATATGGGATTTAGAAAGATAATAATCTCCACAAAAATTTCAGGAAGCATTTGCTCTGAATTTTGACCTCAAAAATAGAACACAATTTAAAAAAATCCATTAAGACCCATATATTAGCATAGTCCCCCAAAGTCTCAGTAACAATTTTAAAATAGTATCTAAGCACCTTTCTGCCTGTATATATTACTATATTAACAATCTATTTATTTATACTTAGCACTATTGCAAAATTTTCCGCCTGCTTCCTATTTCTCCAGCCCCTCCACCTCTCATTCCATCTTGATTAATCTTTTCTAAAGCAGTGCTCTAATATGTCAATATTTTGAAAAATCTATGAGATTTCCCAATTGGCTACTAAATAAAGTCAAAATTGCTTTCTCTCAAAAGTGGAAATTTGTATGGTTTTATTCAATTTTCCTTTATTCATGAATTAATTTCAGGGAATATTTTTCATGCACATACTATGTGCCAGATATTTATGTAAGCACTGCTGATATATATGTAAATAAATAAGGCCCTCAACCTCAGGGAATTAATATTTTAGTGGGTGGAGCAAAAAAATGTACAAAACAAAAATATACATATACATATAAAGGGTGAAATTTACTCTGGAGAAAAAGCAGTATAAAAATCGATAGGGATTAGTACAGTGTTGTATGTTGGGATTCTTTTTTTGTAAATAGTATTTAGAAAAAGCTTCATTGAGAGGTTAAGTTCTCAGCAGAAGATTTGAGGAGGTGAAGAATAAATCTTGAAACATCTGAGGAAAGGCCATTCCAGGCAAAGGGAACAACAAGTGCAGCGATCCTGAAGCGACAACCTGCTTGGTAAATAAGAAACAAGAAAAGGCCATGGTTCTGCAGCAGAGTGAATACAAAGGCACTTGTCAGTGATGTTGTCAGAGAAGTAATGGGCAGGCCAGATCCAACAGGATATTACAGGGTATTATTAGGCCTATTGGCCTTGGATGAAATGGTGGGAAATCATTTACAAATTTTGAGAAAAAAGTGACATGATATGACTTACTTTTAAAAGAACCACTGAGGTTGGTGTGTTTTGAGTAGACTAGAGACGGGAAATAAAAATATAGGAATTATGGATTTATAGATGATTTTAAAACCAATGAACTTGTGAGTCCAACAAGAAACTAGGAGTAACCAGAATAGGGATGAAGTCCATGGACTGCCCCTGGCCACTCTAATATTTAGGCTCAGTCAGACAAGGGGGGCCACAATGGGGCCTTAAAGGGAGTGGCCAGCAAGCAGGAGGAAAACCGAATGAATGTTATCTTAGAGAACAAAAGTGATCGAGGAGGTTCAAAGGATAGTCTAGGTTAAATGCTGCTGCTCATAGGTCAAATTAGATGAGGGCTGAGAATAAAGCTAAGTTATTGGTGATCCCGAATATATAATCGGTGGACTTGTGTGGGTGGAAAGAAAAGGTGTAGGCAACTATTGAGCAGTGTTGTCACCAAAAACTAAACAGTGAAACATAGATAGGGTACAGGGTGAAGGGTGATGTAAGGTAAACATGAGTGTTTTTTCATGAGGGGAAATTAAACAGATTTGTGGATTGATGGGAAGAAGTTAGTTAAAAAAATAAAAAGATGTGAAAGTTTGAGGAGAGAAAAACTGTGAGGTAATTAATTATGACGCCAAGAGGTTAAAGAAAGAGGCAAATGTAAGGTAGAAGAAATGTCGAATCAGAATGGTCAAGAATGAGAATGTAAGCTGGCAAGTTGGGAGATAAAAAGTGGAAAGCATGAAATTGAGTTTCCAGGGGTGGGGAGGGGATCAGTTATTATTACTACATTACAGCATTACAGCATATTATTACAGCATTACAGCAAATGCTGTAGTATCACAATGAGTGTAATTGGTTGAAATACCATGAGGTCAAAGTATTGGGAGGAAGAATATTGGGAAAATTAACTATATAATTATTGCAAATGTATCAGGAATTATGACAGAATAATAGACTAAATCAGGATCCACAATGTAGATGGAATAAGAGAAATGAACCAGATATCTGTAGATGACTGCAACAAGGAAGTATAGTGAGTGACATAATCTAATGGCCTGAGCTTCAAACCTAGGGTTTTTAAAGAGAATAGTGGTGGAAACAATGTAAATTAAGTGCACTTGCAGTACTTCCAGGCCCAATACAACAAGGTATGTAAAAAAGGAAATAGCCACTGATTAAGAGGGCTGCAATGGGAGCCTTATCCTCAGGGAAGAATTAGGTCTCATAAAGAAGTGAAAATTCACAGAAACAATTGAAGATCTAGATTTTTCTAAAAATATAAGTTCCAAAGTGCACAATGAAAGGGTTTTGGAATCAAATATCTGATAATGGATGAGGGTGACTTGTGAGATTTATATTTTTGATGAAGACTGATATAATCAGGAATTAATTTAGGATGCCATGCAAACAGTCCTCAGGTCCTTAAAGCAGATTGCATTGAAGAGGCTGTGTGTATTGATGGCAGAAAGAGGGAAAAGGGAGTAAAGGGAAGATTACACAAAGGCATGATTATGAGCAGGTGAGAACCATTGAAAGCATCACAAAAGTTGGCTTAAGTGACAACAATCATGATCTATAATTTATTGTAAACCGAGTCTTTCTACTGTAGTGTGCTTCATTATAGTGTATAGCATTTGGAATCCTAGATCCTCTTTATCCCTTATGCCAATGGGGAATAGAAGTCAAGAAAAAAAAAAACAATCATAGCAGTTGTACTTAAACTTTGAAGTATCTCCTTACTCCTGCAGTTGAAGGCATGCAGGTGGGGGAAGCAGGTAATAATATCAACATAAGTGAAATTCTAGAACTCCCTCCCCTTTTTAATTACTTTTTCTACCGCTCCCTATTACACACATTATCTTCATCCTTGACTTCTCTGTTTCAGTTCATTTCCTTTTTTATTCTACTCATACTGTTTTCCCTATCTGTAAAGTTAATATTGTATGATATTATCACACTTCCAAAGATCACTGAGAAATGTGGTTTATTTGAAAGGAAAGGATACAAGCAGGTAGAATAGAACTGGGGATTCTAGCTATGTTTTTCTTATTTTCCTTATCAGTAATTAATTACAACTTTGCTGAGTATCTCAGAAAAATGTGCCACATATAAGACACAGCCGAGTTTTATCAATTAGCAAGCACATGCACGCTAATGCCTATTGTTTTGTGAGCATTTTTCACCTTGACACAGGTACTTGGTATTTTTAATACATAATAGTTTCATCACTGTGCAGCTGCACATCTGCATCATAGTAAAGCTCCTTGTTCTCAGACGAGCAATCAGAATGGGCATCACAATTGTCACAGCATGAAGTATTTTATTTATATTCCTGTAAGCTCCATGAGGGCATGGATACAAATCTGCTTTATAAATTCTGTATAATTACACCCAATACAGCCCTTATGTATTCAAATATGAATATTTTTGAATAAATGAATGTGAATTTTTAAATGTTGGTGAAAGTGTTAAATAATAACTCAAAAACAAAGTAGGTAACTGAAAGATAAACTTGATAAAATTCCCAGGTCACACTTTTTTTTTTCTTTTAAGACAGAGTCTTGCTCTGTCTCCAGGCTGGAGTGCAGTGGCGAGATCTCGGCTCACTGCAATCTCTGAATCCCTGGCTCAAGCGATTCTCCTGCCTCAGCCTCCTGAGTAGCTGGGACTACAGGTGCCTGCCGTCATGCCTGGCTGGTTTTTGTATTTTTAGTAGAGACCAGGTTTCACCATGTTAGCCGGGATGGTCTTGATCTCCTGACCTTGTGATCTGCCCGCCGCGGCCTCCCAAAGTGTTGGGATTACAGGCGTGAGCCACCACACCCGGCCAGATCACCGTTTTTAAGAACTCTGAAGTATCAGAAAAAAATCGCAAAAATCTTAAAAGCTGGAGGATAAATTCAGAAAGCAGAACATAAGCTAGATAGGAATTTCAATGAGTAAAAATAAAAAAAATGAAGAAAGAAAATAATTAAATACATGAGTATTTAGATTGAAAAGACTAGTCAAATACTGAATAAAAATAATAATAGCAATATGAAAAACATGCTTGGCTGGGTGTGGTGGCTCATGCCTGTAATCCTAGCACTTTGGTAGGCAGAGGTGGGTGGACCACCAGGTCAGGAGATCGAAACCACCCTGGCTAACACGGTGAAACCTTGTCTCTACTAAAAATGCAAAAAATTAGTGAGGCGTGGTGGCAGGCGCCTGTAATCCCAGCTACTCGGGAGGCTGAGGCAGGAGAATCACTTGAACCTGGGAGGCGGAGGTTGCAGTGAGCTGAGATCATGCCACTGCACTCCAACCTGGGTGACAGTGAGATTCAGTCTCAAAAAAAAAAAAAAAAAAAAAAAAAGATGCTCATTGGAATCAGTGAAATTTCTGAGCTCCAAAGATAAAGTTAAAATTCTAAATGAGTCCAGGAAGAATAACAACTGTTAAGATACAAGAATCAAAAGAAGATCAGATTTCTAATTACTAAAATATATTTTTAGAAGTATATTAAATTTTTAAAATTATAATCCTGAAATGTAACACTTTAAACTATAAAAAATCTAGAAGATTTTTCTAGGGAAAAAACTTAGCATATTGGCCTAGGCAAATAATTTATGACTAAGACCTCAAAAGCAAATGTAACAAAAATAGATCAATGGGACTTAACAAAACTAAAGCGCTTCCTCACAGAAAAAGAAATAATCAACAGAGTAAACAATCTACAGAATGGCAGAAAATATTTGCAAACTATGCATCTGACAAAGGACTTATATTCAAAATCTACAAGAAACTCAAGCAACCCAACAAGAAAAAAAAAAAGCAAATAATCTCATTAAAAAGTGGGCAAAAGACATGAACAGACACTTCTCAAAACAAGACCTACAAAGAGCCAAGAAACACATGAAACAAATAATAAATTTGATTCATTATATAAATAGAACTGAAAACAAAAACCACATGATTTTCTCAGTAGATGCAGAAAAAGCTTTTCATAAAATTCAACCTCCCTTCATGTTAAAAACAAGGAACATGTTTTAGGTATTTTTAAATGTACAATAAATGATTGTTGAATGTAGTCTGATAATTCTTAGTAATGCCATTGAGATAATCAGGCATTATGCATATCATGATATGATGCAATAAAAGCACAACACTATATGGTATTCTTTTTTTTTCTAAAAAAAGATATTTTAGAAATACATTTTTTAAAATTAAAAGCTCCCATTTTGATTAATGTTCACAAAGTGAATACTTCTATGTATTAACATCTGAGTGTTGTGGGGGGCGTCAAAAAAAAAACTCCTATTATCGGCACCACAGAATCTTCCATCACAGCCCCCAATTCGCTATTCCTCCTCCTCTAAGTAATCATTTTCTGGTTTCACTACACCCTATAAACTGGACTTTTCATAAATGCTTCCTCTGAATTTGATTAGTCTTCTACTTCTAAATACTATATGTAGAACTAAAGAGGAGAACTTGCTAACTGACAGCATGAGGAAACAGTCTAACAAATCCAGAAATTGGAATACTCTAAATGACAACTTGCTTGGTCTTTGCAGTATTTGAGGTAGGGAAAAGGAGACAATTGTTATAAATTAAAATTGATGTAAGTAAAATTACAATAAATTGAATTCATGGTCCTTGATTAGATCCCAGCTAAAACAAACCATCTGTAAAGGACATTTTAGGAAAATTGAGGAAATTTAAGTATGGATTATATATAACATTAAAGGACTATTTGTAACTTTTTTGGTTTTGAAAATTATATTGTAGGTAATATTCTTTTTTGAATTGCACACTGAAATATCATGTTATCTGTAACATATTTTAAATTATTATAGAAAAAAGATGAATAAATAAGACAAATTGTTAATCTGTACAATCTATACTAGATTACAAGTATATGATTATTTATTATATGCTTCTCTCTGTTGTTTATATGATCAAAGTTTTTAAAATATAAATTTTAAGGATACTAGTACATTACACAGATAAGATATATTTTACAATAAGGAATGTATAATTTAAGTAATTATTCCAGATTAATTTATATATTTGAATTTATAAATACTTAATAATAGACATTTTCTTCTTTGACTTTATATTTATATGTTATTTTACTGATGTTGTTAACAGTCTAACCATTTCAAGACTTTAATCCAAATGTCTTTATAAAGGATTTTAAAGTTGTTTCAATTTCAATATTACTGGAAGCCACTTAATAGGCTTCTTTCTTTAAACTTCTATTTTCTTTTACTCTATAGAAAATCAATATGAAGTTAAGAAGAGACTTTTATCTAAAGTTACAAAAGGTTAACTCTTCCTCATTTATAAATATATCTGCCTTATAATGTTGCTAAACAGATGTCTTATTCTTTAATTTCAAAATGGAAGTTTTTGAAAAGAACACTTTATACCTGAATCTTTTTTGTCACATACATGATTTTTAATGTTTAAAATGGTATTTGAATATATAAATATCCCCTGTAACAGGCACATCTAACAAAACATGTGATTAAATGCCAAATGTAATTATTAACAATAAAACCAAACATTGGTAAAAGTCAGAAGCACTCTCAGCTTAATTTATGCTGTGCTTTCAAAGGCCTAGTGTAGCCTATTATTGTACTAGATGTTAGAGGCTTACTGTAGTATCGGTATTTCGAGAATGTAAGTCATTTATAGACAAATTGGTTGTTGTTGCAGAGTAAAATCTTTAAAGTGCAAGCATACTTGAGGCTTTGTTATTACAATGGTCATAGAGTAGCTTCTGTTTTTGTGGGGCTTCTAGTATAAGCTTTCATGTAAACTTGACTGATATTCTTGAAAGTTCACTAGTTAATATGTCATAATACTGAGCTTTTGTTATGAAAATATTGCAAAGTTTTATATAGATCCGTAGCTCAGTTTGAACTAGAGAAATAAAATGGTTTAAAACATACAGTTAGGCAACTGGTACTTTAGATCATTTCAACTCAGTTAGAACCGACTCAAGTTCACAAAATAAGCACCATTTATTGATTTGTTTGTTTAAAGATACACACAGTTCTCTTGAAATTTCAATGATCTTAATTGTACCCACTGATTTTTATTTGGTTGCCTGTTATGGAGAGGTCTCATTGAGCTGCGGCTTGTTCTTTTCAGCAAGTAATGAATTTCAATTATCCTCTGCAAGAAAATAGAAATTGGTTTCTTTTGACTTGTGTACCTGTGATCAGAAAAGAAATTCTGAAACTTACAATCCCACTTACAAAGTTAGATCTTAATTTTCTTTTGATCTTTCAGAATCTGTATTCAAGGATTTATTTAAATATGAGAATAAACTTTATTTACATAATAAATAAATTGATCTAAATTATTGAATGATTAAAATATATGTACTATGGAACATTCATCCCAGGCAATAGCATCAAAATGCAGTCTATAGCTTGTGATGGTGTCAGTAGGGCTTTGTCACATATGTATTTCCTAAGTATTAGATGGCACAATATGCCAAAGTGATTTAAATTGTTTATTAACAATGTACTTTATATATAGAATCAGAATATACGTGCAACTGACTAAATTGTTTGTTTTGTTTGGATTAGATAAATGCAATTTAGAAAAGATCATAGACCCTTTTCTTCTATGCATCAAAGCAACAGATGTTTTGGGTGAAATAGTGAATTCCATTCGACATTTTGTTGATACTGTTAGATAGTAAGAAATACTGCTTAGTACTACAGAGGGTAATGTAATGAGACAATGTACCTACCCACAGGAAACTAATGATCTAATAGAAATATTAGAATAAGTCCAAAAATGGCAAGAAGCCTAACTAGAACGTGTTTTTAGCTTAAAAAGGAACAAAAGTATAAACTGCTCTTTCTAAATGAGAATCCATGTATTTGTAAAAAGCTTGTGGTTTTAAATAAGCCTCTACAGGGCCAAGACTATATTCAAAGTACCCTGGAAAATTAAAAAATATCTCAAAATTGTAAACTAAGTTTTAGCACTTAAGAATGAAATTAATAAAAATGAGTTATATAATAAGTTAGTTCTTTATAACCCTGAACCTTTATGACAGCTCAAAAATACTTTTTAGCAAGGCATTAATCCCAATTAATCTTAATTAATTGTCTTAACATATCTAAAAAGAAGAGATAGATAGGTTGCGAGGTTTTTAAAAGAAATCCAGGAGCTAGGATTAAAGCTATTTCCAGCCTTGCCTTGCTAAATGTCAAGAGATCACAATAATGGCCACTAGAGAGGTACACCTTGCTTTAGGAGTCAAAGGAAGTTAATTATCCTTTTGTCTGTCCTGGGTAAACTATGTCAATACTGCCTAAACATTTTATTAGTAATTTAGCTTCTTTTTTAAACAGTGATAGGGTAGATATGTACATTTAGTTTAATGGAAATATACAACATCAAGTGAAATATAATTAGTTGCCATGATAATTTGTACAAACAGTAATTCTCTTTTGAGGTTAGTTATTTCAAACAGATCTCTAAGAGCTTGATAAACTGCAAGATCATTGAAAAAAATAAATGGAACTTCTAATCTTGAGGAACAGCCTCTAAATTCCGGTTGTTAAATGATTTTTTTAAAGGCCTGTACCAACAGTGGATTGCCTTATTTAATAATGTTTATAGAATACTTAGTTTCAGGCACTGTCTTAAGTATGGGTCTTATAATGCCAAGTAAAAGTTAAATTGTCTCTGTCTGATCTTACAGGTTTAGGAGAGTTGAAAAATAAAGTTTATTGAATTAATGATACTAAATATATTAAGATTTATATATAAAAGCACTAGAAGTTAAAAATATTAAAATAGGATATGATCAGTGCTGGAAAATTTCATGCATTGCATTTGAAAGTTAACATTGTTTTCTAAAAGTAAAATAAAAAATAATGTTACATAACCAAAGCATACTGAGTCTTTTTGTTAGTTAACATAGCTTTTGATGTACTAACCAGATTAGAGGCCCAAGAGTACTGTTAAATTTAAGAACTAAGTTTCCAGCTGTCAATACTCTTGTCAAGAATCCAGATGATGCTTTTGGAAGAACACATTTTCAGTAACTTGGCATCATGTACTTCCATCATTAGTGAAGAGAGCTTCTTAAATTGAGTAGATTGTGTTATACCAAGAGTTTTAATATATTTAATTATTTTTACCCCCATTGAAACTATGTGAGTATGAATGCACATATTTAAGATGAATTAACTTTCTAAGAAAAGTTAATACTTAAGTGTTAGTATTGAAATGAGATCACTGCTTTCTTTGGGACTCATTAAATTTTATGAAGGCAACTGCCTTGCGTATTGATTACGATGTCCCAAATTTCAAGCTGCTTTTTTGGTTGTCGTTAAACACAAAGAAATTATCTTTAAGACAGGCAATCCAATCCTAGAAATGTGGAAGCATTAACTGAGTCAGTGCAATTTGAGGTTCAACTAACAGTCCTCTTGTGATCCTGCACCATTGTTGCACTTTGAACTCTCTCTTCTATTCTCTTCAAAATGCCCAAAGCCCTTAATGTAAGTAATGGCAATATTGGTCCTTCCTTTCTACCTGCACTGATGTTTGTGATGGTCTTTATAATGTCAAAGGCTTCCCATAAATTCCTAGTTGCCTTTTTTTTCCTTCCTTCCTTCTTTCCTTCCTTCTTTCCTTCCTTCCACTCTCTTTTTTCTCTTTTTATCTTCCTTCCTTTCTCTCTCTCTCTCTCCTTTTTTTCTTTTCTTGTCTTTTCTTTTCTCTGTTCTTTGTTTTCATTCTGTTTTAAGTCACTACTTACCCAAAGATTTTATTGAAGGATCCTAGACACTAAACTTTATTTTTGCATCCACTGTAATACTATTTTTTCTTCTGTGGCTGTATGATGACAAGTTGAACAACTTTTATCAGCTATTATGGATCTAAACAATTTTCCAAAAATGTGAAAATACACGGCTTATAAGAGCCCATAACAAAAACAGTGAACTTACCCAATGCAGAAGAGTGTAATAGAGCACTAAGTAGTGAAGATTTTTGGTGGTATAAGTCACTAACACTATAGCAGCTTCCCTAGAAAGCAGACCCCAGAAAGAGATGGGAATTACTTTGCAGGCAGTTTATTATAGAGTTTCTAGTTTCTGGGATCAACATGGGGTGGAGGGGAGGAAGCAGATGGGGGAAAGAGCAAAGGAAAAAGTCTTATGTGATGTGGTCTTGATGGAGGCTTCAGCCATCTCCACAGGGAGCTTTGAAGCAGAGAGGGCCTTTCAGAGTTGTCCCAAGTTGGGGTGGGTATCCCAGGAATTTATATCCCCATGTCACAGCAGCCATTGGATGTGACCTGACTATTTTTAAGAGAGACGATAACTGAGGACTTTTTGCCAGCAACACTCCCGGACATCCTTCAGTCCTAAGGCGAGAGCTGGGTGACGCATGGCAGCATCCATTCCAAATATTCCCTGGTCAGTTTTATCTTGTGAAATATTCTACACTGCTTCATTGATTGAGAACATGTAATAATGCTTAGAGAATGAGGAGAAATATATACAGTGTTATTTCACTGATTTGTTTCATACATATATACACACATGCATGAGTATATACAAAATAGTCATTTTTAAGACATAATTTAACTATCACTTCTAGTTGTAATTACTTCTTACAATTTACACAGACACACACACAACATATAATTTTGTTATTTCTAAAAAATATTTTCTAAAAAAAATTATTATGAATGCATTGGTAATGAGGGTTGACATAAATAGGCTATATTCCAAAATGCTTATTGAGCAAATGACTAAAGGAGATGTTACATAATATTATGTCTTCTCAGTTATGTTTGTATTTAGCTTTGTATCATAGTTTTTCTGTATTTGATCATCTATTCCCACTACCAGTTTACAAAGTCTTGGATGAAAGAGATTCTGGATTGGTCATCATGACCTCAGTAACTTGAATTGTGCATTATATATTGAAATACACAATAACTTCATATGCTGGGATAAACTGCACCATTTTAAGGTGCTTCAGGCACCTCACTACCTATATTATAAAGCTTTTGAATATATTTGTATATCTTTTTGCCATGCAAGTTTTTCTTCTCAGAAGAAACATTTTTTATTTTCTAAAAAGATGTTAAGCAGAAATTCTATGACATTCCTATGGAACGATACCTTAAAAGTAATGTGTAAACTGCCCTGCTGATTTAACAAGATGGCCCAACAATCTTTCAACCTGCTACTTAGACCACATGGGTTTCAATTAGTTCCAATTTCATGACAGTCACTTTTTTTTAACATGACCTGATTTAGTGAAAGGTGAGCTGGTCTGAGACCACAAATTCACTGAAGATTGGCCAACAAATAGTAAACAGATGGTAACAACATCTATTCAATTCACATGTGGGTTGGAAATCAAACAGTGACCTTAATATAGAAATCTCCATGCTTTCATTCATTTAGTATCTATTGCTTTCCAAATTCATGTTCAATGTACCTTTTTTTTGAGTATGGAAGATTATCAGTGAAACAATGAAACAGTTTTATTTTATATATATATATATATATTTGTTTTATATATATACATATAGCTTTAATTTTCAAGTTAATGAACGAAAAAATAAAATAGTCACATTTAGAATATGAAACATGTACATTTGAAAACTTGTTTTTCTTAGTGATCCTTTAAATTTAGCAATAAATATACAGAAATACTATATAATGTAATTTTGATATGAATTAAGTTGACGGTAGTAGCTCATTTTGCCCCAGCATTTAATAAGGCTATATAAAAATCATTTAATGTAGACAGTAGAATGTTATATCCATATGGTCAAGGACGTTATATTCCTTCTCATTGCTTTGGCTTCAATACTTAGTATAGTGCCTGTTTAATGGTAAGCTCAATAAATATTTGTCAAATAAGTGATTGGGCTTATATTTCGAGTGGCATTTACTGAATTTGTCAGTATAAAAATCCTGTATGTAGATCCTTCTTAATAAGCCAACATTTACTGAATAGTATTTGTCTCATGGGTACAGACAGAGGTGAATGTATTAAGAGTATATTCTCTTCAAAATGTACAATTTATTGCTGGTCAAAATACGTAACTAAAATATCTTTGAAATTGATTTATGTATATTATGGTACAAATAAGTGCACTCCTTTCCTGGGTTCAAATTAATTTTGGAAATAAGCAGACTTCTCTTTGCATCATTTAAAGGTACTATATTTCTTTTATATTGAAAATGTTGTGTTATATGTTAAAGGACATAACTTAATGTCATTGGCAGTGTTCTTCATAATTCTTTTAAAATGCGCTAAATGATATTCTATCTGCATCATTAGGTTACTGTACAACACTGTCCTTTGAGAGTATGGTTTTGCTATCATTTTTAGTTGTAATTACTTCTCACAAAAACTGTATGGGCTTATTGGAATGACTTGATGTGTGAAGGTTGAGAAGACAATGCCTACAGTCACTGTAAATAACCACAGCTTGACTGCGTGACATGTTTATTTCACAGAAGTTCGACCTTACAAGGTGCTGTATTTCTGAGTGTGATATTTTAAACCTTTCGGAATTTATGATTTTCTATAAAAGTCTGAATTTAGAGATTTCTTGTAACTCGGAGTTTCTCAGCCTCAGCACTTTTGACATTTTAGACCAGATAATTCTTTGCTCCGGGGGGTGAACTATACATGGTGAGATGTACAGCCACATCTCTTTGTCTCTACTAATAGATGCCAAAAGCACCCTCCACTTGAGTGATGAAAATCAAAAACATCCCTAAACATTGCCAAATACCCTGTGATAGCAAAGCCACCCTTGGTCAAAAACCACTGCGTCACTTTCTTTTTGTTGCATGTGTAAGTGTGTGTAAAGAAATTCTCAAGAGAATTTTGTCCTCATTGTACGAGGCTCAAAACTGAGAATGTTAGGTAAAGTGACACACAACCTAAAAAGAAGTGCCATGGGGCCACCAAAAAATAGGAACCAGGCACTCTGTCTAAGGGCTTTCTTGGAGGTAGAACTAGTTCTACTCTACCGAACATCACCCTCGTTATTCTTCCCATATACGGGGCTATAGGAGAAGAGAATGATCAGAAAGGTTATTCCTTTGCTTTTGAAAGTGTAGCATTTGTTGGGAAAGGCTTCTTTACATCAAGAAAGTGCTGAAGGGAGCTCCACCAGCGCCTTCTGAAGAACCCGCTATGAAGGAGTTGATATTAAATTACTGTATAAATAGACAAGTGGCTTAACCAGTTACCTGTCATTGTGCATTTTTGTTGTTTTCTGTGTTTAACTGTTACGTGTACATCTTTTGAAAGTTCTTGTCTAATGCGATGTGTGTGTGTGTGTGTGTGTGTGTGTGTGTTTCATTTCTTTTGTGCAAACACCAAAGAGTAAACCTTTTAGGCCAGGGAGGAATAGATATATCTTCAAGAGTTTCAGAGCCAGAAGGCATCAAAGGCTAATTAGTGTTTTGTCATAGAAGCATCAACAGGTCCTAAAGATAGGATAGTGACTTTATTTCATGAAGCTTTTCTCTCTTTCTTCTCTCTGCTCCAAAACACTAGAGCAACTAGGGCCTTATGAGGGTAAAATAATTTCTGCATCTTTAGAATTGATGTGAGATTAGAGGTTTAAAATGATTTGACCAAGTTTAACTACCAAGGCTCATTAGGAATTAATGAAATATGCCACAAATAATACTACAGTGTGTGATATGAGGAAATGGCAAATCACTGTTCAAAGATACGGGGGCAAAATAAAAATCTTTATCTATGCCTCAAATAGTTGAGACTATTGAGTTAACTTGTTTCATGCAGACAAATAAATATATCCACGTAGAGAGATACATAAATGTATGTAGATGACAATGGATAGCAAAATTTAGAAATGTAGAAATACAATTTATTTTTTAAGAGACCCCAACTTAGCTTTGAAACCATGAGTTCTCATGAAGATAAAAAAAATCCACTTGATGATTATGACTCTACATTATCTTTGTCACTTTTGGTTAAAATTGTTTTCTTTTTGTAAAATGAACTCAAATTTAATATTCAAACCTAATCAAGTTAAGACTATTTTTCCTCTCTCTTCTTCTGTCTTATTCTGCCCAGGTGAGGTAAATGAAGTACCCAGGGGCATATGCACAGTCCTGATACAAATGAAGAGGCATCTGGCCCATGGAGGCATGATTACAGTCATGCTTAGTTAAACAGACAAGCTTCAGTGTTTCAACATCATTCTTTATCCTCACTGTATCTACTGTCCAAGTCTCTACAGCTGGTATATTGCAGGAAAGTGAAAATTAGGGAGCCCAGACGCCCCCCTAATGATAGAATTCACTGAGATTTTAGTAATGTTGCAGAGGCCTCAACTCAGCTCCGTTCTTCCCCTGGTTCTCTAACGTTGGGCTATTTATCTTAGAACTTCCATAGACAGTGCAGCTTTGGGCAAAGTTTCATTCAGTTCTCTGGAATTTTAACTCAGGCATTTGTAGGCATGCTTCAGTTTTGTTTGTTCAACAAATATCTGATGGTGTTTCCCTTTTAGAGTTATTGATAGTACTGCTTGCAATTTTTCTTATATTTGTGTTCTACTTGTTTAAACCCATTATGTAAATAATTATTTACAATTTTTAGCCATATAGTCAAACAGACATTTTCAGAATCTATTAATATGATTAAAGTACACCTTCAACCATATATTTGAACTTTGTCCCCAGGTTTTGTGGTATATATTTTCTAGTAAGCACCTAATTTTACAATGTAATCTAGTATAGGTGTCTAGAAAATGGATGGATTTTATCAAAATCAAGGTAAATGACATATGGAGGTAAATATGCAAAAAGTAAGAAATTTGATTAAAATTGTAATCATAATTTATTAGATTTAAAACAAGCACTATAAAAAGTATAACCAGTGCATCTCTCTATCTTGCTACTCTCTTCCCCAAGAGAATGATTTCTAAAGAAATAAACCTATTATACAGAAAAAGAGATGAGGATGTGATGATTGTTGTTACATTATATTCTTATGAATCTATGACAACAGATATCTAATATATAATCAGAATTAATTACTCATAAAAACAACTTTCAACCCAATCAATTGTCAAATTCCATTAGATTCTGTCTTTCAAATACACAATAAAATCCATGTTGTATGATTTAATTTTTTTTCAAGAAAAACAGTTTTGGTCGGGCATGATGGCTCACACCTGTAATCCCAGCACTTTGGGAGGCCAAGGTTGGTAGATCACTTCAGGTCAGGAGTTTGAGACCAGCCTGGCTGAAGTGGTGAAACACATTCTCTACTATTAATATAAAAATTAGCCAGGCATGGTGGTGTGCACCCATAATCCCAGCTACTCAGAAGGCTGAGGCACGAGAATTGCTTGAACCTGGGAGGCGGAGGTTGCAGTGAGCTGAGATTGCACCACTGCGTTCCAGCCTGGGCAATAGAGTGAGACTCTGTCTCAAAAATATAAAAAGAAAAACAGTTATAATTTTTTTCCAAAGACAATAATTTATTCTCATTTTCTTTCTGATAACGTATGGGTAAAACTAAACATTTACAAATATTAATATTTTTATTTTTATTTTCAAAATTTTATTAATATATTATGTATATTAGGTTTGGAATACTATGCTTTAAGGAAAAATTCTTCATGCAAATTAAACAATCAAACTGAGTAATTTGAGATGTGTTAGAAAATATTGTATTATTCAAAAATGATAAGTATATATTTCAATTGACTCGCTTAATTTTTTTTACTTTTTAGAGTATAATGTTATTTTGTATAATTTAAGTCACAGATGCAGATTAGAACATTACTTGTTATTTCTTTTTTTATTTTGATAACTGCAGTTTCTTTATTATTATTATTAGACTTTAAATTTTAGGGTACATGTGCACAATGTGCAGGTTAGTTACATATGTATACATGTGCCATGCTGGTGCACTGCACCCACTAACTCGTCATCTAGCATTAGGTATATCTCCCAATGCTATCCCTCACCACCACCCCCAACCCCACAAGTTGATGTTCCCCTTCCTGTGTTCATGTGTTCTCATTGTTCAATTCCCACCTATGAGTGAGAATATGCGGTGTTTGCTTTTTTGTTCTTGCGATAGTTTACTGAGAATGATGATTTCCAATTTCATCCATGTCCCTACAAAGGACACAAACTCATCATTTTTTATGGCTGCATAGTATTCCATGGTGTATATGTGCCACATTTTCTTAATCCAGTCTATGACTGTTGGACATTTGGGTTGGTTCCAAGTCTTTGCTATTGTGAATAGTGCCGCAATAAACATACGTGTGCATGTGTCTTTATAGCAGCATGATTTATAGTCCTTTGGGTATATACCCAGTAAAGGGATGGCTGAGTCAAATGGTATTTCTAGTTCTAGATCCCTGAGGAATCACCACACTGACTTCCACAATGGTTGAACTAGTTTACAGTCCCACCAACAGTGTAAAAGTGTTCCTATTTCTCCACATCCTCTCCAGCACCTGTTGTTTCCTGACTTTTTAATGATTGCCATTCTAACTGGTGTGAGATGATATCTCATTGTGGTTTTGATTTGCATTTCTCTGATGGCCAGTGATGGTGAGCATTTTTTCATGTGTTTTTTGGCTGCATAAATGTCTTCTTTTGAGAAGTGACTGTTCATGTCCTTTGCCCACTTTTTGATGGGGTTGTTTGTTTTTTTCTTGTAAATTTGTTTGAGTTCATTGTAGATTCTGGATATTAGCCCTTTGTCAGATGAGTAGGTTGTGAAAATTTTCTCTCATTTTGTGGGTTGCCTGTTCACTCTGATGGTAGTTTCTTTTGCTGTGCAGAAGCTCTTTAGTTTAATTAGATCCCATTTGTCAATTTTGTCTTTTGTTGCCATTGCTTTTGGTGTTTTAGACATGAAGTCCTTGCCCATGCCTATGTCCTGAATGGCAATGCCTAGGTTTTCTTCTAGGGTTTTTATGGTTTTAGGTCTAACGTTTAAGTCTTTAATCCATCTTGAATTGATTTTTGTGTAAGGTGCAAGGAAGGGATCCAGTTTCAGCTTTCTACAGATGGCTAGCCTGTTTTCCCAGCACCATTTATTAAATAGGGAATCCTTTCCCCATTGCTTGTTTTTCTCAGGTTTGTCAAAGATCAGATAGTTGTAGATATGCACCGTTATTTCTGAGGGCTCTGTTCTGTTCCATTGATCTATATCTCTGTTTTGGTACAAGTACCATGCTGTTTTGGTTACTATAGCCTTGTAGTATAATTTGAAGTCAGGTAGTGTGATGCCTCCAGCTTTGTTCTTTTGGCTTAGGATTGACTTGGCGATGTGGGCTCTTTTTTGGTTCCATATGAACTTTAAAGTAGTTTTTTCCAATTCTGTGAAGAAAGTCATTGGTAGCTTGATGGGGATGGCATTGAATCTGTAAATTACCTTAGGCAGTATGGCCATTTTCACGATATTGATTCTTCCTACCCATGAGCATGGAATGTTCTTCCATTTGTTTGTATCCTCTTTTATTTCCTTGAGCAGTGGTTTGTAGTTCTCCTTGAAGAGGTCCTTCACATCCCTTGTAAGTTGGATTCCTAGGTATTTTATTCCCTTTGAAGCAATTGTGAATGGGAGTTCACTCATGATTTGATTCTCTGTTTGTCTGTTATTGGTGTATAAGAATGCTTGTGATTTTTGTACAGTGATTTTGTATTGTGAGACTTTGCTGAAGTTCCTTATCAGCTTAAGGAGATTTTGGGCTGAGACAATGGGGTTTTCTAGATATACAATCATGTCATCTGCAAACAGGGACAATTTGACTTCCTCTTTTCCTAATTGAATACCCTTTATTTCCTTCTCCTGCCTAATTGCCCTGGCCAGAACTTCCAACACCATGTTGAATAGGAGTGGTGAGAGAGGGCATCCCTGTCTTGTGCCAGTTTTCAAAGGGAATGCTTCCAGTTTTTGCCCATTCAGTATGATATTGGCTGTGTGTTTGTCATAGATAGCTCTTATTATTTTGAGATATGTCCCATCAATACCTAATTTATTGAGAGTTTTTGGCATGAAGGGCTGTTGAATTTTGTCAAAGGCCTTTTCTGCATCTATTGAGATAATCATGTGGTTTTTGTCTTTGGTTCTGTTTATATGCTGGATTACATTTATTGATTTGCGTATATTGAACCAGCCTTGCATCCCAGGGATGAAGCCCACTTGATCATTGTGGATAAGCTTTTTGATGTGCTGCTGGATTCGGTTTGCCAGTATTTTATTGAGGATTTTTGCATCAATGTTCATCAAGGATATTGGTCCAAAATTCTCTTTTTTCATTGTGTCTCTGCCCAGCTTTAGTATCAGGATGATGCTGGCCTCATAAAATGAGTTAGGGAGGATTCCCTCTTTTTCTATTGATTGGAATAGTTTCAGAAGGAATGGTACCAGTTCCTCCTTGTACCTCTGGTAGAATTCGGCTGTGAATCCATCTGGTCCTGGACTCTTTTTGGTTGGTAAGCTATTGATTATTGCCACAATTTCAGCTCCTGTTATTGGTCTATTCAGAGATTCAACTTCTTCCTGGTTTAGTCTTGGGAGAGTGTATGTGTCGAGGAATTTATCCATTTCTTCTAGATTTTCTCGTTTATTTGCATAGAGGTGTTTGTAGTAATCTCTGATTGTAGTTTGTATTTCTGTGGGATCGGTGGTGATATCCCCTTTATCATTTTTTATTGCATCTATTTGATTCTTCTCTCTTTTTTTCTTTATTAGTCTTGCTAGCAATCTGTCAGTTTTGTTGATCCTTTCAACAAACCAGCTCCTGGATTCATTAATTTTTTGAAGGGTTTTTTGTGTGGCTATTTCCTTCAGTTCTGCTCTGATTTTAGTTATTTCTTGCCTTCTGCTAGCTTTTGAATGAGTTTTCTCTTGCTTTTCTAGTTCTTTTAATTGTAATGTTAGGGTGTAAATTTTGGATCTTTCCTGCTTTCTCCTGTGGGCATTTAGTGCTATAAATTTCCCTCTACACACTGCTTTGAATGTGTCCCAGAGATTCTGGTATGTTGTGTCTTTGTTCTCATTGGTTTCAAAGAACATCTTTATTTCTGCCTTCATTTCGTTATGTACCCAGTAGTCATTTAGGAGCAGGTTGTTCAGTTTCCATGTACTTGAGCGGTTTTGAGTGAGTTTCTTAATCCTGAGTTCTAGTTTGATTGCACTGTGGTCTGAGAGACAGTTTGTTATAATTTCTGTTCTTTTACATTTGCTGAGGAGAGCTTTACTTCCAACTATGTGGTCAATTTTGGAATAGGTGTGGTGTGGTGCTGAAAAAAATGTTTATTCTGTTGATTTGGGGTGGAGAGTTCTGTAGATGTCTATTAGGTCCGCTTGGTGCACAGCTGAGTTCAATTCCTGGGTATCCTTGTTAATTTTCTGTCTCGCTGATCTGTCTAATGTTGACAGTGGGGTGTTAAAGTCTCCCATTATTAATGTGTAGGAGTCTAAGTCTCTTTGTAGGTCACTCAGGACTTGCTTTATGAATCTGGGTGCTCCTGTATTGGGTGCATATATATTTAGGATCGTTAGCTCTTCTTGTTGAATTGATCCTTTTACCATTATGTAATGGCCTTGTTTGTCTCTTTTGGTCTTTGTTGGTTTAAAATCTGTTTTATCAGGGACTAGGATTGCAACCTGTGCCTTTTTTTGTTTTCCGTTTGCTTGGTAGATCTTCCTCCATCCTTTTATTTTGAGTCTATTTGTGTCTCTGCATGTGAGATGGGTTTCCTGAATACAGCACACTGATGGGTCTTGACTCTTTATCCAGTTTGCCAGTCTGTGTCTTTTAATTGGATAATTTAGTCCATTTACATTTAAAGTTAATATTTTTATGTGTGAATTTGATCCTGTCATTATGTTAGCTGGTTATTTTGCTCATTAGTTGATGCAGTTTCTTCCTAGTCTTGATGGTCTTTACATTTTGGCATGATTTTACAGCGGCTGGTACCGGTTGTTCCTTTCCATGTTTAGCACTTCCTTCAGGAGCTCTTTTAGGGCAGGCCTGGTGGTGACAAAATCTCTCAGCATTTGCTTGTCTGTAAAGTATTTTATTTCTCCTTCACTTATGAAGCTTAGTTTGGCTGGATATGAAATTCTGGGTTGAAAATTCTTTTCTTTAAAAATGTTGAATATTGGCCCCCACTCTCTTCTGGCTTGTAGAGTTTCTGCCGAGAGATCCGCTGTTAGTCTGATGGGCTTCCCTTTGTGGGTAAACTGGCCCTTCTCTCTGGCTGCCCTTAACATTTTTTCCTTCATTTCAACTTTGGTGAATCTGACAATTATGTGTCTTGGAGTTGCTCTTCTCGAAGAGTATCTTTGTGGCATTCTCTGTATTTCCTGAATCTGAATGTTGGCCTGCCTTGCTAGATTGGTATTTCTATTTGTGTTCACTATTCAATTGCTTTGACTTTTTATATGTTTGAAAATTTTGACAATAAAATATTTGAAAAATATTTATTTTTATTTATATTACTGAAATATTGTGGATCTCATTTTTGCCATGCAACAATACCACCACAAATTTCACAGCTGAAGACAGCACAATTTTACTATGTATTTCAGTGGGTCATAAATCTGGGCATGGCCAAATTGTTTTTTGCATCCAGGTCTCACATATCTGCAATCAAGAAGTTGTTGGCTAGGGCTGTGGTCTCATCTGAAGTTCAGCTAAGGGAGGGTTTACTTCTAAGTTCACTTGGCTGTTGGCAGGATTCATTTTATTGAAGACTATCATTCTGAGATCCTCAGCCTCTTGCTTGCTGGAAGCCACAATCAGCTGCTCACTATTTGGACCTTCCAATTGTACAGCTTATTTCATTAATTCCAGGAAGGGTGAGTATCAACAGAGAGAGTCTTCTAGTAAAACACAAGTAATGATTTTAAGTGACATAATCATGGATCTGACATTCCATCACCTTTGTCTTTTGCCATATTCTATTAGTTAGAAGCAAGTTATAGGTCCCACCCATACTTAAGGGGAGGGAATCACACAATAGCATGAATACTAGGTGATGGGGAAAATTTGGAAGCCATTTTACACTCTGCCGTTCAAGACATTTTTATTTTCATTGGTCTTAGAGAATGAACTTCATGCATTTTTGAAGTAATTTTATAGAGCCTGTTATGTTCATGTTACATGCAACTTTGGCTCACAGAGTACAAATGGTTTGTAGTCTTTGAATATTCACTGGTAAAAAGAGGTGTGGTTTATAAATGACTTTTGCCATAGGATATCCATTTTTTTTGCCTAACATATTTTCTGGGTTATTTATAAAGAGAAAGAGGAAAACTTGCTTTCAACAATGAGTACATGTTAAATGTTATAATTTAGAATCTTAATTATATATTTTGAGATCAGTATGGACATTGCAAAAATTATTTTTAACATCTGGCACCAAAGGTTAGTTTATTTACAAAAAAACAAAAAATGAAAAACAAAAAAAAAAACAGAAAAAAAACAAAAAAACTGCCTTTGTTTAGTCCAGGAATTACCTGCTGGTATTTGAGATTATAGTTTAGAAGGCATCAAATACCTACCTACCTACATACATACATACAAATAAAATACAAGTATAAACAAACAAAAATAGCTCTTCTGCTTAGAAAATAAAAAGTGCTGAGTCAGATGAAATACAAAATAGGAGAGAGGGGACTGAAACAGGCTGATTTATAATAAAAAAGCACAACGTTTATGGACTAAATTAGTGAGATATTTGAGTGCTCAAGAACTTTTAGTACTAAGGATTCTATTCTTCCATCTTTTTGTTAAGTTTCTTACATGCACAAATGTTTTTATAAGGTGACCAAGATTAAGTTACAAAGTACCATAGTAAGTTTATCTTTAAATTTATTGAAGATATGTGTCAAATGACATTTATGGATAATGAAGAAAAAATAGATTGAATTTAACATCTGGCAAGATGAAGACTAGAGAGTAACTCATGTGAGGTGGGATTCCAGGAATTTTGAGGCTGAGGTTAAAAAAAAAGCCACCTTCCCCTCCACTCCAATTTATAGAAATCACAATAAACCCTTGGGCATTCTATAGAAGTTATCAAAGGACAAAGAAATTTCAGGCGAATGAAGCTCAAATTTACAATGACTGTATGAAGGGGATATTCTAATATTTGTCTTACAATGCAGATATTGAATCTTGGGAATGATAATGATTTGCCCAAGATCCCCCAGTAAGTAGTTACCAGACTAGGATTCAAATTTGGGTGAGTCTAAGTCTACATCAAACATTCCTTTCACTGCAATTTATGTGGATACCTCAACTGAGGAAACCGGAAGCAGCAAGATGGTTTGAGGAACACTGTGCATTTTATTCCCATACCTTTGTGTGTGCATGTATGTATGTGTGCGATTCATGACCAATGAAAATATAAATGGCAGTCTATAATCAAGCAGGAAGTATTTCTGAAGACCAAGACTTACTGGCACTATAGTCAAGTTGAAATGGACTTGGTATGCCACACATTTTTTACTAATTACTATAATATCTAAGTCTAAAAGAGTGGCAAAATTCAAACTGTTCCAACAGGCTCCTTTTTGGCATGTGATATATGACTGTAATACTACAAGCGGTCCTTAACAAATAATTTTACTCAAATATTTAATTAAAATAGCATGAGTTTTAAGACTGGAGAGCATAATTTTTATGCATAGGTAACTCATGACTGTATTATGTATCTTATGTCCTGGACAAGTTACAAAATGTCATAATTCATTTATCTCTAGCTCTGTTAAAGATTTTTGGCAAATTATATGTAGGTCTTTTATAAGAAGAATATTAAACATATCAATGTTTTCCAAAATAAACTGATGTTAGTATGCTTGTAAAAATTGGAACTTTGAACACCATTTGAGTAATTAAATGAAACGACTTATTAATTCGGAAGAAAAGCTTGCATAAATGTCAACTGGTGTGTGGAGAATAATTAAATCGTAATTCCAAAAGGTTAATGTAGCAATTTACTTGTCCTGATTTTTAAATTTAGGTAATAGTGCAGATTTTTGCAATATGGCAAACGAATCTATGACTTATTTTCCAATATGCATGGGAATTGTACATCTGTGTTGAGTTTTTTATGTTACCCTACAATAATATATTTGATATCAATTATTTTTATATACTGTGTACCAAATTGTATTGGTATTTAGGTTTCAATATCTTATAACTATTCCAAGTACGATAATAATACAATCAATTTATATATAAGTTGACTGATGAATGTCCTTGCAAAAGAACAGTTAATAATTATGCTGTAGCAGATATTTAATTGTCCTTATTTACCATTCTTAGAGTCTCACTTAATTCTGGGCACATCCCAACTCTCGAATTTTGTTGATTTCATTTTTATACATTTTCTTCTTTGACAACATGTAGTACTAATCAGCTTTCTGGAAAAAAGAAGATGAATATATTTATTTTCTTTATTTTTGAATGATAAAATATATGAGGAAACTCTTATTTACCAAATTGAATAAGCTATAAACTGTCACAACCAAAATTAAGACCCATAATATGTTCTTATATTATCATTACAGTATATATTTTAGTTCATCTTCTACTATTGTTATTACCTCATAGTTGAGACTGGGAATGCCTTTCCATTTAATTTTTATAGCATAATTCTAAAAGGTAGGCATGTGTAGTATTTAAATTTGTATGCTGTTGCATTTTATGAGTACAATGTGATTTAGAAATCAATTTGCATTTAAAAACCTCTTGCTAAAAAGTAGAGTTTTTGAGAATCAGCTTTATTACTTGATAATAAATGCATTTATCAAATATTATTCTTAAAGCATTTATCTGATAAAATGCACTAGATAATAAAATAGTCTTTTGAGAATTTTAGTGGTATATTATTGGAGAGCTTTTTAAGTCACTGATGTTAAGTATATTGACTAACCTATATGGCAATTTAATAGCTTAAATTTTTAATATAATTTCTGCTGATAGTGGCAGTTGAAGGAATTTGCAAATGGGTTCACAAATATAAAATTTCTGCACAGCGTGTCGATAGCTTCTTCATTTATATTATTTACTTTCTGTGCATTAAGCTTTACAGATGCTACATGTTTCTACCTAAGACTTTTTTCAGGAGACAAAGCATAAGAAATATAAATCTCTGATGAGAGTCTCGTAATTACTAGATGATAATGGGACATACGGAATAATAGCAGGAAGAAATGTGAGGGTCAAGAGTTTTTGCTTCCAATCTCTATTTTTTCATCTCACACTTCCTTATCTAATGTGGCAAATCAAGCATTAAAATATTGGCAATGAGACAGAATTTAAAGATTAAAAAGTCATAAGAAAATACACATCAAAAACAAAAAAGAGTCAGACAATAGATACCAAATATATAGATTTTAACAAAAAGATCCATGATTAGCATTAATTTGAATTGATGTCTTTCTATTTACTCCTTCAATTCTACTCTAAATATAAAGACTTTCTCAGAGATATTGTTCTTACTGCTTATTCTTCTCATATGGTATTCAATTTTATAATATTTTTGTTTCAGATATATATACACACACATATATACACATTCATACATATGCAATTCTGCATGATTATCTTTAAGGGAGTTTTAATTATTTTTTGTGTCTTTACTGCATTAATTTCTAGTTATCCATGCAGACATGAGCTGTAGGTGCTATCCAAATGCTCTCTAAAACACAACAGAAATGACATGAAGTCTATTTATTTGATTTTAAAGTAGTTCTTTTTGAAATACAATAGTAAGCAATATTAAATATGTTAAAGACATTATGGAAATCTAGATAACATCACATAAGCTTTTATTTTGCAATAAAACAGGATTATAATGTATACATTTAAGACAGAATTATAGAATTTAGCTTTTTTACAGCTTTTGCAATAGATAGTAAAATAGTATATTAATAGACACAGAAACACCTTGCTAATAAATAATTCTGTTTTTTTAAATTTATGATTTTATTTCTTTCATCAATTGGTATTTTAATTTAGATATTTGTTTACAAATTGACTTATTTGATATGTCATCAATGAAACACAATTTCTCCAATTATGACAATATTTTCACTTGTGTAGGAGCTTTAGGCATGAAATAGGACAGAGAGATAGAAGAAACACTTGAAGTAGGAATGTTTTAATTAAGTAGTTAATGAGGTTTCTAAATCCCTTAAAAATTCTGGGCCAGATGCATTGGCTTACACTTTTAATGCCAGCACTTTGGGAGGCCAAAGTGGAAGAATGGCTTGAGCCTGGGAGTTCAAGACCAGCCTGGGCAACATAGCAAGTCTCCAAAATTAAAAAACAACAACAAAAAAAGCTGGGCATGGTGCTACATACCTGTAGTTCCAGCTACTTGGGAGGCTGAGGCAAGAGGACCTCTTGAATGCAGGAGTTCAAGGCTGCAGTTGAGTATGATCATACCACTATATGGATAACAGTGCAATTTATAGTAAATATTGAACTCTAGTAATAAACTTTGAGCAAATTGATGACTGTGTATGCTTTATTTTTACATAACAGGTACTTGCTGAAATTTATCCTTCTTCCTCTGAAAAGTATTTTTAAATAAATTCCATTATTTACTTTCAAATTCACTATTTTAATATCAAAAAATCAATTCTATGATTACTTCACCATCATTTCCTTTTTGGCATTTGATGAAGCTTTATGTATTATTTTTGTGTTGAGGCTTATGAAAAAACAGATGTTGATATATGCAAACACACACATGCACTTAAAACTTGTTTTTTTTTTTTTTCTAATATAAGCTAGATGGAGAGGCAGGGTGAAATTACTTATCTCTTAAAAATAGATATACATTGGGGAAATCTTCAGTCCCAAAATACAATTATTGCAGGAATTTTCCTTTGTATTTTCTAGAATTTAGTTGGAAGCACAGTGTTACTAAACTAAAGAATGATTTGTGCTGTATTACTAGTAACAATTGTCCATGTTGCCTTCTAATTTCCAAATCATGATGCCAAATGATTAACAGGAACAGCTAAAATCAACAAAGGAAGCATGATTATAAATAACTATTGACAATAGGAGAACTCTGAGAAAACATTAATTTTTCTATTCATAATTTAATCATCTGGATAACTACTAGAAGAAAAAACGCTAAGCCACATGATGAAGCTCATGTAGAAATAATAAAGGTGCTATTAACCGGCAGTATGAAGAAACTAGGCAAAATGAGTATGTTCCTCTTACATTTGACTGGTACCTTCATTCATTTTGATATTGATAGGGGCTAGATAATAAAATGCTTTCACACTTCCATTTTTTAAAAAGTTATCTTCTATAGTACTTTAAAGCTTTAGGGCCATAACTTGACATTATAGACACAATTTAATTAATAAATGTGCATGAATAAATAGGATCAGAATAAAATTTGTTTAGAGCAGTATTTCTCAAACTTTAGATTTTCTAAGGATCACCCAAAGAGCTTAGTTAAAATATACATATCTAGTCCTCATCCTTTGAGACAATGATTTGGTCAGTCTTGTATTGAGCCCTAGTAGTTGCATTTCTTACAAACTCCCAGGTGATACTGACACTGTTGGGATAGTATTTTTAGTCAATGTTTAAAATATTATCTTTATTTGTGTCTTAGAAACTCCTTTTAGTGCTATTTTGTGGTATAGATTGTGAATCATGAGAGAAAGTTTATGGTATATTTAATAGTTCTATTTATCAATGCCTGTAGACCCAGGTTAGAGACAAGTCATACAAACAAAAGATGAAACCAAAGGGTTGAAGTGCTTAAAATGCTAGACATCCATGCATTTAACATTTAATAAACATTATTAAACACCAACTATAGGTTTGTGCTTGTCAATATGTGATGAACTCCAGAAGCTTACACTCATTCAATGGATAAAGATATCTAACAGTTACTGGATATCTGGTGATGATCAATGAAAGTACCTGTTTTCAGACACTCCTCTCACTCTCCTGCTTTTCTCCTTGAAATATCCTTAAGGTATCATCTCATGGCTAGTTAATTTTCCCCGGCAGGCTCTGGAGTGGTGACTTGTGGTTAAGACCTCAGGCTTTGGAATAATATTGCCAAAATTCCCAAAAGGGTTTATATCAAGAGTAATCTACTAACATGTTATTTGGCCTGAGACTGGAAACATAACTTTCAGTGTTGATTTTACCATCTATAAAATGGGGATAAAGTACTGAGTACAGTGTAACACAGAAAGCCCTCCATAAATCTTAATTATTATCATCACTATTTTTTTATGTAAAACCACAATAGAAACACTTCTATAAAATTTTATGCTTATGAAACTTCCTTGGAAATGTTCTATCTGATTACAAATGCAGGTGATGATTTCCGCTTAGGGAAATAGTTGTTGCAACCATTAATTACATATTAAGTTTAAGAACTTGATGTGTCCCATTTAATCTCGATTAAACACAGTACAGGTCAAGTGATTGATGTATTCGAAGAAAAATAGGATGGAAAAAGTACAGATATTTAAAGCTTACAGCTTATTACAACAAAATACTTTTAGAACAGATAATAGGAAACTATAATAAGCGGGTTTCTATGGAACAACTGAACATTATGTTAAACATAGGCAAAAGCTTTTTAATAGTGCACAATTAAACCAAAGGTAAGCCTGGTAAGCAATTCACCTAAGAGGTAATTTTTCAGAGTATGGGGAAGAATAACAGCAATGACATAAAACAGAAGACATGAGAGAATAAGGTGAAAATCATCTTTGAAATTCAGACCTTTAAGTTTTTCAAGTGCATCATTTAGTATCATTGATGTGAGGTCTGAGCAAATGCCACTCTGAATTACCTCAAGGCTTAGGCTCATTATTATTAATGATTTCATAATGGATATGGCAAAACTAGAGGTACTTATCATATTTTATCAAAATGTTATCTGTTAATATACATCCCAAGTCTTCTAAAAACCAAAAAAACTTAGTGAGGAGATTTACAAAGGAAATTTTATTCCATTTATAATGATCTCTGATATGTCTGTGTCAATCCATTGCTCAATACAAATATTCACAACATGGATGAACATCCTGTAATAGCTTGATCAAAGAAATATCAACTAGAAAAACATTGATTACTTTATTTATGAATATTGTTTTCAATAAATGAAATTCACTTATAAACAGAAAACATAAACTAAGATATGGTTTAATCAAATGAAATTATGTTTGAATTGTGATTTATGAAGTATATATACACGCATGTATATTTTAATATTTAACTATGAGAAAGTAAACATTTGTATCATAACATTATGGATCAAATTGATTCATTTATTCATTCTGCAAAATATTTATTCAGGACCTATTATGCATCAAGCATTTTGCTACATGCTTGGATTTGAGCAATAAAATTAACATATCAGACCTCATGGTACTTACTTTCTACAACTTCTTTTCTATACATTTATGTAATTAAATATTTTAGGTAGTGAAAAGTAATATAAAGAAAAAAATGAAGAGGATCAAGAGCATACAAGTGGCTGCTGTTCTAGAAGACATAGGCAGGGAAAGACTTAGGAGTATGTTGAGCAGAGTCTGAATGAAGCACAGGGGCCAGAAAGACATCTGGAAAAAAGGCACTTCAGGCAGAAAGGACAGCCAGTACAAAAGCTGTAGGTGGAAAATGCCTTTGTTCTGACAGTAGAAATTTGGTTATGCAGTTAAGTCAGAGTGGAAGAGTGGGAGTAAAGGATGTTAGAAAATTTACTAGTGGCCTGATAACTTAGGAAGGACTATGAAGCCTGTCATAAAATTCAAGATTTATTGTATACAAGGCAAGATAAGACATTGAATGTTTTTGAGCAGAAGAGTAACCGAATCCCAAACAAATATAGGACATCACGAGCTGTGGGTGGAAAATTGACTTATAAAGGCACAAAATGGTAGCAGGGTGTATTAGTCCATTCTCATGCTGCTAATAAAGACATACTTGAGACTGGGTCATTTATAAAGGAAAGAGGTTTAATTGACTCACAGTTCAGCATGGCTGGGGAGGCCTCAGGAAACTTACATAGCAGAAGGGAAAGCAAACACCTTCTTCACATGGCAGCAGAAAGGAGAAGTGTTGAGCAAAGAGGAGAAGCCCCTTATAAAACCATTAGATCTCACGAGAACCCACTCACCACCATGAGAGGAGCATGGGAATAACTGTCACCATGATTCAACCACCTCCCACCAGGTCCTTCCCACAACACATGGGGATTACGGGAACTAGAATTCAAGATGAGATCTAGGTGGAGACAGAGCCAAAACATATCGTTTCACCCCTGGTACCTCCCAGATTTCATGTCCTCACATTTCAAAACACAATCATGCCTTCCCAACAGTTCCCCAACGACTTAATTTATTCCAACATTAACTCAAAAGTTCAATGCCAAAGTATCATCTGAGCAAGCAAGTCTCTTCTGCCTATAAGTCTGTGAAATCAAAATCTAGTTACTTCCTAGATAGAATGGGGGTACAGGCATTGGATAAATACACCTGTTCCAAATTGGAGGAGCTGGCCAAAACAAAGGGGCTACTAGAGGCCCCATGCAAGTTCAAAATCCCATAGGACAGTCTTTAAACCTTAAAGTTCCAAAATGATGTCCTTTAACTCCATGTCTCACATCCATATCATGCTGATGCAAGAGGTGGGTTCCTATGGTCTTGTGCAGCTCTGCCCCTTTGACTTCGCAGATTACAGCCTCCCTCCTGGCTGCTTTTACAGGCTGGCATTGCATGTCTGTGGCTTTTCCAGGTGCACGGTACAAGCTGTTGGTGGATCTACCATTCTGGGGTTTGGAGCACAGTGGCCCTCTTCTCACAGCTCCACTAGGTGGTGCCCCAGCAGAGACTCTGCATGGGCACTCTGACTCCATATTTCCCTTCCACACTACCCTAGCAGAGGTTCTTCATGAGAGCCTAGCCCCTGCAGAAAACTTCTGGCTGAGCATCCAGGCATTTCCATACATCTTCCGAAATCCAGGCCGAGGTTCCCAAACCTCAATTCTTGACTTCTGTGCATCCGCAGGCTTAATGCCATGTGGAAGCTGCCAAGGGTTGGGGCTTGCACCCTTTAAAGCCATGGCCCAAGCTCTATGTTGGCCCCTTTCAGCCAGGGCTGGAGCAGCTGGGATGTAGGGCACCGAGTCCCTAGGCTGCACACAGCATGGGGACCCTGAGCCCAGCCCACAAAACTACTTTTTCCTCCTAGGCCTCCAGGCCTGTGATGGGAGGGTCTGCTGTGAAGACCTCTGACATGCCCTGGAGACATTTTTTCCATAGTCTTGCAGATTAACATTCAGCTCCTCATTAATTATGCAGATTTCTGCTGCCAGCTTGAATTTCTCCTCAGAAAATGGGATTTTGTTTTCTATCACATTGTCAGGCTGCAAACTTTCTGAACTTTTATGATCTCCTTCCCTTATAAAACTGAATGCCTTTAACAGCACCCAAATAAACTTTTGAATACTTTGCTGCTTAGAAATTTATTCTGCCAGGTAACCTAAATCATCTCACTCAAGTTCAAAGTTCCACAAATCTCTAGGGCAAGGGCAAAATGTCACTAGTCTCTTTGCTAAAACACAAGAGTCACCTTTGCTTCAGTTCCCAACAAGTTTTTCATTTCCATCTGAGACCACCTCAGCCTGTATTTTATTGTCCAGATAATTATCAGCATTTTTGTTAAAGCCATTCAACAAGTCTCTAGGGAGTTCCAAACTTTCCCACATTTTCCTGTCTTCCTCTGAGCCTTCCAAACTGTTCCAACTTCTGCCTGTTACCCAGTTCCAAAGTCACTTCCACATTTTTGGGTATCTTTTCAGCAGCACCCCAATCTACTGGTACTAATTTACTGTATTAGTTCATTTTCACACTGCTGATAAAGACATACCTGACACTGGGCAATTTACGAAAGAAAGAAATTTATTAAACTTACAGTTCCATGTGGCTGGGAAGGCCGTACAATCATGGCAGAAGGTGGAAGACATATCTCACATGGTGGCAGACAAGAAAAGAGAGTTTGCGCAGGGAAATTCACCCTTTTAAAACAATCAGATCTCGTGAGATTTATTCACTGTTATGAGAATAGAACAGGAAAGACTTGCCCACATGATTCAATTACCCCCCACTGGGTCCCTACCGCAACATATAGGAATTCAAAATGAGATTTGGGTGGGCACACAGCCAAACCATATTAGATGCATAGTTCGAAAATACTTTCTCTCATTCTGTGGGTTGTCTGTGTACTCTGCTGATAATTTCTTTTGCTGTGCAGAAGTTTTTTAGTTTAATTAGGTCCCATCTATTTTTGTTTTTGTTGCATTTGCTTTTGGGTTCTTGGTCATGAACTCTTTAGCTAAACCAACATTTAGGAGAGTTTTACTGATGTATCTTCTAGAATTTTTATGGTTTCAGGCATTAGATTTAAGTTTTTGATCCACCTTGAGTTGATTTTTGTATAAGGTAAGCGATGAGGATCTAGTTTCATTCTTCTACATGTGGCTTGCCAATTATCCCAACATCATTTATTGAATAAGATGCACTTTTTCCACTTCAGATTTTTGTTTTCTTTGTTGAAGATTAGTTGGCTGTAAGTATTTGGCTTTATTTCTGTGTACTGTATTTTGTTCTATTGGTCTAAGTGCCTATTTTTATACCAGTACCATGCTGCTTTGGTAACGATAGCGTTGTACTACAGTTTGATGTTGGGTAATGTGATTCCTCCAGGTTTGCTCTTTTTGGTTAACCTTGCTTTGGTTTGAGGGGTCTTTATTGGTATATAGAATTTTAGAATTGATTTTTATAGTTCTGCAAAGGTTGATAATGGTGGTACTTTGATGGGAATTGCAATGAATCTGTAGATTGCTTTTGGCAGTATGGTCATTTTCACAAAATTGATGCTACTCATTCATGAGCATGGGATGTGTTTCCATTTGTTTGTTTTCATCTATAATTTCTTTCAGCAATGTTTTATAGTTTTTCTGGTAGAGATCTTTCACCTTCTCGAATAGGTATATTCCTAAGTATTTTATCATATATTATTTTTTGCTGCTGTTGTAAAAGGAATTGAGTTATTGATTTGTTTCTCAGCTCTTTCATTGTTGGTGTATAGCAGTGTTACTGATTTGTGTACATTGATTCTATATCTTCAAATTTTATTGGATTCATTATCAGATCTAGGAGCTTTTTGGATGAGTCTTTAGGGTTTTCTAAGTATATAATCATATCATAGGCAAACAGTGACAGTTTTGACTTCTTCTTTACCAATTTGAATGCCCTTTATTTCTTTCTCATCTGATTGTTCTAGCTAGGACTTAAAGTATTATGTTGAATAGAAATGGTGAAAGTCATCATCCTTGTCTTGTTCCAATTCTCAGGGGAAATGCTTTTAACTTTTACCAGTTCAGTATGATGTTGGCTGTGGGTTTGTCGTAGATAGTTTATCATTTGTTACCTTGAGGTACGTCCCTTCTATCCCAATTTTACTGAAGGTTTTTATCATAAAGGGATGCTGGATTATGTCAAGTGCTTTCTCTGCATCTATTGAGATGATCATGTGATTTTTGTTTTTAATTCTGTTTGTGTGGTGTATCACAGTTTTTGACTTATGTATGTTAAACCATTCCTGCATCCATGGTATAAATACCAATTTATCATGATGTATTGTATTCTTGATATGCTGTTGTATTCAGTTAGCTAGTATTTCATTGAAGATTTTTGCATCTATGTTTATTAGAGATACTGGTCTGTAGTTTTCTTTTTTTGTTATTTTTTTTTCCTGGTTTTGGAATTTGCTTGATATTGGTTCATAGAATGATTTAAGGAGGATTCCCTCTTTCTCTGTCTTTTGGAATAGTTTCAATAGGATTGGTACCAATTCTTTTTCAAATTCAGCTGTGAATCTATCTGGTACTGGACTTTTTTGTTGGCAGTTTTTAAAATTACTGTTTCAAACTTGCTACTTGTTATTGGTCTGTTCAGAGTTTCCATTTCTTCCTGATTTAATCTGGGAGGATGTATATTTCCAGGAATTTATCCATCTCCTCCAGAATTTCTAGTTTGTATGCATAAAGGTGTTGATAATAGCCTTGAATGATCTTTTGTATTACTGTGGTATTTGTTGTAATATCTCCTGTTTCTTTTCTAATTGAGCTTATTTGGATCTCTCTTTTTTTCTTGGTTAATCTCTTTAATTGTCTATCAATTTTATCTTTTCCAAAAAACAGTTTTTTGTTACATTTATCTTTTGTATTGTTTTTTGTTTGTTTCAATTTCATTTAGTTCTTCTCTGATTTTTGTCATTTCTTTTCTTCTGCTGGGTTTGAGTTTGGTTTGTTCTTGTTCTCTAGTTCCTTCAGGCATGACCTTACGTTGTCTATTTGTGCTCTTCCAGAATTTTTAATGTAGGCATTCAATGCTATAAACTTTCCTCTTACCATCACTTTTGCTGTATCCCAGAGGTTTTAAGTTGTGTCACTATTATCATTCAGCTCAAAGAACTTTTTAACTTTCATCTTGGTTTTATTGTCAACCCAAAGATCATGCAAGAACATATTTAATTTCCATGCATTTGTATAGTTTTGAGGGTTCCTTACAGTGGTCTGGAGAATACTTAATATAATCTTGATTTTCTTAAATTTATTGAGACTTGTTTTGTGATCTATTATATGGTCGCTTTTGGAGAATGTTCCATGTGCCAATGTAAATAATATATATTCTCAGTTGTTGGGTAGAATCTTCTGTAAATGTTTGTTAAGTACATTTGTTCTAGAATATAGTTTAAGTCCATTGTTTCTTTCTTGACTTTCTGTTTTGATGATTGTCTAATGCTGTGGGTGGAGTATTGAAGTCCCTCACTATTATTGCATTGCTGTCTATCTCATTTTTAGGTCTATTAGTAATTGTTTTATAAATTTGGGACCTCCAGCATTAGGTACATATATATTTAGGATTGTGATATTTACTTGCTGTACTAATACTTTTATTATTATAAAATGTTCCTTTTTCTCTTTTTTTCTTACTGTTGTTGCTTTAAAGTCTGTTTTTTCTGATATAAGAATACCTACTCCTGCTTGCTTTTGGTTTCCATTTGTGTGGAATATCTTTATCCACCCCTTTATCTTAAGTGTATGCGAGTCCTTATGTGTTAAGTGAGTTTCTTGAAGACAGAAGATCCTTGGTTGGTGGATTTTTTTTATCCATTCAGACATTCTGTATCTTTTAAGTGGAGCATTTAACATTGGTATTAAGATGTGCATTACTGTTGTGTTTATTATGTTAGTTGTTGCCTTAATACCTTCTTTGTTTTTTTCAATTGTGTTATTTTTTATAGGTCCTGTGAGATTTATGCTTTAAGCAAGTTTGCCTTTGGTGTATTTCAAGGTTTAAAACTCCTTTAAGTACTTCTTGTAGTGCTGGTTTAGCAGTGGCAAATTCTCTCAGCATTTGTTGTCCGAAAAAGACTTTATCTCTCCTTCATTTGTGCAGCTTAGTTTTGCTAGATACAAAATTGTTAGCTGACAATTATTTTGTTTCACAAGGCTAAATATGGGATCCCAATTCCTTCTGGCTTATAATGTTTCTGCAAAGAAATCTGTTGTTAATCTCATAGATTTTCCTTTGAGGCTATCTTGATACTTTTGTCTCATAGCTCTTAAGAGTCTTTTCTTCATCTTGGCTTTAGATAGCCTGATGACTATGTGCCTAGGTGATGAACTTTTTGCAATGCATTTCCCAGGTGTTTTATAACTTCTTGCATTTTGATGTCTAGACCACTAGCAAGGGCAGAGAAGTTTTCCTCAATTATTCCCTCAAGTTTTCCAAACTCTTAGATTTCTCCTCCTCCTTAGGAACACCAATTATGCTTCAGTTTTGTTGTTTAATATAATGCAAACTTCTTGGAGGCTTTTTTTTTTTTTTTTTTTTTTAGTCTTTGTATGATTGGGTTAATTAGAAAGCCTTGTCTTTGAGCTCTGAAGTTCTTTCTTCTACTTGTTCTAGTATACTGTTGACTCTTTCCACTGCATTTTGTATTTCTCTAAGTGCGTCTTTCATTTCCAGAAACTGTGATTGTTTTTTTCTTTATGATATCTTTTTATCTGAGCATTTTTATTCACATTCTATATTGTTTATTAATTTCTTTTAGTTGGTTTTTACCTTTCTCTGGTATCTCCTTGAGTAGCTTAATAATAAACCTTCTTTTTTTTTTATGATACTTTAAGTTTTAGGGTACATGTGCACATTGTGCAGGTTAGTTACATATGTATACATGTGCCATGCTGGTGCGCTGCACCCACTAACTTGTCATCTAGCATTAGGTATATCTCCCAATGCTATCCCTCCCCCCTCCCCCCACCCCACAACAGTCCCCAGAGTGTGATATTCCCCTTCCTGTGTCCATGTGATCTCATTGTTCAATTCCCACCTATGAGTGAGAATATGCGGTGTTTGGTTTTTTGTTCTTGCAATAGTTTACTGAGAATGATGATTTCCAATTTCATCCATGTCCCTACAAAGGACATGAGCTCATCATTTTTTATGGCTGCATAGTATTCCATGGTGTATATGTGCCACATTTTCTTAATCCAGTCTATCATTGTTGGACATTTGGGTTGGATCCAAGTCTTTGCTATTGTGAATAATGCCACAATAAACATACGTGTGCATGTGTCTTTATAGAAGCATGATTTATAGTCCTTTGGGTATATACCCAGTAATGGGATGGCTGGGTCAAATTGTATTTCCAGTTCTAGATCCCTGAGGAATCACCACACTGACTTCCACAATGGTTGAACTAGTTTACAGTCCCACCAACAGTGTAAAAGTGTTCCTATTTCTCCACATCCCCTCCAGCACCTGTTGTTTCCTGACTTTTTAATGATTGCCTTTCTAACTGGTGTGAGATGGAATCTCATTGTGGTTTTGATTTACATTTCTCTGACGGCCAGTGATGGTGAGCCGTTTTTCATGTGTTTTTTGGCTGCATAAATGTCTTCTTTTGAGAAGTGTCTGTTCATGTCCTTTGCCCACGTTTTGATGGGGTTGTTTGTTTTTTTCTTGTAAATTTGTTTGAGTTCATTGTAGATTCTGGATATTAGCCATTTGTCAGATGAGTAGGTTGCAGAAAAAGCCTTTGACAAAATTCAACAACCCTTCATGCTAAAAACTCTCAATAAATTAGGTATTGATGGGACGTATTTCAAAATAATAAGAGCTATCTATGACAAACCCACAGCCAATATCATAATGAATGGGCAAAAACTGGAAGCATTCCCTTTGAAAACTGGCACAAGACAGGGATGCCCTCTCTCACCACTCCTATTCAACATGGTGTTGGAAGTTCTGGCCAGGGCAATTAGGCAGGAGAAGGAAATAAAAGGTATTCAATTAGGAAAAGAGGAAGTCAAATTGTCCCTGTTTGCAGATGACATGATTGTATATCTAGAAAACCCCATCGTTTCAGCCCAAAATCTCCTTACACTGATAAGCAACTTCAGCAAAGTCTCAGGATACAAAATCAGTGTACAAAAATCACAAGCATTCTTATACACCAACAACAGACAAACAGAGAGCCAAGTCATGAGTGAACTCCCATTCACAATTGCTTCAAAGGGAATAAAATACCTAGGAATCCAACTTACAAGGGATGTGAAGGACCTCTTCAAGGAGAACTACAAACCACTGCTCAAGGAAATAAAAGAGGATACAAACAAATGGAAGAACATTCCATGCTCATGGGTAGGAAGAATCAATATCGTGAAAATGGCCATACTGCCTAAGGTAATTTACAGATTCAATGCCATCCCCATCAAGCTACCAATGACTTTCTTCACAGAATTGGAAAAAACTACTTTAAAGTTCATATGGAACCAAAAAAGAGCCCGCATCGCCAAGTCAATCTTAAGCCAAAAGAACAAAGCTGGAGGCATCACACTACCTGACTTCAAACTATACTACAAGGCTACAGTAACCAAAACAGCATGGTACTGGTGCCAAAACAGAGATATAGATCAATGGAACAGAACAGAGCCCTCAGAAATAACGCAGCATATGTACAACTATCTGATCTTTGACAAACCTGAGAAAAACAAGCAATGGGGAAAGGATTCCCTATTTAATAAATGGTGCTGGGAAAACTGGCTAGCCATATGTAGAAAGCTGAAACTGGATCCCTTCCTTACACCTTATACAAAAATCAATTCAAGATGGACTAAAGACTTAAACGTTAGACCTAAAACCATAAAAACCCTAGAAGAAAACCTAGGCATTGCCATTCAGGACATAGGCATGGGCAAGGACTTCATGTCTAAAACACCAAAAGCAATGGCAACAAAAGACAAAATTGACAAATGGGATCTAATTAAACTAAAGAGCTTCTGCACAGCAAAAGAGCTTCTGCACAGCAAAAGAAACTACCATCAGAGTGAACAGGCAACTTACAAAATGGGAGAAATATTAAACCTTCTTAATTTATCTGGCAATTCAGAGATTTCTTTTTCAACTGCAACCATTGCTGAGGATCTGGTGTGATCTTTTGGGGAGATTATAGAACCCTATTATGTCATATTACCAGAATTGATTTTCTGGTTCCTTCTTATTTGGGTAGACTATTTCAGTGGAGAGGTCTAAAATTCAAGGCCTGTTGTTCAGATTTTCTTGTCCCAGAGGGCCATTCTTTGATGTGGTGTTCTCCCCCTTCCCCTAGAAGTGGGGTTTCCTGAGAGCTGGACTACAGTGATTGTTATTGCTTTTCTGGGTCTAGCCACCCAGTGGGGCTACCAGGCTCTGGGCTGGTGCTGGGGGTTGTCTGCAAAGAGTCCTGTGATATGATCTGTCTTTAGGTCTCCCAGCCATGGATACCAGCACCTGCTGTGGCATAGGTGGCAGGAAAATGAAGTACACTCTGTGAGAGTCCTTGGTTGCAGATATGTTTGGTGTGCTGGCTTGAATGCTGGTTGTGCTAGCAGTGAGGCTGTCATGTGAACACATTCATGACTTCTGATTAGCCAGGATGTTGCAGGCAGTGGAATTAGATGTTGTCTTCTCCTTTTTGTTTCTCAGATGATGGGTAGAACCACAAAACTCCTAAGAATTTCTATGTTTTGTGTTCAGCTACCATTACCAATTTCGTTTGTAAGCTTCCTTTGCCCTGTGACCCCTCCCCAATTCTGCTGGCTGTCTTCACCAAGGGCCCCTGTGAGATATAGTCATGGCTGGCTTCCCTAGGCTTGAGCTGGGGAGAGGCAGTACCTACAAGGCACTTCCTGCTGCTACTTCTACTTTTATATTTCATCTGACTCCTTAAATCTGTTCATTTCTAGGTAATGTTAAATCTTTCTCCCATGATCTACATTTTCAGATTTCCCAGTGGGGATGTATGTTTGAAGGTAGGTTTTTTCCCTCTCTCGCACTTTGGGAGGTCATGTTTTTTTGCCGGTTTATGGAATTTGCAGTAGTGTGTTGCTTCTTTCAAATGATCTGTGAATTCTTTTAGTTTTCCTGGTAGGTTCCTGCAATGGTGCTTGGAGCAAAAGATCACAGTATGAGACTCTACATGCTGTTCTGTCATCTGTCTATGTGGAAGCCGCACATTAGCCCTGTAACCTATCCTCATCTTCCCCCAATCTCCCCATACACCTTATATTTTTGTGTATTGCAATGTAGGTGCAATTTTTTTTCTTTCCACTAGATCTTAGGTTCCTTTAGGTAAAATATGTGGTTATTTCATTTTGTATCATTAGCTTCTATTTTAGGCCTAGAAATTTTCAGATGCCAAATACACTTATATATTTGAATTTTTTCCCAATTTTATATTAGTTTTATAAAAATATATTTTTCATGCATAATAGAAACTATATAGTATATATTAATATAGCTGACATAAATATTTCTGAAATATTGAGTACTTGACAGGTTTACATGTGACAACTTTATCAATGCATAGTTATCAGAGAGAAAAACTCTTTGAGAACATCAGGAAAAAAGTTGATTTTCGCATCCAATATGTGTGTGTGTGTGTGTGTGTGTGTATTTAGAATATACAAAATGTAGAAGTCAATTTCTACATATTTAAGTTAATCTTTCTGTCAACAAATACCAGGATTATACATTTAAATTATTTTTACTTTGTTGAAAGAATTTTTGATATTGATAAATGATATTTACTGAATGACAAAACTTAGTCCTTTGCATTTGCTATTCATTAAATATTTTATAGCACTGCAATTTCAGCAACATATTAAAATAAAAATCCTGACGTAGTGAAATAGACATCTCACTTTCTGAGGTATGCTTGCAGACATTTTTCACATACACTTTAATACTTCTATGGTAATTTACAGTTATTAAAGTGTTTTTCGCCCCCATCATGCAATGTATTGTTCAATCAATGTAGTTTTAGAAAAACTGCATTTCTTTCTACCTAGACTTCTAAGATGAGAGTACAGAATGGTTTCAGTAGGTTCAATGACTCTCTTTAGGATTTGTGCCTTAAGAATTTGGAAGCTTTCAAAGAACTTTTGTAGTAAAGGGAGAGGATAGTTTAACACATAGCAGCAGGGAAAAAAAAAAACCCCACAAAATTGTCATGTGCTCTGAGAACTTGGATGGCAATTTTTGGATATTCTACTATTGAATTAAAATAAAACTCTTTTAGATAATTATTTCTCCTACAGAACATGTGCTCCACAGAATAGTCAGATTGAGTAAATAGACAAAATATATATTGACCTTTGATAGCCATTTGTTGGTATATGATCTATAGCAAATATTCTATGTCACATCTCACAATTCATGTTTCTAAAGGACTGAAAGATATTTAAAAGAATGATAACCTTTCCCGACACACAAATATCAAATAGACTGGGCATGGTGGCTCACGCCTGTGATCCCATCACTTTGGAAGGCCAAGGCAGGGGGAGGGCTTGAGCCCAGGAGTTTGAGACCAATCTGGGCAACATAGGAAGATCCTGTCTCTACAAAAATATAAAGACATTAGCCAGGTGTGGTGGCATATAGCCCCCTCTGTTGTCCCAGCTACTCGGAGTGCTGGGTGGGAGCATCACTTGAACGGAGGATGTCTAGGAGCCATGATTGTGCCACTGTACCCCAGTCTGGATGACAGAGTGAGACCTTATCACACACACAAAAAATTGAATAAACACTTCAAAGATTTTTATTTAACTAAGTTAATAAAGATTGATAAGGTGTTACAAAAGAGAACACAGAATAACATGCATTTATACTCAGGTAAAGAATAATAAAATAAATTTACAAATGAATGCAAAACTTATGCAAATTATCAATGTCCACAGAACAATAGTCACTTATATTCCACTAAGCAAAATTTGAATTTGTATGAAAAAGAATTATTTGATATTTTATGAGCGTTCTAACTACTTAGAAAGTTATAAAACAGCTCTAAGATGATGAAAATAGAAACAAAAATTCCCCCCAAAACATACAACCAGATAGCTATACAGGCTGTGCTCTAAACAACACATAGTTTTCCCTTAAAGGGTCTTACTATATTTTGATTACTTCAATTATTTCCCACAGTCTTGTCCTCATGAACTAGGTACAGTATTTTGGTGTACAGCTAAGAGTATGTAAAGTGAATGAAAAATATCTCCAATATAATGCCTGAATTTAAATTATCATGCCATATTACTTGAGATTATAATCTTTGTCCCTCTGTGGTTAATCATCTTAAATTCAGTAAATCTTCATTTTCATGTTCTTGTCCCTATTCTTTTTAGAATTTTCTTTTGTCAGTGACAATAAAGAAGAAGAAATAAAGATATGTACTAAATTCCTAAAAATGGACACATTAATATATGAATTTTAGTTCAAATTGTTTACAGGATTAATAATGAGATTTATATTTAAGCAAAGGAAGAGGTACCTTCATATGCTTTAGAAAGATAAGCATTTTATTTTTCATTGACATGTAATAATTAAATGTGCAGTGTGATGTTTTGTTAAATGAATACACCGTATAATGATCAAATTAAGTAATTAGTATTTTTGTCACCTCAAAGCTTTGCCAGTTCTTTGTGGTGAGAACATTCAAATTTCTCTCTTCTAATTCTTAGAAATATATCATACATTATTGTTAACTATAGTCAGCCTACTCTGTGTTAAAATACCAGAACTTATTTTTCCTAACTATAACATTGTATCCATTATCCCACCTCTCCCCATCCTCTCTCTTCCTTCCCCTCCCTAGACTCAGGTAACCTCTATTCTACTCTCTACTTCCATGAGCTCAGCTCCCATGTTAACTACAGTACTTATTCAGAATAGTCAAGATAAGAAATCAACCTAAGTGTTCGTCAACAAATGAATATAGGAAATGTAGTATATATACACAATGGAATACCACTCAGCCATAAGAAAAGAATGAAATCTTGCCATTTGCTGCAACGAGAATGAACCTAAATATGTTCAGTGAAATAAGCCAAGCACAGAAAGACAAATACTGTATGATCTCGCTCATGTGAAATTTTAAAATGTAGGTTGGGTTCTGATCCCAAGGAGAAAGGAGAAACAAATGACAGAGTGAAAGTGCTTTGCATAATCTGGGAATTAACCTGGAGAAGAGGAAATGGTGGGAGTAGTCTACAGTTATGCCTCTATGACTATGTTATTTGTGCTTTGGATTCTAAGCCTTCTTATTAACCACCCTTGCAAAATAAAACATCAGTAAGCATTACTGAATAGATTTCAGTGAGTTCTTTTTTTTTTATTATAGTTTAAGTTTTAGGGTACATGTGCACAACGTGCAGGTTAGTTACATATGTATACATGTGCCATGTTGGTGTGCTGCACCCATTAACTTGTCATTTAACATTAGGTATATCTCTTAATGCTATCCCTCCCCCAACCCCCCACCCCACAACAGGCCCCGGTGTGTGATGTTCCCCTTTCTGTGTCCATGTGTTCTCATTGTTCAATTCCCACCTATGAGTGAGAACGTGTGGTGTTTGGTTTTTTGTCCTTGCGATAGTTTGCTGAGAATGATGGTTTCCAGCTTCATCCATGTCCCTACAAGGGACATGAACTCATCATTTTTTATGGCTGCATAGTATTCCATAGTGTATATGTGCCACATTTTCTTAATCCAGTCTATCGTTGTTCGACATTCGGCTTGGTTCCAAGTCTTTGCTATTGTGAATAGTGCCACAATAAACATACATGTGCATGTGTCTTTATAGAAGCATGATTTATAATCCTTTGGGTATATGGCCAGTAATGGGATGGCTGGGTCAAATGGTATTTCTAGTTCTAGATCCTTGAGGAATCACCACACTGACTTCCACAATGGTTGAACTAGTTTACAGTCCCACTAACAGTGTAAAAGTGTTCCTATTTCTCCACATCCTCTCCAGCACCTGTTGTTTCCTGACTTTTTAATGATCGCCATTCTAACTGGTGTGAGATGGTATCTCATTGTGGTTTTGATTTGCATTTCTCTGATGGCCAGTGATGATAAAAACATTTTTTCGTGTGTCTTTTGGCTGCATAAATATCTTCTTTCGAGAAGTGTCTGTTCATATCCTTCACCCACTTTTTGATGGGGTTGTTTTTTTTCTTGTAAATTTGTTTGAGTTCATTGTAGATTCTGGATATTAGCCCTTTGTCAGATGAGTAGATTGCAAAAATTTTCTCTCATTCTGTAGGTTGCCTGTTCACTCTGATGGTAGTTTCTTTTGCTGTGCAGAAGCTCTTTAGTTTAATTAGATCCCATTTGTTAATTTTGGCTTTTGTTGCCATTGCTTTTGGTGTTTTAGACATGAAGTCCTTGCTCGTGCCTATGTCCTGAATGGTATTGCCTAGGTTTTCTTCTAGGGTTTTTATGGTTTTAGGTCTAACATTTTAGTCTTTAATCCATCTTGAATTAATTTTTGTATAAGGTGTAAGGAAATGATCCAATTTCAGCTTTCTACATATGACTAGCCAGTTTTCCCAGTACCATTTATTAAATAGGGAATCGTTTCCCCATTGCTTGTTTTTCTCAGGTTTGTCAAAGATCGGATGGTTGTAGATATGCGGCATTATTTCTGAGGGCCCTGTTCTGTTCCATTGGTCTATATCTCTGTTTTGGTACCAGTACCATGCTGTTTTGGTTACTGTAGCCTTGTAGTATAGTTTGAAGTCAGGTAGCGTGATGCCTCCAGCTTTGTTCTTTTGGCTTAGGATTGACTTGGCAATGTGGGCTCTTTTTTGGTTCCATATGAACTTTAAAGTAGTTTTTTCCAATTCTGTGAAGAAAGTCATTGGTAGCTTGAATGGGATGGCATTGAATCTATAAATTACGTTGGGCAGTATGGCCATTTTCACGATATTGATTCTTCCTACCCATGAGCATGGAATGTTCTTCCATTTGTTTGTATCCTCTTTTATTTCAGTGTGTATGAGTATACCACTGAAACCCTATTGGTATAGATACCCCTATATGGTAATGTTATGTTTTAAAATGTTTAAGGGATTATAGTAAAAGCACATACCTGCGCACAAAACCCAGCACATATTTTGTACTAAATGTTTTATAAAACATACAATCTTAAAATATATCAAAATTGTATGGCTAATTGAAAGGGAAACTTTTTGCTTTAGGTCACAGTTATTAAAGTATGTGTATTTCAGGGAACATTAGTTAAGGATTACTTGAAGACCCTTCAGTGCAATATTTTTTGGTTTAATAAGATGTATTAGTCCATTTTCACACTGCTGATAAAGCCATACCCCAGACTGGGCAATTTACAAAAGAAAGGTTTATTGGACTTACAGTTCCTCACGGCTGGGGAGGCCTCACAATCACGGTGGAAGATGAAAAGCACATCTCACATGGCAGCAGACAAGAGAAGAGAGCTTGTGCAGGGAAACTCCCCTTCATAATACCATCAGATCTGTGATATTTATTCACTATCACAAGAACAGTATGGGAAAGACCCCTTCCCATGATTCAGTCACCTCCCACTGGGTCCCTCCTACACCATGTAGGAATGGTAGGAGCTACAATTCAAGGTAAGTTTTGGGTGGTAACACAACTAAACCATATCATAAGGTAAAATTTCTAAACCAGGTTGCAGAATATGAACAATAATATAGTGACATAGATTTTGAGATTTGACTTGGACTTGTATTTGGGTTCATAGAATTTGACTTGAAGTCTTAAATCATCATGATATCACTGTTAGCATAGTATAATATTATATAAGAAAATAAGCTTTACTTTTTTAAAGTTTAAAAATTTAATAAATGTGTTCCTGGAGATAATTCCTGGAGAAAAAATAAGCAATTTCAATAGAATCTTCTTTTTCTTTGCTTTGAATATTTTATTCTATAAATCAATATAGTACATAATTCCTTATGTCATAAGATGTGGAGGAAACATCTTTTCTTTTGTATTAACAAATATTTGTAAGAATTCAGAGGTGTTAGTCTATCCTACATTACAAAAAATGTTTGAGTGTCATTCTAAAATTTTCTACTTCTAGCTTCTGAAAAATAATGATTCACCTAGCACATTCATTTACAACTCGACTTTCTATAGAATCAATTACAAAAAAACTAACGGTAGAAAATGAGTGGCAAAAAGATTTTCATACATTGCTGAAAGATATAATTAGTGGATATTTAACTGATAATTAAAGAATCTAATTCAGAGGATGTACAAAGAAGAATACAGGTAAACTTTTGCAGTAGGTAACCACAGAGAATTGGAGCAAAAAAAAATTCGAAGTAAAGGTAAGTTAAAAACAGTTGCATCTACCGATTATAAGAATCAACATTCTTTATTCACTCACTATTCACTGCTGGTTGAAGATCAGCAATTTTGTAACAATACTTTAGTAAATTTGTAATTCTGTAAAAATTGAAATCTTTAAATTACTAAAATTTTAAATTATAAATGTATAAATTAGTAATTTTGTAAATGTAAATTGTACATTTGTAAATCTGTAAATTTGTAAATTAGAAACATTAGAAATTAATAAATTTTAAAACTTAGTAAATTTATCCATGTTTGAAGATTAGTAAATTTGCCTCTATAACACTATAAGGGAAATAAAACTTAGTATTCTGCTTCTCACTGAGTTGAAATGAGAATGGCAATCTAGGAAACTCTAGATTTTGCATTTGGGAGAGAGTCCCATAAAACTGTCTGTACCATACTGTATGCATTCTAAAATAAGCCAGTCTCAGAAATCCAGAGTGGAAAGTTGCTCATTTAGGTGAGAAGCCATCTGTGTCCTCTAATAATAAACAGAGTCCTGGGATGTGAAACACAACTAGAAATCACTGGATAGACAAATAGAAAAATATCCCCAGTAGTCATAGAGATAATTCAAAGAGAAATTTAAAAGTCAATGATATAAAACAAGATCAGGTATAAAGAACTAAAATTACTAAAAAGAATCTGTGAATTTGGAACTAATAAATGAAGGTACTAAAAACCACAAGACTTCTAGAGTGTGCAGAGAACAGTGAATGAAAAAAGTAATTTAAAACATAAAAGAAAAAACCTATATAGCTGAAAAGGGGTACAAAAATATATTAAAAGGGCCCTCTAAAAGTATCAATCCACAGGAAGAAAGCCCAGTCCAGGACTGTTCTAAAAATACTTATAATAAAGAATTAAAATAACATTATGAGTAGCATCTCACATAATGATCAGAAACTAGATGCATTTCCTCTAACATCAGGAACAAGGTAAAAATGTTCCCTCTTGCTGTTTCTATTCTACATCATACTGGAAGTCCTAGCTAATGTAATAACAAAGGAAAAGGAATTAAAACACGTATAGATTGTGAAGGGAGGAAAACAATAAGTCTGTTGGCAAACAATAGGATTGTCTATGTAGAAAGTTTCAAAGAATCAACAAAAATTTCCTGGCACTAACAAGAAATTATAGCAAGATGAGAGTATACAAAGTTAATATATAAGTTATTGCTTTCCTACATATCAGTAATGAATAATTGAAATTTGAAATTAAAAATGACATCATTTATATTTGTATCAAAAAATGTATATACTTAGCTATAAATATAAGTACAATTTCTGTATTAAAAAACCCCTGCAAAACTAATCACGGAGACCTCAACAATTGGAGAGGTATTCTATGTTCATGGATAGGAAGATTCAATATTGTTGAGATATCATTCTTCCCAACTTCATTTATAAATTCGTTGCAATCCCAATCAAAATTGAAGCAGGGTAGTTTCTAGATATTGATGAAATAATCATAAAATGTATATAAATAGACAAAAGACCTAAAATTATCAACAAAATACTGAACATGATAAAGAAATTTGGAGGACTGGCATGAATCACTTTGTAGACTTTATACAAGACTACTGTAACTGAGTATTGTATTGTTTTGTGTTGTATTGTATTGTATTGTATTGGTGAAAGAAAATAAAAGAGCAGTGCAATAGAATAGAGAGCCCAGGTATAGATCCAGCAAATATAGTCAAGTTATCTTTTACAAAAGATTAAAAGTAACTCAGTGGAGAAAGTATAGTCTTTTTAGCAAATATTTCCAGAATAAATGGAAAGCTACATGTAAAAATATGAAACTATATACAAGCCTTAGCCTTTCATAAAAATGAACTCAAAAGGTATAGGAGACTTGAGCATAAAATGTAAAACCTGTCTTCCATTCTAGACTATAGAATGTCTAGAAGACAATATAGTAGAAAATGTAGATGACCTTACAGTTGATAATGACTTTTTTTTTAGATGCAACACTAAAAGCATGATTTATGAAAGAAAAAGTTGATAAATTGGACTACGTTACAATTTAAAACTTCTGCACTTTGAAAGTCATTACTAAGAGAATGAAGAGACAAGCCAGATTCTGTGAGAAAATATTTGCAAAACTTTTATCTGATAAAGGACTGGTATAGAAAATATGCAAAATTCTTTAAAACTCAAAAGAAGAAATATACAACACACTTAAAAGGCAAAAATCTGAAATGATACCTCATCAAAGATGATATACAGATGGCAAAAAAGCATATGAAAAGATGCTCAACATGATGTCATTAGGGAATCGCAAATTAAAACAACAATGGCATATCACTATAAATCTATTAATATAGTTAAAGGTCAAAGCACTAACACCTCCAAATACTTGGAAGGATATTGAACAGGAACTTTCATTTATTGCTGGTGATAATCTAAAATGGTACAGCCACTTTGGAAGACTGTTTTGGAGTTTTCCACAAAGTAAGAACACTTTACCATATGGTCCAACAATTGCACCCCTAGATATTTACCCAAATAAGTTGAAAACTTATGTCCTCTAAATAGCCTGCATACAAGTGTTTGTAGTACTTTTATTCAGAATTTCCAGAAATTGGAAGTAACCAAGATATTCTTCTATAGGCCAATAAATAAAAAAACTGTGGAAAATCCATACATAGTTTATTAAAAGTTAATAAAAAGAAATGAACTATGCATCCATGAAAAGACATGGAGGAAACTTAAATCCGTATAGCTAAGTGAATAAAGCCTGCATAAAAGGTTATATACTATATAATTCCAACCATCTGGAATTCTGGAAAAGGCAAAAAATAGGGTAGAAAGATCAATACTTGCCAGGGTTTGGTGGGAGAGTGGAAAAGATGAATAGGTGGAACCCAGAAAATTTTTATGGGAGTCAAAGTTTTATATATAATACTATAATGGTAGATATATGACATTATGCATTTGTCTAAACTGGTACAACTATACAACACAAAGAGTGAACCCTTATGTAAACTATGGACTTTAGTTAATAATAATGTATCAATATTGGCTCAACCATTTTTGTAAATACAGCACACTAGTGCAAGATGTTAATAACAAGGAAAACTTCACTGGAGTGGGAAGAGGATATATGGAAATCTGCGTTTTGCTCAATTTTTCTCTTAACCTAAAACTGAAATGGGAAAGGTTCCTTTGTCCCTCTTGCACGGTGTGAGACAGAGGGAGTGGCTCGCTTCTTCAGTGCCCCAGTGCTCAAACCTCTAGGGGAGCATAGAGACAGGCAGGCTGTAGGGCTCCAACCCCATTGCAATGCCTAGGGGTGAATGTTTACAGCTCCTGAAACCCCAGTGGGCGTGTGTTACAGAGTGTTCCTTTAGTTTAGCTGTCCATAAGTGGCTTGTGTTTATCAGCTCAATTAGAACCTCAGCCTTATGACAAGGACAGGGGGCTTTCTGTATCCCAGGGATTTTTGCCCTGGTGTACCAGAAGAATCGGATCACACCTGGGCTTGGAGAATGAGTGCCAGGTTTTACTGAGTGGAAGTAGCTCTCAGCAGATGAAGGAGCCAGAAGGGAGATGGAGTGGGAAGGTTTCCCCTGGAGTCGGGCCTCTCAGCAGCTGGACTCTTCTCCAACTGCCCTGGCCAAACTCCGCATTGTTCTGCCGGTGGATGGCCTGCCTGAGTGCTGGTATCTGCTAGTGCTTGTGAGCGTGCTCTTCCACTGATGTGCTCCTCTTGACATCCAGCCGCTTGTTGTCTCTGCCTGATAGGGTCTTCGGGTTTTTATACGCACAGGATCGGGGTATGGTGGGCCAGGGGTGTCTTGGAAAATGCAACGTTTGGGCACAAAGGCAAGAGTGCCTGTCCTCACCTAAGTCCGTGGGCCTATGCCCGAGGGTGGAGCCCTAGCGAGGGACCCGCTTTTCTCTACCCAGCACTTCCCTGTTCTCCTCCCATGTCAACACTGCTCTACAAATAAAGTCTATAAAAACAAATAGTTAAAAAATAGACTCAAGTATCCTCAAAAAATAATAATCAAGTCAAGGCATTCGAAAATGCTGAGAAACCTTTTCTATCCTATCGAGGAATTATCCCAAAGAATTTAGAATTTAATGTGCAATAGAGATTTCTTCTCAAACATAAAAATTTAAAAAATAGAGATAATTTAGTGGCATTGTTTCAGATGAGCTCATATTTATTTAATAGAAATAAAATATTTTGGCTTCACTGGCCTTTGTTTTCTCACATTCTAGTGTCTTGAAACTGCTAAAGATGGTATAGTTGACATTTTTAAGGCATGTATTGCCCTAAGGGTGATAGGAGTTGATACTAGAGTTATGTAACAAAGCTAAGTAAAATACTTCATAAAGTACGCTTAAAATGCCTCATTTAATCAGAGTAATCCTAACAAACCTTATTTCCTTAGTTTAAGGGTATAGACTAAACTACTATACCGATGAGGACCACAAGTATGAGGCTTAAATGATAGAAGTTGATTAATATGCCATGTAATAGATCTGAGATAGATGCACAGTTTGTTGAGTGTTTTTTTTTGTTTGTTTTGTTTTTTCACACTTAATGTATTTTCCCTCTGAGTTTAAGGTGGCTGTTTTGGCTTCTGCCATTATATCTGCATTTCACACAATTGGAAGGAAGAAATAGCAGGAAACACACTTTCACATATTTAAGGAGATGACTGTAAGTGCCATAATCATTTCTGCTCTCATTTTGAGATATGTTACATGGCAAGAAAGCTGGAAAACATAGTCATTACCTGGGTAACCCTGTGCCTATGTAAATTCTATTATATGAAGAAGGCAAAAATTAATATATATACAGTCTGCTAAAAATCACCGTCATTGTGGAAATCTATGCCTACTTCTCCATGGTAGGAAAATTTTGTTTGACTGATTAGACATTTTGCCATGAAAATTGTGTTCCCAATGCTTCTGCTATGTGGTTCTTAAGACAAGAAAAGTATTCACCTTGGCTCCAGGGACCGTCTTCTATGAGAGCTTCCAGGTGAGCTTCCAGAGTTGGCATGATTTCCCACCAAATGCAGTGAGCAAATATTTCACATTTGGATGTGATATCATTGGTTGTCTTGAGCCAAAACAAGCACAACAAAACAAACTGTGCCCTGCACCAGGTCTTCAGCTCTTTCCCTTCTCAGAAAGCCAAGCACAATATATAATTAATGTTTTTAGAAACAGAAAAAATATCTGCAGCTGCCATTGCCCTCACCACAGGTAGTACACAATCTGATATTAACGTTATGTTAACCAGTTGTGTCAGGTCTTATTATAAACAATAGAAACAATCTTAAACAAAAACAAAGTTAATAATGAGAACAGAATAATTGCAAAGATATCAGAGGTTCACAGAATAGACAAGAGGATGGAGGGATGGGCCAGATGACAGATAATTGCCCCAAGGCAATTGTATTCTGAGTCCTACTCTGAAGATTTTAGGACTCAGAATAGATCTACCATTACCAAAAAAAAAAAAAAAAAAGAAAGGAAAAGAAAAAGATAATTTGTTTCGTGCTATGAGCAGAGATCTGAATTCCACTATTACTATAGTTTTTGTGTCACCAGTTCAATAGTAAAACATTAATCCAAGTCGGGAGATTTCTAGGGGAGACAAAGTATTTGGCCCACTTATTTTGCCCTTTTGTAAAAACTGGGGAATTCCCTTCAAAGAGAGGCATAGTAATAGTAATAAGATAGTATTGAATGTTGAATAGCAAAAACAAGTCAAATATGTGCTATCTCAGTGTAGTTTATGCTAAATTCAGGAACAAAATTATAATTTCCCTCTAGGAAATATTCCTCCCCCCTCTTGGAAAACTTGGACTTTCTCATTTGAGTTATAAATTTTTCCAGAGTCATAAATTGCATCACCACTTAAAGCTTTCCGTCATGAGTGAAAGTAGCCGGGGCTGGTGTTGTGGGTTGTAAAGGATTTTACTAAGACAGTTGTAGGTAAAGAAAGGCAGATTTATTAGAAAAAGTATGAAAATATGCTGCAAGGTTGCAGTGGGCAGCACGACAGAGGAAGAGCTGTCTGCAAACAGGCAGGGGCTGGAGGGAAGTTTTATAGGGTCTTGCTGGAGGGGCTACATGAGGAATAAGGTCGTGCTGCTGGGATAAGTGTGGAGTGAGATCATTGTGCCCATGGGCTATTTGTGATAGGTCATTTCTCAGAACAATTGTTCATTGTTCTTCCCTATCTGGGGCTCTCCCCAACCTACGGTTTATCCCCTCCTGGGGCCCCTTCCCCCTTGTTGCTTAATTGTCTTATCAGGACTTGACACTTTCTAAAAGGCAATATTCCACATCCCAGCAATTCCTAAGTGGTCCTGAGATGTTTTCATTATTTAGTGAGTGAAGCAAGAAGAGAACATTTTCTTCTAAGCCTTGTCCATGATAAAAATTTTCTAATGCCACTACCATAAGGGCCACATTGTGTCCAGCTTGGCACCAAATAATCATATGATGGAGAAAATAATTTCATGCTTTGAATAGCACCCCAAACATATCTGTGACAAGTGTGCAGACATCAGGACGTTTATAAATATCCCTTGAATTTGTTTTGTCTTTTTTAGCAAATAATTCTTAAGTTTCAACAAGTGGTATGCATGTGGTAAATAAAGGATACTTTCTAGCCTAAACTCCTGTATAACACAAGTTTCTAAAACCTCAAATCACTGTTCAAATATCACCTAGCCATTATTAAATTGCATTTGCAAAAAAAAAAAAAAAAAAAAAAAGAAGAACTGAGTTAATTATGACAGTGAAAGAGATCTAACCTAACCGCCTCCATCTTGGTTCTAACCTCTAAGCTGTCCTTGTTCATTCCCAGGCAGAGGCTGAACTAACCTTGAGAAGGAATTTAGTGTGTAGATTAACTTTGAAACAAAAGTGATATCCTTTTTCTGAAAGAAACCCTCTCCTTTCCTGAAGACCAGTCTGCCTTTATAGGACTAACAGATTCGCTGCAAGATTGGAAATTACTTAGGAGCCATGTAGCCTCTAGCTGCAAGAGTCTGAACTTCCCCAAATTGCTCCTGGGAATAACATCACTGTTGTAAAACCAAAGATCAGTGCTTGAGATATTACTGATGCACCAGCTGATGCCACCCAGACTGGTAATCTTGCTCAATCAGTTCTGTGATCCCACCCATGAATAGAAGACAGCAAGAACAACTCACTTTCTCACTTCCACCCTCTATGACTTTATCTCCAGTCATCACTCCCCACTTCCTGAGGCCCTGCCCACCAAATTATACTTGAAAACTCTGATCCTCGAATTCTTAGGGAGACTGATTTGAGTAATAATAAAACTCCAGTCCCCCATACAGCTGCCTCTGTTTGAATTAAACTCTTTCTCTTTTGCTATTCTCTGTCTTGATAAATTGGCTCTGTCTAGGCAGTGAGAAAGGGGAACCTGCTGGGCCGTTACACTTATGCACAAAGGTTTTAAAACAGTACATTATTCTTATATTTTAGATTTGCCTTAATATCCCCATGGAATAGTTCTTCACGAAGCTGTCAGTGTATCTTTAATTACATAGAATTTAAAGTTTTGAAGATACGACCAGGTAGTTTGAGGACAACCCTAGTTTTTGTTTGTTTTCACTTGTTGTTTTACTATATATTATATATGCTTACTGGATTTAGGAGACATGGCATAGTGTGGCAGGTGAGATCTCACTAATGGTTGAACAGGCACAGGCCTCCATAAAAGCTGCTTTAGCACTGACTGAGTAGTTAGGTTAAAATTAAAACTGAGAGGGCCAGTGCCCTCACATAAAGGCTAGAAAGTAACATTAGCCTGCCAAGAGTGTTGCCTGGGCCTCCCCTGGGCCTTACACCATGTCAAGATAAGAAAGGAATTCTTACATTCCTCATACCAGGATCCGTTTAGGATGAGGCAAGTTTTATTGAGGGTCTGAAGATACTCTCCAGACCTTCATACCTTAGCTGGAGACAAAATAAGGGTAATCACTCCCAAAATAAGGGTAAACCAATCCCTTTAAAAGCAATCCTCAAATTTGACATTTAACCTATTAGAAGCTTATTTTTTTCTCAAATTTTTTTTTCTTTTCTTTCTACAAAACTAAATCATGAATTTTCAGTCTGACCTTAGGTCTTTGACTTGACAATCATCACTGTCTGGCTAACAAAATAATATATGTGTATGTGTGCATGTAAAACCACAATGGCTGATCTTTCAAATTCTCTTTTTTAATATTTTCAACTTTTATTTTAGATTCAGGGGGTACACGTGCAGGTTTGTTACATGGGTGTGAACCCAAAGTGTCTGAGACAGGTCTCAATTTAGAAAGTGTATTTTGCCAAGGTTAAGGATGCACATATGACAGCCTCAGGAGGTCCTAACAACATGTGCCCAAGGTGGTTGGGGCACAGCTTGGTTTTAAGCACTTTAGGGTTACATGAGACATCAATCAATATGTATAAATATACATTGGTTCAGTTTAGAAAGGGGGGCTTCCAGATTATAGGTAGATATATGCTTTTAGACATTTTGGGGAGATATGAAACGTCAATCAAGATATGTAAGGCATATACGGGTTTAGTCCAGGAAGGTTGGACAATTCAAAGTGGGGACTTCCAAGTCACAGGTAAATAGGAGACAGATGGTTGCATTATTCTGAGTCTTTGATCAGCCTTTCATTGAATATACAATTTACGTGTGAGAGGAGACTAGAGGTATAGTCATTTATGGCTTACTCTGGCTCAGTAGATCTGCATTTTTACATAAGCCAAAGGGCAGAAGAAACAATTAGACATGTTTTTGTCTCAGGTGACCAGAAGGATGGCTTTCCCTCTAACACTTGTGAAGATAAGCTATCAATTTACATTGTCAGGGTGTGATTCAATATAACTGTGTTAGAGTAAAGATCTTGAGGCCTACAAGGAATTTCCTTGTGGGCAAATTATGAGGGAGGTATGCAACTTTTTTATCTTTGTAGCTAGCTTATTTAAAAATAAAATTTGAGGCAAGTTTACCTTGCACAGTTTCCAGTTTAGCTTTTCCCTTTGGCTTAGTGATTTTGAGGTCCCAAGGTTTATTTTCTTTTCACACGGGCATATCGGGTGATGCTGAGGTTTGGGGTATGAATGATCCCATCACTCAGGTACTGAGGATAGTACCCAACAGTTTTTCAACCCCTGCCCTCCTCCTTCCCTCCCCTCTACAATAGTCATCAGTGTCTATTGTTTCCATCTTTATGTCCATGTGTAATCAATGTTTAGCTCCCACTTATAAGTGAGAACATGTGATATTTGGTTTTCTGTTCCTATGTTAATTTGCTTAGGATAATGGCCTCCAGCTGTATCCATGTTGCTCAAAGAATATAATTTCATTCTTTTTTTATGGCTGTGTAGTATTCTATGGTATATATGCACCACATTTTCTTTATCCAGTCTACCACTGACGGGCATTTAAGTTGATGCCTTGTCTTTGCTTTTATGAATAGAAGCTTACTTTTTAGCTCATGTAACTATGTCATGTGGGTAATCTTCCATGCAATAATTTAGGCAACCTATGTTCTTCCTACCTGTGGCTTTGTCATGCCCTGGATGTCAGCATTCTCAGCTCAACCTTTTGCATCTTTTGATGAGACAGGTAGAAAGAATGTGGAGGGTCATGTGGTAGGTTTTTTTGGGCCAAATTTGAAAGTGGCAAACCTGACTTCTATTCTCATTCCATTATCTGAAACTCAGCTGCACAGCTATTTCTAACTGCAAGGGAAGAATATAGGCTAGTTTTGTGATAGTCTTTCTAGGAAGCAAGAGCCAAAAAGTGTCAGGTTCTAACTGAGGTCTGAGAGGAGTCAGTGGGCAAGTAGCAGGTAGCTGGAAAAACACTCAAGGAATCGTAGATAGTTTTGACATGGATTTACTCTCTCTTGGCACATGAGCAAGCCATATGTACAGCATTAGCAGGGTAATTATACTTTTACAAACAAAAGGGCTCTGAGCCAAGCATGAGTTCACGTGGGTGATCACCTAATGTGCCTCACGTGGTGTGGTTACATAATGTGTGGGGTTGTGCTCCTGCGCTCCAAACCCGCCGAGTCATGCAGCACCAGAAGGCCGCCTCAGGCCACTCCTGACTAAAGTGAAGCCATTTCCTTTACAAAGAGTTTGATAAACAACTAGACAAACTCTGCTACAGTAATATAGACAGGCCAGCATCTGGGACACTTTCTGTTAATGCTCCTTGAAATTTTAATCAAAACCTATCTCAACAATAAGCATCTTCAGATAATTAATTTTTAAAACTATCCTTTTAAATACTACTGTGAATTATCAAGGGCTCCTATTTTCTAGCAGATAAATACTTTTATTATAAATATATAATGTCTTCTCTTTGACCCTTTAGCCATAGGAGTATTTTAATACCAAGTCCTCAAATCCAGCTCTGAATGTCCTGGCTCTCTTGACAGTAATTTAGGGCAATATGAACAGAGCACTGTTTTAATGCATTTTCTGAAAATGTGTTTCTCTACCTATATCTAAATAAGGCCTGATTTACTGTACTCTATCATGATAGAGAAAGCATCTGGCTGAAAGGCCACAGAGCTATTTGTGTTAATGAGCAATTCTCTAATAAAAATCACTTAACTTATTTCTTGAAGACACTACAATCTCTAGGACTGCTCTCTAAGTTATCTGGAATGAAATTTTGTGTGGTTCCATATATCTATATCTGACATTACATTTAGAGAGGAGAGATTCAAATTCCCCAGCCTCTCCTTCCAGTCCTCAGTACTGAAGGACTACCCAAGGAAATATGTCGTGAATTAATTTGGAGAAGTCTGTTGGGACAGTACTCATTTTAGAAGTGGGATATGTGCATCTCTGTATTTATGTGTGTGGTGTGCTTGGGATGAGTGTTAGAGTGAACCCTTACTTTTACTACACAAAACTTAACTGGGAATAATGTCCATATATCTTTCTTTAGCATAGTACATACTCTACTAAATAAAATATTTAAATAAATTGCAGTTGGTCACTGTGAATCCGTGGACCCTTGTGTATCTTCTTATTCCTGGCATAATGTCTCCAATGTATCCTGCACATACCCGACAGTGATAATTTCTTTAGAAATTAGCCTCTTAGTCATATAGTCAATATATGAAGTTACCAGGTCAATAAAAGACTTATAATTGTTTATAATTATTTTTCTTATTTCTCACCACTACTTAATATCAAGATTATTCCTTTTCTTTCACTTTGTCCTGCCTCTCACCAGTCAACTGAAGCTGAGAATTTCAGCCTGAAGCTGACATGACACTACAACTGTGAGAGCCGGATTCACTGTGGTATTTTAAAACATCATTCCCTGTCTTCCTTAGGTGGCACTCAACTTGGAGGAGTCTTTTTTTTTAACTAGTTTTTGTACATTTTCCTACTTTCTCTAAAATGATAGCAAATTAAGGGCTAATCTATGTTGCTTTTACTCAGATTTTTTCTTTAAACGCTAACATTTTAAGTCCAGAAGCCTTTTTTTCCCTGAGTTTAAGGAGGAAAAACAGGGCTTTCATGTATTGTGGTGAATCATGGTGAGCTGTTGCATATAGAGTCTTAGTGGTATCTTTTTTGGTTGTCTTAATACTCATTATTTGTCTTCTCGTGGCTTTGGACAGATTTCCTTTCATTCTTTTCTCTTTATATGCGACATTTCTGTAATTGGAAGAAATAATATGAAGGTCCTTGCTCTTGTAGTCAGCATGTTTGCTACATTATTCTACTGTGTATGGATCCATGGTTTGAACCTCCTGCAACTTTTGCTCATTTTTCTGTTGTTTTTTTTTTCTAACAAAGCCACTAATATTAAAACAGAAGAGAAAAAAATTCCCTCTAACACATGACTAGAATTTGGGATCATTTATTTTGGTTACAGTGCTCATAAATGTGAACTAAAGAATATGCAGGAATATAATATACATGATCAAAGCAGTATTTGTCTTAATTTAGCAAATATGTATTGAGCCTCGACTATGTACCCAAATTTCTCAGTGTTGGAATGTATCAGTGAACAAAATAGACAAAAATTCCTATCTCTATAGAGTTTTTATTATAATGGAAGTAAGACAAACAGTAAACACAACAGACAAGTACATTTTATTACATGTGAATTGTACAAACTCCGTGTCACCCTTTCAGATTTCCTTGAATGCCTTTTTTCTTCCTAAAGCACTTTTGCTTCCCATATCTTCTGCTGTCTGGGAACAACAATGTACTTGCCTAGGGATTTCTGACCTCTTTTTATTTTTTAACTTTTATTTTAGGGTCAAGGGAACATACGCAGATTTGTTATATAGATAAACCTGTAATCATGGAGGTTTGGTTTGCAGATTATTTAATCAACCAGGTACTAAGCATAGTACTTGATAGTTCTTTTTCCTGATCCTCGCTCTCCTCCTACCTTCCACCATCTAGTAGGCCCTAGTGTCTGCTGTTCCCTTCTTTGTGTCTATGTGTTCTCATTATGTAGCTCCCACTTATAAGTGAGAACATGTGGTATTTGGTTTTCTGTTTTTTGTATTAGTTTGTTAAGGAAAAGGACCTCCAGCTCCATCCATATTTCTGCAAAGGACAGGATCTCATACTTTTCATGGCTGCATAGGAGACCGCTGACCTGTCCTTTTTAAGGGTTATCACTACCATAGCTGAAACCCAGTGTTTCTAATTCCTTCACAACTTAAGGACTTTAATAAAATGTATACTACCCCAAGTGTCCACCAAAAGGGGCAAATCATTCAACACTGTCTCTAGTTTCTTCATTTCTTTTAAAAAGTACTTTTTTGAACAGTTAAGTCTGTCCAGACACTGTTCTAGTTCCTTAGGCTACATGAGTGTACCAAGATCTGTGCCCTCATGGAGCTAACAATCTAGGAGTAGTAAGAGAACCAATGATAAGCATTTTAGAAGGTGATAAGTGAGACAGTAAAAATAAAAAGTACATAGGAAAAGGGAGATTAAGAGAGCTGAGTGTGGAATGGTTGCAGTTTTAAAAGAGGAAGTTAGTGTAGGTTTCACTGAGGAAGAGGCATTTGAGAAAAGACATGGAGGGGGGTTGAAGAATAGTAATGAAGGAAGAATAATAAGGAATGAAGGCTAAGAGGTAATTAGTATCACCTCATGTAGGATAGCTTAAGCATCTTGTCTTTTACTCTAAGTGAAATGGGGAGCTGTTGCAAAATTTGGGGCAAAGGAATGACATGGTATGTGTGTGTGTGTCCAAATACATACATGCAATTGATACATAAATCTGCTGAACATGTAATTCACATTTCCCTGAGCTAAAACCTCAGTCCTTCCCCTTTTATCTATGTCACTTAGATTTCAAAAATTATTGGAAGTAAGATAGATAGGAATTCACACATGCAAATTGTTCCACTGTTTCTGCTACTGCTCTTGCTGGTTGTCTTATTTTCACTGTTCACAATTCCACATCAATGCTACCTATATTGATAGACAACTGGGTTGGCTGCTCTACTCCTTTTAGTTACCCATCAGAGGCAAGGACATATCTCAGTGGCTGAGATTATTAAGACATCTGCCTGTGCTATTTTAATTTTAAATAACTAATAAGCTATGCATCTGATATTACACTTGAGCTGCCTGTGTATCGGTGTAGCACTGCCCTGGACTTCAAAATATTTTCTCTGGCCAATTCAGGACACAATATCCTTTTTTCAAGCCTGTTCTTTGGAAGACGAGTTCTCATTATAGTTGCATGGTAACACCAATCCCTGGTAACACCAGAGTAAATGGTCAGTGCCATAAGGCTATGTCTGGGCAGTTTAACTGCAGTCTCATGCTGTACCAAACATCATGCACTTTGACCATCAATCAGGTCCTGCAACTGATTACCTCAGGTGACTCCTTTACAACCTCTAGCCATCTAACATGATGCCACATTCATTTTTCTCCCCTAAAATCTAGCATGTATCAAAGTTTTCAGTATATCATACATATAAGGAGTCCCAGTATAGATGGATTTCATGGGCATTGCAATGTACTTCTTAGAATGCATGTAAAAGTTGACAGTGGATGAAAATACCCAACATGTGACTATTTAATATAGCAGCTGACACATCCAAATAATCCAGTCATTACACTTGTTACAATAAAAAATGCTGTTCAAGATAGAAATTATTCACCTTAAAATATAATGGGCCAGGCGCGGTGGCTCACGCCTGTAATCCCAGCACTTTGGGAGGCCGAGGCGGGCAGATCACGAGGTCAGGAGATCGAGACCATCCTGGCTAACACGGTGAAACCCCGTCTCTACTGAAAATATAAAAACTTAGCCAGGCGTGGTGGCGGGCACCTGTAATCCCAGCTACTTGGGAGGCTGAGGCAGGAGAATGGCGTGAACCCGGGAGGTGGAGCTTGCAGTGAGCAGAGATCGCGCCACTGCACTCCAGCCTGGGCGAAAGAGCGAGACTCTGTCTCAAAAAAAAAAAAAAAAAAAAAAATTATGAACTCAAACCCAAGATGTACTGAAGTAGATATGATGTGACTATAGCTTAGGAATGACATGGAGGAAATTTCTGAATTTATTAGAAATGTCTGCTACCAAACAGAAGTCTCCATTAGTGTTTACATTTAAAAAATATATAATTGGCTATAAAACCTGTGATATCTCAAGGTCCAGGAGGTCTAAAACTTAGAGGTCAAGGTACAGATGGCCAGCAGCAGAACAAACATTAAGGAAGGAAAAAAGAATGACTTGTCATTTTCCCACCTGGAAACTAAGGGCTAGAACATGGCTATAGTGGGGCCAGATCTCAGTAAGGAAGTCAGGATCTCAAAGATCAGACATAACAGGAATTCAGTCATGGTAATGAGCAGGAAGGAGTCTAAAGGGGAAACTAATCATATGGTACCAGAGTCAAGGACACTGCCATATTAATACAATTTTCTGCCCCAATAACTTCTCTTTGACTCTTTGTTTTAGAGAAGAAAATTGTCTTAGGTCACAGCTGTCCTAGAGCATACAAGTGAGTATAGAAACAGGTGAATGTATGAACACGACTAGTTAGGATATAGAGATAGCAAAACTAAGGACACATATGAAAGGTAACTGTCAGTTCTGGGCTCTCTCTCTCTCTCTCTCTGTCAGACACACACACACACACATATTTCCACATTGTTAAATAAAACTACATAGCATCATTATTCAGTCGGAAAACTCCCGGATGAGAATGTATTTTGTGCACATTCTCAAATTTAGTATTTTGGCCTTGATTATTTTGGCAGTTCTGTAGAACTATACCTGCATTGACATGACTATTTAACTATTAATAAGCATATGTCAAAATCTTGAAAACATACTGCAAGTTATAAATCATCCTTAAAACATTTGAGGATTTTTCCTGAGCTTAATGCAACACAGATTTGAATAGTACAATGCTATAATCCCGAACCAGAACTGAAAGCCATTAGAATCAAGAATGGATTTGAAATTTTGCAATTTGTTTATAGGGTAGTTTATTATTTTAACTTCTTTTCATGATGATAAGGAGGATACATAAACTTATCTGCAGGAAACAGGCTGCTTATTTCAAAATTCCTTCTCACATCCCACAGTGCAATCATCTAAAGCCAAGATGCAGTTACGCAGAACACAGATGAAGTTTCGCTTCATATTACAAATGCATTCACTTAAACATGTTATGCAGGAGACCACTGGAAGATAAAACTATTATCTTTCTCACTATGAACATTGAAATTTTATTTTTTTCATTTAACTCTTGATAGAATAATATGAAATTCAATTGTGACAAAGGAATTGTGATGACATTTTCAACCTATTTTTTATGTACTATTAATCTGTAACAGGTGTGTTTTGAAAAGTGAACTCAAGGTCAGAACACTTAGGGTGGGGAAATAGACAGGAGTGAGGAGAATTAGAAGCAGTCAATTTTACTATCTAGTGGAGCCAACTGAGTTAAACTGTAAGTAAAGAAATCCAGGAGCTTTAGCCTTTGAAAGACTTTTTAAGAAGATGCTATACAAAATGCATAAAACATTGAAAAGGCAGAAGTAAAAGTGAAAAAAGTGTTCCTCATGGGGCAAGGAGATAGCTCTTATCTTCGTTATTTCTTTCCTGATGACCCCAAGTTAGACTATTCAAGTAAAGGCTTGTATTGATTTGTTTAACTTTCAGAAGTTAACATCTGGGCATAAGACCAAAATTGAAATGAAAAAAGTGGCACTTAAAGTTCTCAGGTAAAATAAGAGGGAAAAAGTATAACATGAGCTGATGTATCTGCTGCTCTTTGAAAAATTTCCCAGTAAAAGAAACACAGATACAAAGATAAAGACATATTTTTAAAAATTGATGTTTTAAGATTCACCATAGATTTGTTATCTCAGGCTTTGTCTTTACTAATTTTTCAAATTGAAGGCTTTACATTATCCAGATTGAGTTTAGTACTCTATTATGTATATAGCAGATTGGGATAAATAATTGCTAAAATAATTGTTCCAGGAACCTATACTCTATCACCTAACATACAATAAGCATATGAAACATATTGTTGAGTGAATGAATGAGAATGAGAATGAGGAGAATAAATGAGAATGTTAGAACATTTTCAAATTAGAGAGGGAGAGAAGAGTAAAAATTAAGAGGGATATGTCCATATCTATATACAGGTATATATGTCTACATCCACCTCAGTTTTATGGGTATATGTGTCTCTGTGAGCTAGTTTATTTACACTATGTGGTTACATATACAGTGGATGGGGCTGGAATGTGAAAAGTAGATATTGTGTTCTTGTTAAATAATACTTGAGCTATAACTATATGTATATGTTTACTATCATACATTTCCCTCTTCATTCATCAAATAACATTCTTAGATTAAGAGTTTACACCTTCCATTCATTCATTCACTCATGAGAATCTGGTGTCACCATCATCCTTCACTCAACACAGTCTAGCTACAGACAGCAATGGCCTCCAAAACACAGATTTAACTAATGTACCTTCTTCTTGATTTTTCTTGATTTCTCTTTTGTGTGAGACATGGACTACTCCTTGCTTTTGAGTTAGTCTTTTCTATCATGTTTGAGAGGTGACAGCGTGCTGGCAGTCCTCACAGCCCTCGCTCGCTCTCAGCACCTCCTCTGCCTGGGCTCCCACTTTGGCGGCACTTGAGGAGCCCTTCAGCCCACCGCTGCACTGTGGGAGGCTGGGCTGGCGAAGGCCGGAGCCAGCTCCCTCAGCTTGCAGGGAGGTGTGGAGGGAGAGGCACGAGCGGGAACCTGGGCTGCGCGCGGCGCTTGCGGGCCAGCCAGAGTTCCGGGTGGGCGTGGGCTTGGCGGGCCCTGCACTCAGAGCAGCCGGCCGGCCCTGCCGGCCCCAGGCAATGAGGGGCTTAGTACACGGGCCAGCGGCTGCGGAGGGTGTACTGGGTCCCCCAGCAGTGCCAGCCCACCTGCGCTGCGCTGGATTTCTCACCAAGCCTTAGCTGCCTTCCCGCGGGGCAGGGCTCGGGACCTACAGCCAGCCATGCCTGAGCCTCCCACCCACTCCATGGGCTCCTGTGCAGCCCGAGCCTCCCCAATGAGCGCCTCCCCCTGCTCCACGGCGCCCAGTCCCATCGACCACCCAAGGGCTGAGGAGTGCAGGCGCATGGTGCGGGACTGGCAGGCAGCTCCACCTGCAGCCCCTGTGCGGGATCCACTGGGTGAAGCCAGCTGGGCTCCTGAGTCTGGTGGGGACGTGGAGAACCTTTATGTCTAACTCAGGGATTGTAAATACACCAATCAGCACCCTGTGTCTAGCTCAGGGTTTGTGAATGCACCAATGGACACTCTGTATCTAGCTTCTCTAGTGGGGCCTTGGAGAACCTTTATGTCTAGCTCAGGGATTGTAAATACACCAATCGGCACTCTGTATCTAGCTCAAGGTTTGTAAACACACCAATCAGCACCCTGTGTCTATCTCAGGGTTTGTGAATGCACCAATCCACACTCTGTATCTAGCTGCTCTGGTGGGGACTTGGAGAACCTTTGTGTTGACACTCTGTATCTATCTAATATAGTGGGGACATGGAGAACCTTTGTGTCTAGCTCAGGGATTGTAAACGCACCAATCAGCACCCTGTCAAAACAGACCACTGGGCTCTACCAATCAGCAGGATGTGGGTGGGGCCAGATAAGAGAATAAAAGCAGGTTGCCCCAGCCAGCAGTGGCAACCTGCTCAGGTCCCTTTCCACACTTTGGAAGCTTTGTTCTTTCACTCTTTGCAATAAATTTTGCTACTGCTCACTCTTTGGGTCCACACTGCCTTTATGAGTTGTAACACTCACCGCGAAGGTCTGCAGCTTCACTCCTGAGCCAGCGAGATCACGAACCCATCAGAAGGAAGAAACTCCTAACACATCCGAACATCAGAAGGAACAAACTCCAGACACGCCACCTTAAGAGTTGTAACACTCACTCCGAGGATCCGCGGCTTCATTCTTGAAGTCAGTGAGACCAAGAACCCACCAATTCCAGACACAATGTCACTGGATTTTCATCCATGATGTCCCTTTATATTTGATTCCATGACTGGTCTTTATTATCAGAGATCATTTTCTCTTGCTTTATGTGCCACTTTGGTAGATTCATCTGTAATCATAGTTTAACCCACCGTGAGAACACTCATGAATCTCAAAGCTCTCGCTATATCCAAGGGTCATAGTAAATTGTCTGCTTAGTACTTCTAATAGATTATCTCAAAATCACTTCACATTTAACAGGTTCAAATGTAAACTTATCATTTTCTCTTTCATGTTTGATTTTCATCTTATTTCTCTGCCTTAAATGATAGTATCATCATCTAATCATTCACCAAACCATACCAGTTATCATGGTATCTTAACTACTTCTCACCCACCCACCACTTTTAGTTAATGTCCAATCCAGTCACTTTTATCAGTCCTCATGACCCTGTCCTGCATAGTCCAGACCCTCTTTGTCTCACCTTGGTAGTTGCCACAGTCTCCTCTCTGGTCCAGGTCTTCTGTCTATCTCGGAATCACTTTGAACATGTGTCACTATGTTACTGCTAATCACAATGCAGACCAAATCGTACCTCTCTTTTAAATTCTTTAATAACTCCAGATTTATTTTAACTAAGATAAAATCCAAGTCTTTACCAAGGTATATAAAACTCTCAATGAGCCGGCACTTTTGTGGTATAATTTTTTCTAATTACTTACCCTCAGATGCTATTTACACTCCAGCAATATGAAACTACATGAAGTTATTTAAGTATAATTGTCGTATCATATCTCTGTGCCCTTAAACATGATACTTCATCTGCTTATAATATAATGTTCTTTCTTTTTCACCTTGCTGTATCCTATTTGTCTTTTAATATTCAGTTCAGATGTCACATATTGTGTGAATCTTGCACTAAATTCATTCCAATCCCCTGCCATAATACTTTACTAAATGCATTTCAATCCTCTGTCATAATCCTTCTCTGAGATGGAGTCAAGTGTACTTCCAAGGTATTCCAGTACAATCTGTATCTCTATCAGATACTTTTTATATTACATGGATATTATCTCCTCATAATTCTCTTCATCCATTAAGAAAGTTTGCTTGTAGAAAATAGCGAATAATAAAATGTTATATACCTAGTTAACCAGTTTTATAAACCTAGTACTCTGTCTGATACATAATAGATAATCAAACAATTATTTTAATTTGATTGAATTATACTGCACAATATCAAAGAAACCAAGGGGGTAGGGAGAAAATTTCTAGGTGTGATGTATTGTGATTAACTCACAAATATTGAGAGATGTGTTGCTGTATAATGGCTAAGCATACAGATAAGATGTTCAGACTGACTTTGGCTTGAGTCCTAGTTCTAGCACGTGCTTTGTGAATGGAGAAAATTATACCATAGCTCTAAGAGTTTAGTCATCTCATCCTTAAACTAATAATAATAATAATGATGACAAAAATACCTACCTTACAAAGAGAGGTGAGTTGAGATATTTTCTTTTTTTATTGATTGAGAGCATTTTTTGAGGCCTCTTTTAAGAAAAAGAATACAAAAATACAACTATAAAGTTGAAAAAATAAATCATATCAAATTATAAATTCTAAAAGCTTGATAGACATGTTATTACATCTCAGAAAGGTAACAAAATTTTTAAAATTTACTGTCTCACATACCTCTGTATTATTTTTATTAGTTCTTAATATAACCAGTAGTTTGTATGTTTTATATGGAGACAATAGAAAGGCAATTTAGTCTTCCTTCTGAAATAGCTTATTGAAATTTTTTATTGTCAATGATTTAAATTTTTTAAATTCACAACTTTTACTCAGTAATATGAAAATTACTGGTATTATCAAACATAGGAAACCCTTATTAAGTTTGTATATGATCTGTAGGATTTGGGAGAATTTTCCACAAACCACCATCAGGCTTCCTACATTTCTAATCTGGCTTCTCCTCCACTACCTCATATACCCAGTGTCCAATATCATAGGACACACTAACGTTATAACTCCTGCTCCGTGGTCTTTCTGTCATGCTGCTGCGTAACTTGGTACAGGGGGCAGTAGGAATATTTCTAGAAGCCATCTCTGCTCTGGATTAGTTAGCTAACAATATCTTGTCCACATAAATGCAAATCAAATGCTTCCCCAACTCACCCAACTCAATTTCCATTTATCTAGATCACCAGGATGCCCAGAACTCTCTATTGCCTCCAGACAAATAGGCTAACTTTAACAGATGATAATTGGGGTTGGAAAGAATGAATGGTCTTATCAGATGGCAGTTAAAATCTAATTATGCAAAACTAACCAACTGTATGACTACATAACATAGTGTAAGGACCCCGCTTGTGCTGAGAAAGAACTTGTGCAAATGAGAGGCCCAGAAAGAAAGACTCATAGTAAGGGTTGCTGGTATGATCAAATTTAGATAATAAAAATAAAGCACTAAAAATAGTGCTCTGTCCACTGTACATGTACAATAAATATTCATTTTCTATAAATTATTAAGAAAGAATAGACACATTTGGATCAACAAGCTAATTTAAGTCTCCCAAAGAGAACTATTCACATTAATGGTATTATGTGTTTATGTGTTGATACATCCCATGGAGGTCATGAATAGCAGGCATAAAAGCACATATAGTTTAGAATATCCATTTGAAGAATTTAAAGACATATATTTGTATAAATGAACACATATTTCAATTTATTAAAATATAATAAAATATTCCACTATAAAGCAGACTACAATATCAGTATTTTTTCAAGGTCTCAGAGAAAGCTTCATTTTTATCTGGAGACTTCTTGATAATCATGGAATCAGGGTGAGATACTTTGATGATGTTACTAGCTACTCCAATATATTTTTTAAAATCTGATGCATCTATATCTACTTTGAGTATATATGAATGTATCTGGCGCCCAGTTAGGGCAAAAGATTTCTCTGGATTGTCAATGTTATGGTTTGGATTTGTGTCCCTGCCCAAAGCAAAGCTCATGTTGAATTGTAATCCCCAGTGTTGGAGGAGGTGCCTGGTGGGAGGTGATTGGATCATGTGGGTGGATTTTCCCCTTGCTGTTCTCATGATAGTGAGTGCTCATGAGATCTGATTGTTTAAAAGTGTGTAGCACCTCCCCCTTCTCTTTCTGCCTCCTTCTCTGGCCATGTAAGAGGTGCCTACTTCCCCTTCGCTTTTCGTCATAGTTGTAAGTCTCTTGAGGCCTGCCCAGTGATGCTTCCTGTATAGCTTGTATAACTGTGAGTCAATTAAACCTCTTTTTAAAATAAAATAAAATAAAATAAAATAAATTACCCAGCTCAGATATTTCTTTATAGCAGTGTGAAAATGGACTAATACAGTTAATAAGGGCATTTCTTTACTGAGGAATTCTAGGAATCTTTCTCAATTCCATCTGTCTATGCAGTCAGGACATTTTACAATAGGTGTCAGTGAATAAGAAATTAAACAGCTATAAAGGGAAAGGGAATGCATTGAATCTAAGGTTTCTGAGAAGCAAAAAGTAATGTTACCCACAACAGAGCACTAGTTCAGAGTGATCGAGTGATATTCTCCAGTACTTTTCCTTGAGATGAAACATAAGTGAAGATTTTTTAGTCTTTTCAATTCATTTTGCCTCCACACTAGATTGATAGTCTGGGTAGTTACCGAAATCTAGGTTGAAAGTCATTTTCTTGAAGGTATTATTCTAGTAGGTGCTAGTAACCAGTGTTGTTGGAAAAAAAGCTTACTGTCATTATGATTCTCATTACTATATGTGTATATGTGTACATATGTTTTTATTTTGTTTTTCTACCTTTAGGCTGTTATATCTTGTGTCCTGAAGTACAAAAAAGTGTGTAATTGTGGGTCTTTTTTCATTCATTCTCCTATTATCAAGCTGGAAACTCCTTTATTCAGAATAATCCAAAATTTTGTATTTTTTTTAAAATCCTGTCTTCACTGTCTGCAGTTACTACCAGAGAAATGATGGATTCTCTAGATTAATGCTTTGTGTATTTTTTTCTAATAATTTTAATTCCTTTCATTTTTGTTCTATGCTTCTGTTTCTGTATTTCCTAACCCAGCTTTATATACATATTTTAAAAACCAGCCATCATGTTTTTAATTTGTTTTACCATTTCATGTCCCTTTGTACATCATTTGCCATTGTTATTTTTAATAAATGTAAGTATTCTTGTATTATATATTCTTGTATTGTGTTTTAAATTTTTTTTCATAGGTTATTGGGGAACGGTGGTGTTGGTTATATGAGTACATTCTTTAGTGGTGATTTGTGAAATGTTGGTGTGCCCATCACCTGAGTAGTATAGGCTGCACCGTATTTATAGTCTTGTATCCCTCACCTCCTTCCCACCCTTTCTCCCTGAGACCCCCAAAGTCGATTGTGTCGTTTTTATGCCTTTGCATCCTTATACCTTAGCTCCCACTTATGAGTGAGGACATACAATGTTTGGTTTTCCATTCCTGAGTTACTTCACTTAGAATAATAATCTACAGTCTCATCCAGGTTCCTGCCTGGATTCATTCTCTTTATGGCTGAGTAGTATTCCTTCATATATATATACATATATATATATATATACACACACATATATATATATACATATATATATACACATATATATATACATATATATATACATATATATATATGTATATATATATATATATACCACAGTTTCTTTATCCACTCACTGATTGATGGGCATTTGGGTTGGTTCCAAGTTTTTGCAATTGCGAATTGTGTTGTTATAAACATGAGTGTGCAGGTATCTTTTTCGTATAAAGACTTCTTTTCCTCTGTGTAGATACCCCATAATGGGATTGCTGGATCAAATGGTACTTCTACTTTTAGTTCTTTGAGGAATCTTCACACTGTTTTTTATAGTGATTGTACTAGTTTATATTCCCACCAGCAGTGTAGTAGTGTCTCCTGTTCACCACATCCACGCCAACATCTACTGTTTTTGGATTTTTTTATTATGGCCATTCTTGCAAGAGTAAGGTGGTATTGCATTGTGGTTTTGATTTGCCTTTACCTGATCATTAGCGATATTGTTGGCCATTTGTATAACTTCTTTTGAGAATTGTCTATTCATGTATTTAGGCCATTTTCAATGGCTGTTTGGCTGTTTTTTCTTGCTGATTTGTTTGAGTTCGTTGTAGATTCTGGATATTAGTTTTTTGTCAGATGTACAGATTGTGAAGATTTTCTCCCACTCTGTGGGTTGTCTGTTTACTCTGCTGACTGTTCCCTTTGCTGTGCAAAAGCTCTTTAGTTTAATTAAGGCCCAGCTATTTATCTTTGTTTTTATTGCATTTGCTTTTGGGTTCTTGGTCATGAAATCCTTGCCTAAGCCAATGTCTAGAAGGAATTTTTATTTATTTATTTGCTTGTTTGTTTTGTTTTGTTTTTTGCTTAGCCTTGCTTTGGCTATGGGGGCTCTTTTTTGGTTCCATGTGAATTTTAGAATTGTTTTTTCTAATTCTGTGAAGAATGATGGTGGTATTTTGATGGGAATTGCATTGAATTTGAAGATTATTTTTGGCAGTATGGCTATTTTCACAATATTGATTCTACCCACCCATGAGCATGAGATGTGTTTCCATTTGTTTGTGGCATCTATGATTTCTTTCAGCAGTGTTGTGTAGTTTTCCTTGCAGGGGTCTTTTGCCTCCTTGTATATGCCTAAGTATTTAATTTTTTGCAGCTATTGTAAAAGGGGTCGAGTTCATTTGATTCTCCATTTGGTAGCTGTTGGTTTATAGAAGAGCTAGTGATTTGTGTACATTAATTTTGTATCTGGAAATTTTGCTGAATATTTTTATCAGGTCTAGGAGCTTTCTGGAGGAATCTTTAGGGTTTTCGAGGTAAACAATCATGTCATCACCAAACAGCGACAGTTTAACTTCCTCTACAAATTTGGATGCCCTTTATTTCTTTCTCTTGTCTGATTGCTCTGGCCAGGACTTCCAGTACTATGTTGAAGAGGAGTGGTGAGAGTGGGCATCCTTGTCTTGTTCCAGTTTTCAGAGGGAATACTTTCAACTTTTCCCATTCAGTATTATGGTGGCTATGGGTTTGTCATAGATTGCTTTTACTACATTGAGATATGTCCCTTCTAGGCCAATTTTGCTAAGAGTTTTAATCACAAAAAGATGTTGGATTATGTTCAAATGCTTTTTCTGCATCTATTGAGATGATCATGTGATTTTTGTTTTTAATTCTATTTATGTGGTGTATCACATTTATTGACTAGCATATGTTAAACCATCCCTGCATCCCTGGTATGAAACCCACTTGATCATGGTGGATTATATTTTGGATATGTTATTTGTCTCAGTCAGCTAGTATTTGGTTAAGGATTTTAGCATCTATGTTCATCAGGGATATCGGTCTGTAGTTTTCTTTTATAGTTATGTCCTTTCCTGGTTTCGGTATTAGGTTGATAATGGCTTCATAGAATGATTTAGGGAGAGTTCCTTCTTTCCCTATCTTGTGGAATACTGTCGATAGGATTGGTTCCAATTCTTTTTTGAATGTCTGGTAGGGTTCAGCTGTGAAACTGTCTGGTTCTGGACTTTTTTTGTTGGTCATTCTTTTATTACCGTTTCAATCTCGGTTCTAGTTATTGGTCTGTTTAGGGTATCTAATTCTTCCTGATTTAAGCTAGGAGGCTTGTATCTTTCCAGTAATTTATACATCTCTTCTAGGTATTCTTTTTTTTTTCTTTTTTCTTTCTTTCTTTCTTTTCTTTTTTTCTTTCTTTTTTTTTTTTTTGAGATGGAGTTTTGCTCTTGTTGCCCAAGCTGGAGTGCAATGGCGTGATCTCGGCTCACTGCAACCTCTGCCTCCCAGGTTCATGCGATTCTCCTGCCTCAGCCTCCTGAATAGCTGGGATTACAGGCATGCACCACCCTGCCTGGCTAATTTTATATTTTTAGTAGAGATGGGGTTTCTCTGTGTTGGTCAGGCTGGTCTTGAACTCCCAACCTCAGGTGATCCACCCGGCTCGACCTCCAAATGTGCTGGGATTATAGGCCTGAGCCACCATGCCCTGCCCCTCTTCTAGGTTTTCTAGTTTATATGCATAAAGGTGTTCACAGTAGCCTTGAATGATCTTTGGCATTTCTGTGGTGTCAGTTGTAATATTTTCTGTTTCATTTCTTAAGCTTATTTCGATTTTCTCTCTTCTTTCTTGATTAATCTTGCTAATGGTCTCTTAATTTTATTTATCTTTTCCAAATACCAGCTTTTTATTTCCTTTATCTTTTGTATTTTATTTTGTTTCAATTTCATTTAGTTCTGCTCTGATCTTGGTATTTCCTTTCTTCTGCTGGGTTTGGGTTTGGTTTGTTTTTGTTTCTCTAGTTTCTTGAGGTATGACCTTAGATTATCTGTTTGTGCTCTTTTAGACTTTTTGATGTAGGTGTTTAGGGCTATGAACTTTCCTCTTAGCTCCACCTTTGCTGTATCCCAGAGGATCTAAAAGGTTGTGTCACTATTGTCATTCACTTTGAAGAATTTTTTAAATTTCCATCTTGATTTCATTTTTGGCCAATGATTATTCAGGAGGAAGTTATTTAATTTCCATGTATTTGCATGGTTTTGAAGGTTCCTTTTGGAGTTTGATTTCCAGTTTTATTTCACTGTGGTCTGAGAGAGTGCTTGATATAATTTCAATTTTCTTAAATATATTGAGGCTCATTTTGCAGCCTATCATATGGTCTGTCTTGGAGAAAGTTCCATGCACCTTTCAATAGAATGTAGATTCTGTGGTTGTTGGATGGAATGTTCTGTATATTTCTGTTAAGTCTGTTTCTTCCAGGGTATAGTTTAAATCGATTGTTTCTTTCTTGACTTTCTGTGTTGATGACCTGTCTAGTGCTGTCAGTGAAGTATTGAAGTCCCCCACTATTATTGTGTTGCAGTCTATCTTATTTCTTAGGTCTATTAGGAATTGTTTTATAAATTTGGAAGCTCCAATTAGGTGCATATATGTTTAGGATTGTGATATTTTCCTGTTGGACAAGGCCTTTTGTCATTATATAATGTCTCTCTTAGTCTTTTTATCATTATATAATGTCTCTCTGTCTTTTATATAATGTCCCTCTTTGTCTTTAGAAGAGAAGGCAACCCTTCTCTTCATTACTGAAATGAAATAGGGAATACAAGAGTTCCCTGGAGACAACAGACTGCAGTATTTTGTTTTAAAAGTGGGTCTTGTGTTTTTCTGTTTTTAAACTTTTTAAACTGCTGTTGCTTTAAAGATTGTTTTGTCTGATATAAGAATAGCTATTCCAGCTAACTTTTGGTGTCCATTTGTGTGAAATGTCTCTTTCCATCTCTTTACCTTAAGTTTATATGATTCCTTATGTGTTAGGTGAGTCTCTTGAAGGCAACAGAGAGTTGGTTGATGAATTCTTATTCATTCTGCAATTTTGTGTCTTTTAAGTGGAGCATTTAGTCCATTTACATTTGATGTTAATATTGAGATGTGAGGTACCATTCCATTCTTCCTGCTATTTGTTGCCTGTATACCTTGGTTTTTGTTTTTGTTTTTTAAATTGTATTTTTGTTTTATAGGTCCTGTGAGATTTATGCTTTAAAGAGGTTCTGTTTTTGATGTGTTTCCAGGATTTGTTTCAAAATTTAGAGATCCTTTTAGCAGTTCTTATAGTGGTGGCTTGTTAATGGCAAATTCTCTCAGCAATTGTTTGTCTGAAAAAGACTGTATCTTTCCTTCATATGTGAAGCATAGTTTGGCTGGATACAAAATCTTTGGCTGATAATTGTTTTTGTTTGAGGAGGCTAAAGATAGGGCCCCCATCCCTTCTAGCTTGTAGGCTTTATGCTGAGAAATCTGCTGTTAATCTGATAGGTTTTTCTTTATAGGTTACCTGGTGCTTTTGTCTCACAGATCTTAAGATTCTTTTCTTTGTCTTAACTTTAGATAACTTGACGACAATGTGCCTAGGTGATGATCTTTATGTGATGAATTTCCCAGGTGTTCTTTGTGCTTCTTGTTTTTGGATGTCTAGGTCCTTTGCAAGGCTGTGGAAGTTTTCTCGATTAGTCCTCCAAGTATGTTTTCCAAAGTTTTAGATTTCCTTTCTTCCTCAGGAAGGCCTATTATTCTTAGGTTTGGTCATTTAGCATAATCCCAGACTTCTTGGAGGGTTTGTTCATATTTTCTTATTTTTATTTTTGTCTTTGTTGGATTGGGTTAATTCAAAGACCTTGTCTTTAAGCTCTGAATTTCTTTCTTGTACTTGTTCAATTTTATTGCTGAGACATTCCAGAGTGTTTTGCATTTCTCTAAGTGTGTCCACTGTTTTTTGAAGTTTTGATTGCTTTTTATTTATGCTATCTATTTCATTGAATATTTCTCCTTTCACTTCTTGTATCTTTTTTTTTATTTTCTTACATTGGGTTTCACCTTTCTCTGGTGCCTCCCTGATTAGCTTAATAACCAACCTCCTGAGTTCTTTTTCAGGTAAATCAGAGATTTCTTCTTGGTTTGGGTCCATTGCTGGTGAACTAGTGTGATTTTGGGGGGATGTTAAAGAGCCTTGTTTTGTCATATTACCAGAGGTGGTTTTGTGGTTCATTCTCATTTGGGTAGGCTCTGTCAGAGGGAAAGTCTAGGGCTGAAGGCTGTTGTTCAGATTCTTTTGTCCCACAAGGTGTTCCCGTGATGTAGTACTCTCTCCCTTTTCCGATAGATGTGATCTCCTGAGAGTTGAGCTTTAGTGATTGTTAGCTCTCTTTTTGATATAGCCTACCATCTGCCATGATCCACCCTATAATTTTGCATTGTGTTTTTCTGTGATTCTGTTTCTGTATTTTTAAATCCAGTTTTATATACATGTTTTAAAAATCAGCTATCATGTTTTTAATTTGTCTACGCTTTACAGGTCCCTTTGTACATCATTTGGCCATTGTTATTTTTAAATAATTTTAAGTATTCTTGTGTTATTACACTGAGGGTATTAATTAAAATTAATTTTTTCTTCTGTTTCTTGTATCTGTTTCCACAGTTCATCTTTTGTTTTTGTTTGCTTTTTTTTTTTTTTTAATTGAGAAAGGGAGTTTGTTTGACAGACTAGGAGAAATACGGATTCTACATCTAGGGTGAGAGACAAGATCTCACTATTTAGATTTTCAAATCCTTTTCTTCCATATCAATTTCTCTGAAGAATTGGCCTTTATTATCTGACTTGTGCACAGGTACCTATATTTGAAGCTTCTGTCAGTTCTATAGTCCCTTTTTTTTTAGGTTTCTCCAGGGTGGATGGTCTTTTCTCTCACCACACTCTCTTCCTTATCTTAGTTATAGCTTCCCTTGCCCTGTTAAATCACTTTCCACTTCTATACTATGTCTTTGACTTTTAAAAATCTATTAAAAGCTTTCTTCAACTATTCTCTCTATATTTCTATACAAATACCTCCTTAGCTGCCAATATAATGTCAGTGGGTCTTGGGAGAGAATAAAAATACATTCATATTTACTTCTCTTTAAAAGAAAGTGTCAAATAAGCTCATTTTTAAAAACGATACTAGAACTTTGAGGATTTTTTAATACATAGAAATGACTTCATATTTGTCCTAATATTTTTTGGAGTTAGAAGTAATGTGTTGGATGAGGCAGATAGTACACCTTTTGAAAGGGATAAATTTTCTAAGTATTCTAGGAATACATACTCCATTACAAGCCTCCCTTTCCATATGCTGTCATTTATATATAGAAGCACAAACTCTATACATTTGAAACAGCCAGATGGCAACTTTTCTCTTCATTACTGAAATGAAATAGGAAATCCAAGAGTTCCCTGGTGACAACAGACTGCAGTATTTTGTTTTAAAACATATAGTTTTGAGGTAAACATAAGCTTGCTTTCACCTTTTTTAATGTTTGTTCTCTTTTTCATAAGTACACTGACAGCAAAAGAAATTCAGTGAGTTCTGTAACCTGATTTTTTAGTTAAAAGTGAAAAAGCTAAATAATATTAGCATAAACGTTTGCAACTGTTACCTAAGAGAATTCTGATAGCTGCCTCAACTCTCTGTGTGAAATTATTCTTGCATGGCATTTGTAATTGTTTCTGTCAGGAAAATGGAAACCTTGCAGATATTTACTAATGTGCCTTGGAGAGCATGTAACCTTGGAGAGTTGTGTAATGTACCTTTGGAAATGGAAATTCTAAAGATAGTTCAAAAACTAACTCCTTGACTCATGATGGCTAAATTCTTCTTGAGGCAATAATTGTCCTTGGAAAAACCTGTTTGGTTAGTTTGTTATTTATAAACAACAGAAGACACTGGATAGTTAAGATGACCAGATGTGTTTATTAGAAAACTTTATATAGATCATGAAGTTAAGATTTTGTACATATAAGTGGCCTTTTTAACTCTACAATAGAGCCAGAAATAAACTGTGGTTACATCTGTAATTCCTACACAAACAGTAATGCAATTACATTACAAGACAATTAAGATATAAGTTATCTGAAGGACTTTGCTATAATTATATGAAAAAAATCATATCAAAGCTTTCTAAACAATATCTTTGTTGTTTCAAGAAAGTCTGCTGTTCTCTATAGTCATAACAAATTTGACTTTTAATTTGATTCATGAAAAAATGAAACTACTAAAAAAACCCGAATTAGTCCTTCCAACATATGAGCTGTAAGAAATTTGACAGCAAGAAAATCGAGATGATGGGAAAGGCCAGTTCTGTAGAGAAAAATAAATGGATACTGATATAGATGTATTTTCAAAGATTTTAAGACTCTGTTGTTTTCTAAAATAAATCCTTTACAGTCCATGTATTATTCTCCACTTTCTTTTCTGCCTCCCAGGAGTTCAGTGCCTAAATATCCAAGATCCTAAGATTACTGTTAGGATTGGAGGAAACAAGAGGGAAAACTGAGAAATAAGGGTAATGGGAACAATTACATAGAAAAGCAATGGTGACACTGGAGCACCAGCCCCCAACAGCATAATTATCTTCTCACTGTGCTGAACAAAGCTGCTCAATTTTTTTTTTTTTTTTTTTTTTTTTTTTTTTTTTTTTTTTTTGGTGGAGTTTCACTCTTGTCACCCAGGCTGGAGTGAAATAGTGCGATCTTGGCAATCTCGGCTCACCGCAACCTGTGCCTCCCAGATTCAAGAGATTCTCCTGCCTCAGTCTCCCGAGTAGCTGGGATTACAGGTGACCACTGCCCCACCCGTCTAATTTTTGTATTTTTAGTAGAGACAGGGTTTCACCATGTTGGCCAGGCTGGTCTGGAACTCCTGACCTCAAGTGATCCACCCACCTCGGCCTCCCAAAGTGCTGGGATTACAGGCGTGAGCCACCATGCCCATCCAAAGCTGTTCATCTTTAAAAAAACAAAATCCAACCTAATAAATAAAATTGAACATAGCACAGATACTTATTATAGACATTTATTTTAGTTTCTTCAAATTTTAACGTGTATTTTAGGATTTTAGTTATTATGGAAGGAGGAAAATATGATTACAGTTACCAATGTTATGACAATATTTTTTTTGTCAAAGGTCAGTTTTGGTTTCCTCAGACTCTAGAATATAGGCCTAGCCTTGCAAGGGCTACTGAGATGAATATTCAACATTTCCCAAAGCTTGGCAACAAAAGCCAAGCTATTTTATGAATGCTTGCTTCTTCAAACTTCAAAGTCTTTGGGTCATCATTTAAAATGCACACTTTTAGGAACATAACTATGAAGTTAAGCACCAATTCTGAACAGGTAAATTGTGTTCTACTGGCTTCCTGTTCTGTTTTTTATCTTGCTAAGCAATGAATCGATAGATTCAATCAAGTATTATGAGCCAACCCTATACCAACAGTAATAAGAGTACATGATTTGACTTCGAGGACCTAAAAATGCAACAAAAATGTTTGGAATAGATTATATAGAATACTGCATAATATTAATCATTAAGGAGGTACTTAATTATTGTCACACTACTTTAGAATGTAGAGATAAGTTTAACTAAAAACAGATGTAAGCTGGGTGTGGCAGCTCACATCTATATCCCAACATTTTGGGAGGCTGAGACGGGAGGATTTCTTGAGCTCAGGAGTTTGAGATAAACCTGGACAACATAGTGAGACCTGGTATATACTTAAAAAAAAATTAGCTGGTTGCAGTGGCACGATCCTGTAGTCTCAGTTACTTGGGAGACTGAGGTAGGAGAATCGCTTGAGCCTGGGAGTTGGAGGCTGCAGTAAGCTATGATCACACCACAACACTCCAGCCTGGGTGACAGAGCAAGACTCTGTCTTGAAAGAAACAAACAAACAAACAAACAAAAACAAATGCATCACTTGAAAAGACTATAATATTTTGATTCATTTTTCTAGCCAAGTCATTTTAAATGAGATTATCTTATTTCCACTGTGACAAAAAAATGGAAGTGGCTGTGTGTTTCTTTGGTCTTATAAACTTCCCTTTCTATCTTATAACACTGATGAAGAGTTAATGAATGTAACAAGCAGAGACATAAGAGGAAGAATGTTTTCTATTTATCATAATAGAAAAATGACTCCAGAATTAATTGCAGAGGTTCTCAAATGCGTGGTTAAAAACAAAATGATATAATAGAGAAGCAGATAGATAAGAAAATAACATTTTAATGTGATCATAATTTAGTCTTTTAAAAAATACACTTAGGAGATGCTAATATTTGCAGTTTTGCCTTTAATCCAAAGGATATGAAAGATTAGAAATAATCCATTCAACTCTGTTGTGTGGATATTGTTCCTCTGCCCCCACTCTCCTAATCTTGGCATTTACACTGTTTCATTGTTATACTGCAAAGGACCTATCTGAAGAGCCACCTACACTTAAACTTCACACTGTGGGCCTCTTTTTGAGGCAGCATTCATTCCCTCAGTTCAAGGCTTCTATGCCAGGGATAGTGTTTCACAACCACTTAGGATAATCCAATAACTAGGCACAGACAAACATCCTCTGCTCATTTCCCCATCATTTGCAAACTGCAGACAAGCACAAAATTTAAACAAAAGTGATGATGGTTTTCTGCAAAATTGTGGTTTCTTTGAGACATGTCAAGGAGATCGAGGGAAGAGGAGATAGATTCTAACTGGCATGGACTCTACGGAAGAAAAATCAAAATGAAATTTTCTTAATATAATAACGTTATCAATTTACATTTATTACAATTACTCTTTATACACTTGATGTTCTACTTACTGAATTTCAGTTCTTTGTGATCATTTTATTTCTTAATAAAAGAAAATATTAATTCCCAACTTCACCTTCTTCAAACTTACTTTTAACTAAAGTTTACTTTTTTTTTTCTTTTTCTTAAATAGACACGGAGTCTTGCTATGTTGTCCAGGCTGGCCTCAAACTTCTGACCTCAGGAGATCTTCCTGCCTAACCCCCCAAAAGGCTAGGATTGCAGGTGTGAGCCACCATGTCTGGCAAAAAAATTCTGATTTAAAAGCATAATAAAATGATTTTTGATATAGATAGAAACTATTTTCACTACTTAGGGTATTATTAGATGGTTTAGTTTATTGATTTTAATGATTTTTTTCTCTTTAATTGTGGTATAATTTACAAATGATTAAAATCAACTTTCAATAGTAACTATGTTTTCTGGCTGAAGAGTTTTTTGATAGCAGTCAGTTATTTATTTTGAATTGAACATTTATTCAAACTATTTCCAAATTGAACCACAGGTTGCAGCAGCATTTCTCAGCAGTGACATTGTTGACATTTTGGATGGGATAATTCTTTGTTGTGGGGAGCTGTCCTGTGCACTGTAGGATGTTTGACAACATCCCTGGATTCTACCTACTAGATATCAGTGTACATGACAATCCCCCAGTCATAAAAATCAGAATAGCCTCCAGACATTGATAAATGTTCCCTCTCAGGTAACGTCACTCCCAGTTGAGAATCACTGGACTATAGCATTTTCTTCCCTGTTGCCATGTGGTGATTCTGTCTTTGAAAGCAAACTCGTATCTGTGGGGCTATAGGGTCTGCTATTCTTTGCTTTTATTTCTAACATTTTACTCCTCAGTTGTGGCATCCACTTCTCCTAAGTTGTTTTCCAACACCAATCTTTGCCCCTTGCTTTTTCCTTCTCTTTCCCATGAATTCTGTAATTATATATGTTTGGTGAATCAGAAGAGTTAAGTGACAGTAATTATAATCCTTAGTCTCTTAGAGATTATAGCAATAATAGAAAATACAAATAACTAGTAACACCGTGTTAAAATTTATTTATATATCTCTCCATTTCTGTATCTTATGTGTGAAAATATATTTAAAAAATTTGTGAGCAAAATATTATTATTTTTATTATTGAGACAGGGTCTTGCTCTGTCACCCAGGCTGGAGTGCAGTGGCGTGATCATAGCTCACTGCAGCCCCCACCTCCTGGACTCAAGCAATCCTTCTGCCTTAGCATCCCAAGTAGCTGCGACCACAGGAACATGTCACCACACTCACCTAATTGTTTTGGGGTTTTTTTTTGGTTTTGAGAGATGGGATCTCGATTTGTTGCACAGCCTGGTCTTGAACAATCCTCCTACCCTGGCCTCTCAAAGTGTTGGAAATACAGGCATGAACCACTGCTCCTGGCCCAAAATCTTATTATTAATAAAATACATTAAAACAAAGAATGACACACTTCTCATTAACAATGACTTCCAGGTCCAAATATTTTTTCAGTTTCACAATTCCTATAAATTGATTGCTTTATCGGATGATACTAAATCCTCCAAGAATTAAAGCCCACACCGAAGGTCCCGTGATTATAATGATTTTATTGGATTCAGAAAGCTAAATTAATTCAGGTATAAAAAGAGGAAAAGCAATATTTCAAGGCTTTTGTCTGTATAAGTATCAGCCTTATTGTTCAGTTTCTTCATCTGTAAAATTGTAGAATTTGTCAAAAGAATTAAATGAGAAAATACATATAAATGCAGTTAAAATAGTACCTCGGACATAGTGAGCACTTAATAATCTTCCTTGATAATTTCTCCTATTCCAATTAATTGAAATGCTGCTAATAGGTTAATAACAACCAAATTTTTTTTTGCAGCCTAGAATATTCTATGGAATCATCTGCTAAACTACTAGGTATCTTATTCATTTATTCACTTTTTCATTCTTTGTAATATTGTTCTATATTTGAATGTCTTTTAGATACTTCTGATGTAACAGATCTTATAATAAGCTTAAAATCTAATTAAATTCTATGCTTTCCTTTGTATTCTTTGAATCTACCTCCCTATATTTTATATCTAAATGGGCTTGATGTTTTAAATCTTTCTCATTGATTTTATTCCACTTTTCCTCATTCTTCAGAAAACATGACCCTCCCTGCCTTACAGGGTGTCTAGCCTGGATTTCAAAAATATCTTCTAACTCATTTTCCTGCTCTGATACAATCTTCACATTACTATACACAACGATCTTTCTGAAAGAAATAATCTGATGAAGTAATTTCTTACTTAAAATCCTTCAATAGCTTTCAGGGCAATTCAAGATAAGATTTGAGGTTGTTAGTATCCCACCGAAGGCTCTTTATGAACTGGCCTCTATTTTCCAAACTTACCTTTTGTCCCTCTTCACCTTGACTTCCCCGGTAGAGTCAGAGTAAAGCATTTGAAGATGACAATTTTGTGTCATGCTCTAACAGCCCTAATTCCAGCGCACACATCCCTCCATCTGGGATGCCATGCTGCCCAGGTTCACCAGACTATGTTCTAACTGTTAGATTAAATACTAATCTTCAATGCTTCTGGTTTTACCTAGGTTTATCTCTTTATAATATTTGTCATACTACATTGTATTGTACATATGTATGCATTTGTTCAACTCTTTTTTAGATGCTCACATCCTTAAGGACTGTTGCTGTTTCTTTTTTCTCTATAGCCACAAATATCTCACATTCTTCAACTATATCTGGGACTGAAGATAACTAAACTATTACTGTAAGATGTTTAAAGGCATTGCACAAAAACCACTGTCAATATAGTGTCATGAGCAATGATTTTCTTATTCAAACAGACCCAGACTTTGTAAAATTCTTTCACATGGGGTTGCAGTTTTCTTTTCTTCTTTTCTTTTCTTTTTCTTTGTCTTTTTCTTCCCTCCTCTCCTCTCCCCTCCCCTCCCCTCTCCTCTCCTCCCCTCCCTTCGCTTTCTTTTCTTACAGGGTTTCACTCTGTTCTCTAGGCTGGAATTCAATGGCATGATCATGGCCCACTTCAGGCTCAACTTCCCTGGGTTCAGGTTATCCTCCCACCTCAGTCTATTGCGTAGCTGGGACTACAGGTGTACACCACCATGCACAGCTAATTTTTCTATTTTTAATAGAGACAGAGTTGCGCCATGTTGCCCAGGCTGGTCTCCATCTGTTGGTCTCAAGGAATCCTCCTGTCTTGGCTTTCCAAAGTGCTGGGATTACAGGAATGAGACACTGCACTGAGCCAAAGTTTTATTTTCCATCTCAAATTTGATTACATCATTAGTTTAGTTTTATTACATGTTATATCAAAGGGATTCTTTGTCAGAACAAACTTCATGCATCAATGTTTATGACCTAAGAGATGATACATTGTGCCACAGTTATCAATATTTGCATAACAAACCACCCCAATGTTAGTGGCTTAAAACACACACACACACACACACACACACACACACACACACAAACTTTTGTTGACTTCAGAGTCTCTGGACTGGCTGTATGTTTCTTCTGACTTTGGTCAGCAACTCCTGCACACATTAGTATGGTGCATTTGTTACAACTGATGAATCAATATTAAAACATTATTTACTGAAGTCCATAGTTTTCATTAGAATCCTATCTTTTTGTTGTGCACTTGTGTGGTTCTTGACAAATGCGTAATGCAATGTATGCACTATTACAATATCACACAGAACAGTTTCTTTTGCCTAAAAAACCCCTGTGCTTCACTTATTCTTCCAATCTTTTGATGAACTCCTGGCACCTACTGATTTTTTTCTATCCCTGTACTTTTACCTTGGACATGAGGTCATATATTTGGAATCATACAGTATATCTTTTCACATTGTCCTATTTCATTTAGCAATACGCGCTTAAGGTTCCTCCATGTGTTTTCATCACTGAATAGCTCTTTTTTTTATATCTGTAAGTAATATTTTGTATGGATATACAACAGTTTGTTTCAACATTCACCAATTGAAGAGCAGCTTGCTTCCAATTTTTGGCACTTATAAACAAAATTATGAATTATGAATCTATAAACATTCATTTGCAGTAATTTATGATGACGTAAGTTTTCAGTTCATTTGGGTAAATACCAAGGAGTACAATTGCTGGATCATATGCTAAAACTGATTTGTTTTGTAAGAAGCTGCCAAGCTGTCGTCCTAAATGACTGTACTATTTTGTATTCACCAGTAACGAATGAACATTTCTGTTGTTCTACATCCTCACCAGAATTTGGTATTGTCAGTTTTTTAAATTTTAGCTATGCTAATAGATATGTAGCGGGGGCCTCAATGTTGTTTTAATTTGCAATTTTCTAATGACATTTGATACTGAATGTCTTTTCTTATGTATATCTGCCATCTGTACATCTTCTTTGATGAGGTGTCTGTCCAGAACTTTTGCTAACTTTTTAATTGCTTTTTATTTTTACTCGAATTTTTATAATCTGTGTACACTTTGGATATCAGTCTCCATGCCAAAGAAGGCCGTACCCCACACCCAGAAGGAAAGGAATACATGCTCTGAGAGGCCAAGAGGAATCCAGACAGACTGACTTTGCTGGATTTCCCCAGAAAGCTTATTAACATAAGATCATACACTTTTTGTCCAATCCTATTCCTGTATGGCTGTCCAGACTTTACTGAACCTAAGCATGGAAATGAAAAAATTTTCCCTGTATCTTTGGGTCTTCATTCTGAAGGCTCCCATGTGTAGACATTAAATAAATATGTGTGCCTTTTCTCCAATTAATCTGTCTTTTGTGAGTTGATTTGTCAGCAAGTCTTCAGAGAGTCCTGGGCCTCTATACTAATATATGCATTCAGGGCTATAAACTTCTCTTAAACAGTACTTTTGCTGCATCCCACATGCTTTGTTAAGTTGCATTTTCATTCAGTTCAAAATCTTCTTAATTTCCCTTAAGATGTGTTTTTTGTCTCATGTTTCACTTAGGAGTATTATCCTTAATGTCCAAGCTCTTTGGAATTTTTCCATCTTTCTGGTTTTGATTTCTAGTTTAATCTATTATATAGTCTGAGAACATACTCTTTATGGTCTTTTAATATTGTAAAGCTGTGTTTCATGGCCTAGAAATAAGGTTTATATCAGCTTGAGAAGATTGTGTATTCTGTTGTTGTCGGCTAAAGCATCCTACAGAAGCCAATTAGCTCAAGTTGTTTGATGGTTCTGCTCAATTCAACTATTTCTTTACCTATTTTCTTTCTTCTGAATGTGCCAATTGCTGATAGAGGGCTGTGAAAGTCTCCAGGTATACTCGTGGGTTTGTCTTATATTTCTCTTTGTTATTATATCCATTTTTGACGCATGTATTTTGACCCTCTGTTGTTAGTAGCATGTATGTTAAGGATTGTTATATTTTCTTGAAGACTAGATTTGTTTGTCACATAACTGAATGCCGCATTTAAAGTTGTCTCTTTTTCATTTGCTTCATTTTTGATGGTATAATAACCTTTGCTTTCCTCTTGCTGCCAGGCACTCTCTTGCACAATGTTTTCCTTATTTAATTATGTGATTACTTAGAAGTCCCAGGGGCTAATTCTTGAAACAATCCAGGCAACTGTATAATTATCCCCCACCTAGAGATTACCTCAAGGCTGCAGTTAATTTACAACCCAGCTGTACCCAAGATGGCTCCTGCTCATACACCAGATGGGATGGCAACTCAAGATAATCTATGAAAAAAGCCACATTCTATGGCAAGAACATCTCTTGCTATTCCTGCATGCCCCTCATATCAAGTTTCCCTTTATAAACACTTCCTCTCAACCCCAAATTTGAAATGGTTCCTTTATGGAATGAGTCTGGCCATGTCTCCAACTGCAAGCTTTTGGAATAAAGTCAGTTTCCTTTCATTGCATCTTGTCCTTGTTCATTTAGTTTAACAAATGGCAAGCCGCCAAGTATGCATTTGGTTATAGTCACTATACAGTATTTCCTACTATTTCTGATAATAGTCCTTGTTCTTTATTTCATGCAACTGTCTTCTTGCTTGAATAATTTCTGAGGAGAAGGTGATGTAATTCTTATCCTTGTTTCTCTATAGGTATGGTATCCACCATTCCCCTCCCCTTAACTTCTCTATCCCTGCTTCAGCTTCTTTGAAGATTGTCTTTCTATATTTTGTTTTCTGCTTTTAAAGTGTTATAGGTTTAGGTGAATATTTATTTGATTTTTTTCTCTGGTTTATGTTCTCTGAGCTTCCTAGATCTGTGATTTGGTGTTTGTTATCAATTTGGAAAGTTCTTGATCATTGTTATTTTGAATGTTTCTTTTGATCCTTTCTTCTTCTAGTATTCAAATAACACATGTGTGTTCTATACATTTTGAAATTGTCTCATAGTTCTTGGACATGCTGTAATATTTTTCTAATTTTTATTGCTCTTTACATTTTAGCTTGTAAAATTTACATTGATATACATTCAAGCCCACTGATTATTTCCTCAGTTGTGTTTAATTTCCTAATGAGTCCATCAAAGTTATTCTTCATTTCTGTTATAGCATTTTTGATTTCTAGTATTTCCTATTGACTATCTCAGAATTTCCATCTCTTTTTTACATTACTCATCTGCTCCTCAGTGTTGCCTATTAATTTTATTAGGGCTCTTAACATATTTAAATTCCATACTAAATAATTTCAACATCTGTGTCATATCTGAGCCTGGTTCTGATTCTTGCTTTGTCTCTTCATACTGTATTTCTTTCTTGCCTTTTAGCATATCTTGTAATTTTTTGTTGAAAGCCACACATGATGATATATTTGGTCATAGAAATTGAGGTAACTGAGTCTTTTATTATGAAATTTATGTAAATCTGGCTAGGATTTGGGCTGCGTTTAATATTTATTATAGACGTAGGTGTCAGAGATTTCAGTTTTCCCCAGGATTTTGTTTTTTCTCCTTTTGCCTTTGGTTTCTCTAAGATTCCTTTTTCGATTATCTCTATTTTGCAACTCTCAGTTGTAATCTAGTGTTATTATACTAGAGTCCTTTTAATGTGGTAGTAAGTTATGAGTCAGGGAAGTTTTCCATAATCTTATGATAAAATATTATTTTATTTGCAGCCAGAGTCTCTGGGCTTTGGAAATGTTTCTCAGCTATTTTTTTTTTCTTTCTTTTGGTGAAACTGGAAAGTTAGATGGGTATGAAGTTTGTTAAATGCCCTCCTCTAGGTCAGCTAAGGCTTAGTAAAATTTCTTTTTGAAAATAGGCCTCTGTTATGGCAAATGCTCTGAGTACTTTCAAAATAATAATTTTTTTCTTGTCTAGGATCTTCACCTTGAGAATATGGTGTGTTTCAAAGAAATAAAACTCATGAAGATGTTGAGACCTCACCTAAGAGTGGACCCATATGAGTTTCTCACTCTCAAGCTAATCTAAACTCAGCCTCCAGCAATTAATCAAAATTACTTTTTAATTGTTCCTACCAGTTTACAGATCCAGCAGCTTCTGCTCCAAGTAAGCTGTAAGCTGATCTTGGCTGTGATTCTCTGTATTCATCCATCTCTCCAGATTTCTCAGTGGCAGTTGCCTGTGACCTCAATTTTCTGACAGGTCTAAAACAAGTTATTGATTTTTAGGTTGCTGAGGTTTTCTCTTGTTGTAAGAATAGGAGTGACAACTTCCAAGCTTTTTACATGTCCGAGCTGAAATCAGAGTTCTCATTCATTGCATTTTTATTATGTAAATTTATGTTGCGAAATTAAGTTTAAAACTATAGCTATTTTGATGGTTTGGGTAAGACTTCCATTTTCTAGGGATTTTTTTGTTTGTTTTATTATAGGTGAGGGATAAAGATGAACAGTTCAGTGTCTGACCATTTATCTTTGTCCTGGAGATTCCATGATCTAGCAGGCACTTGAAAAGATTCCTGCTGCTTTTATTTTATTTTTATTATACTTTAAGTTCTAGGGTGCATGTGCACAACCTGCATATGTATACATGTGCCATGGTGGTGTGCTGCACCCGTTAACTCGTCATTTTCATTAGGTATATCTCCTAATGCTATCCTTCCCCACTGCCCCTACCCCATGACAGGCCCCAGTGTGTGATGTTCCCCACCCTGTGTCCAAGTGTTCTCATTGTTCAATTCCCACATGTGAGTGAGAACATGCGGTGTTTGGTTTTCTGTCCTTGCGATAATTTGCTCAGAATGATGGTTTCTAGCTTCATCCATGTCCTTACAAAGGACATGAACTCATCCTTTTTTATGGCTGCATAGTATTCCATGGTGTATATGTGCCACATTTTCTTAATCCAGTCTATCACTGATGGATATTTGGGTTGGTTCCAAGTCTTTGCTGTTGTGAGTAGTGCTGCAGTAAACATACAAGTGCATGTGTCTTTACAGCAGCATGATTTATAATCCTTTGGGTATATTCCCAGTAATGGGATGGCTGGGTCAAATGGTATTTCTAGTTCTAGATCCTTGAGGAATCACTACACTGTCTTCCACAATGGTTGAACTAGTTTACAGTCCCACCAACAGTGTAAAAGTGTTCCTATTCCTCCGCATCCTCTCCAGCACCTGTTGTTTCCTGACTTTTTAATGATCGCCATTCTAACTGGTGTGAGATGGAATCTCATTGTGGTTTTGATTTGCATTTCTCTGATGGCCAGTGATGATGAGCATTTTTTCATGTGTCTTTGGCTGCATAAATGTCTTCTTTTGAGAAGTGTCTGTTCCTATCCTTTGCCCACTTTTTGATGGGGTTGATTTTTTCTTGTAAATTTGTTTAAGTTCTTTGTAGATTCTGGGTATTAGCCCTTTGTCAGATGGGTAGATTGTAAAAATTCCTGCTGCTTTTTACTATGACTGACCACTTTTTGCCTCTAAAGTTAAAATCTGTTACTTGTTCTCAGAAATCCTTTTCAGTGGAAATCTCATCGTACATCTACTTTCTTTGCTTAAACAGAACAGTCAGTAAAATACTTTGCTGAGAAACCGGTCTTTCCTTCTTTGATATCTTTCTCAACGTCTTTTTGATTAAAATGTTTTCAGTGGCTTCCTATGGGTCATAGTTAAGAGTTGGTAGAGAAAGCTACATATAATATGTCTGTTCTAATATTTCTTACTCTTCAAATCACAGAAATCAGGAAATTTCTTGTATTCCAGTTTTATTTAGTAAAGTCACCAATGAATACAATATTTAGTCAGGTAACTATTTATAAATCAATTACTTTAGATCTTTGTGTTGACACATTTACTTTAGAATCTCTAGTATTTGCATCTATATCAATAAATTTAATCACATCTGAAATTCTATTTCTTCCTTTTGGGTCTAGCGTCTTTAGAATCTACTGACTTACATATTCCATTTTTCAACTAACTTATTAGAAAAATTTTGTAATAGTATATATTGCTGTGCAAACCTTTTCTTGATTTTCTCAGTGTTTCCTTCCTCACACCAGACTCATGCTGGTATTAGACTCTATTTATAAGATTAGCAAGGTGGCATGCTGAATAAGACATAAGAAGAATTGGATTTCTCTTGCCAGGTAGCTGTCTCAGGAAGGTTTTTCACAGGGTCTTAAAACAAGGAAAAAGCAGCCTCATTTTACAGAGGAGGATGTTAATGAAGCTTAGTGAAATTTGTGGATTCAGGGAAATTTGAGTGATCTGAATCTTTCCATACTGTATTCATTCATTCTCACATTGCTATAAAGAACTGCCTGAGACTGGATAATTTGTAAAGAAAAGAGGTTTAATTGGCTAATGATTCCACAGGCTGTACAGGAAGCATGGCAGAGGAGACCTCAGGAAACTTACAATCGTGTCAGAAGGTAAAGGGGAAGCAGGCATATCCTTCATGCCTGGAGCAGGAGAAATAGAGGGGAGAGGGATGTGCTACACACTTTTAAACAACCAGATCTCGTGAAAACTCATTCAGTATCTTGAGAACAGCAAGGGGGAAGTCTGCTTTCATGATTCAGTCACCTCCCACCAGGCCCCTCCTCCAACATTGAGAATTATAATTTGACATGGGATTTGGGTGGGGACACAGATCCAAACCGTATCACATGTCTTCCTTCTGTTCAATGAAGTCCACAGAGTTATATTCTTCCTCAATAATGCCCTCAGTTTCCTTAAGGAATGTGGTCACTGTTTAGATAAAAAATAAATGAATGTCCAACAACTTACGGTATCAATTGTTGAGTTTAATTTTTGGCTATATTAATGCCCTGGCAGTAAATATCAGGAGATTCTTTAGAATACTCATACAAATTTTATTGTTCTCAGACTATGGCTTGATCTGAGAGTTTAAAACTTTGACTATGTAGTTTCTTTTCTGTAAGCCTTCCTACACAATTAAAATCACAGACTAATTACATTCTTATATAAGAAAGTTTAATGTTGTGTTAAATGAATAACCTCTTGATCTCTTCATAGCCTTGCTTTCAACAACTATTTTATTCATAATACTTACAATAAATGTATTTATTTATTTTGCCACTGTATGTCATGTGTTAAAGTCTCATGCTAGCACCCATGCAAGCTGTGTTCCTACTATCTATGGGACTGAACTGACCAGATAACCACCAATTTAATTAAAGTTCTATTGCTTGAAACCTCTTACATTCCCACTTGTGTATGCTTTATCACCTTAGTGGCAACAAGAAAATTCACTCTGTCTCATTTACTGAAAGCTAGGATTTGTTAAAGAATATTAGGAAGTGGTTCATACATAGAAACATAATCTTTTCCTCCAGAAACACTACCCCAAGTCCAGCCAGAGAATTGGCCTCTTGAGAAAACAGCTAGTGTTGCCTTTCCCCCCGTCAAGCACAAAATGAAATGTCTTCACATGTATAAAACCACTTTCTATACCAATGGCTGCAACAATTTCACTTCTGCCTCAACAAGACAATCACATGACTCCTGACGTTCTTCAAGTTCTCTGTTGGCAACTACACTAGCAACACAGGAGTTGCTATACAAAGTGTTTGCCACCAGTTACCTACTATGAGCCATGTTTCTGTGTGCCTGATTAGCATGTAGGTCATATACCCATCTTTTATTTGCTAGGGTGTCTGAGAATTCAAATCCTTCCTTCTATTATTTGTGAGAGACACGACACATGGAAATTTCACCTGTTATGAAAATACTACTCAACGGACTATCACATAAATGACAAATGTCAATGAGAGTCACCAGTTACTACAAACCTCACTTGTGCTTACCCACTTTTGTTTTTAGTCACCTTTGCTTTTGCTCCCCTTCTAGGGCAGCATCTAACCACAGACTTGCACTATTGACTGCTGTCATGACTGCTGGCTTCAGCATTCACTGTGTATTGCATTATTGCTGGAAGTTTATCTTTTTTTCCTGTTTTCTTGAGTAGACCCAATGTGTGACCATAGTACAAGCAAACAGTACAAACAAGAAGCTAATAATAAGTGTGATAGGGAGCTTTATTCATTGGGAATTCAGACTTTAAATTATAACCGAGAGTTTGAAAATTTTTGGTTTTGAAAATTTTCCCCTTTTAAACAGGATTCCTTCTTCGGCCAGAGGCCAGAATTAATGGAGTGAAAAGAGTAACAGCATCAGTAAAGACCCTCGCTCCAGGATGCTGGCATTGGTCTCTACTTTTGCAGGCAGTGGGCCTACCACACCTGTTATCAAAAGAGGTGCTCAGGCTGCAGAGCAAACAACAACAGAGACAATCCCAGCAGGAGGACTCCAGCTGCCAAGAGCATATAATTATCTCTGCTCTCTAGAGCATGCTTTTTAAACGAAGGATTGTTGAAAAATATACATGCTGGGTCCTACTCTATTCAATGTACTGATTTGGTATGCCCGAGTTAGTACTTGGGCACCTATAATTTATAAACATATGAATCATTGTTTCATGTGATCCCAAAGTAAGTTCTTTGCTTAAAAATACTATTCTGATGGAAGAGAAGACATGTTTTTGTGGGGATAAGAACGGGAGGGCTGACATTCCATATTTGGCTAATGGCCTACAATGAAAGACGAGAAAGAGAGCAATAAGTGTGCATGCCTCAGTTGTAATATAAGAAGAAACTCTGCATACAAGCTGGGGGGAAAACAATGCAAGGTTGAAAGCAATGGTCAAAAAAATTACAGCTCTACTTCTTTAGTATTCTGGCAATCAAAATAACGAATTAACCATACAATTATCTAAATTCTGATTACAATGAACAGATTGCAATAGTTTTATGTCACTTTTGAGTTATAGAAGTTTGTTCTACATCTATGTTTCTTTGGCAAAATTCTCTTTATTAATAATATTTCTTTGTAAGGCAGTTAATTAGCTGAAGGCTAAAACTTTAGATGTGAGGCAGATTTTTTGAGTTATCTTTTCAGAAGATAATTAATTTTTGATTTGTATTATTTAATCACATGGGGTGTATGGTTCCTGTTATTTTGAATGCAAATCATTCTATAAAGTAAAATGTGGAGAGGAGCCCATGCATGTGTAACTTTTAATAGAACATATTTGTTTTGATATTTCATCTTTTCTTTCTTTAGCTATCTTCCCTGAGGTTCTAAACCCTAAAGTGTAAATATTAATAAGACAAACACTATTTCTCACACATTTCCCTCTAACAGCTCTTTTAGAAATGCAAAGGGAATCAGCAAGTTTTATTTCTACAGGTAGATCTTCCTACATTCAGATGTTATTGATTTTTTTTCTTTCCTGAAGAAGTTGATAGGATCTTTATAGGAGAAAAAAGTATATGGTTTTAAAACCTGAACAACAAAATCTGTTGAAGGTACAGATATTAACCTCTATGTATTGAGGGCAGAGTTAAGTTGATTAGTTATCTGTTCTCAATTTGGGGGTGCTCCATGTTTCTGTTGACCGCTTTTGTTCAGTGTCTTGTGTTGAAGCTCCTGAGTTTTTAATCTCACATATCCTAGCACAGTCCGTATTAGAGATATAATCACTCAACTGTCAAATCTATTTTGAAAAGGATTTTGGAGAGAGAGTACAGCGATTTATTCTTTACTTTTATAAAATGATCTTTTCTAACAATCTCACTGCAAGCACACACAGGGGATAATGTAATACAATCTCTGACAGCCTTAGTTTGCTAACCTTATCCAATAAAGAGATTCTTCTTACAAAGGTTTGTCGTATTACCTCATCTCATGGTGGTATTGCACTCTTTGAAAAGAAATATCACCTGCTCAGAGAAATGCAAAAAAAAAACAATAATAATATCCTTGAAGGGTAAATACGTATTCCAGTGTTTTCAGAGTAACATGAGCAATGCAGCAGGCATCTTACGCTGTCACACCGTTATTTTACTATCATACACAATACACAAATGCATACATTTCGTCGAATGTAAGTGCACAATAATCAACCCAATCAGAGCAAGAATATTTACTTGTCATAAAGATTGAATGACACAGATTTCCCTCCAACTCTATAACTGGAACGTCAGGCACTCTAAATTAACAATGCCATGGAGTGTGGGCACAGTAAGAAGGTATGAAGAACATGAAAACAAGAAAATTCTAGGTTGCGACATGAACAGACCGTAAAATCAAATTCAGTCGAAGAAACAACAATGTTGTGGTGCTTTTTAAAACACGTGGAAGCAGTCTCATGGTTTGAATGACAGCTAGCATTTTAATATTCTGAATCTTTTGTTCTGAAATGCTAATCTTCACCCCATAGGTGAGGGTAGCATCCTCACACAAATAGTACACGGTGGATGGGCACACACTCCTGACATCATACAGATCAGATGGTAGTTTATTAGTCACTTGCATCCTGGGAGAGGAGGGCACTGCCCTCCACGCAGGGCCACATAGGGTTAGAACTCAGGAACAGAGTGAACAGGGGCTGTGGGAAGCAGGCTTTGTAGTAACAAGGGGATGAGGTAACCTTGACTACCACAGATTTATTTGAATAATTCTTCTGGGTGTAGAATAACTTAAGTTCACTACTCAGGGATAAGCAAGCACTGTGCTTTTCCTTGTGAAAAGAAGCATCATTTGGCTAGGGGAGCTTATCCAGGGGGTGGAAGCGGGAGGGAAACTGGTGGTTTGGCCGTTTGAAGGCTTCCTGGTTTCCCCAGGTATCAAGGAAGGACTTAATATTGAAATTTAATTTCAGGCCTCATACCACATTTTAAAATAAAATTACAGTGATTATTTAGTATTCCATATGATTCTCTTCTCGTTTTGATAAGCATATCCCTGGTGAACACCATCAGGAAATAAATGAACTCATGAAGAATTTTAGTTTTTAAAATTTGTGCTTACTTGCTTTTTTTCATCATGAAAACACCATTTATTTCTGAAGTAAAATCTAGCTTCACTTGAAAGTTTTGGGAAATTCTTATAAAAAACAGTCGATATTAATATGAAAGGTATGTTTTACTATATCCACATAGCAGACCTATGAATTTTTCATAAAACAGATTAACAAAGAGAAATCACAAAGTTGGGTTTAAAAAGGAAAGTGTTTCACATGCAACATTGCTTCACTAGGAGGTTGCTCCCAGGTAGAATCAGGTAATGGCTGCTGTTCTTTCTTATTCTTTCTAGTAGAACAATGCTTAGCCCTGTGGATATATTATGGGCATTTAGTTCTGCCCTCCAGAATTATCCTTACTCTGTTTGCTAGTTTAATTAATGTGACTTCTTTCTAAGACAATCAGATTCAAAATAGCAAACATTTTAAAATCATGTGTTATTTTATTAAATTTTGATCTCAGATTTTAGAATGACTCTTAAGTCATTAAAAATGCAAACGCATTTAGTTAGAATATTTGCACACTACACTTCAGAAACCATTAAGACATGGCTAGTGGTACACAGCATTCCATTTTAAAAAATATCTTTTCACCAGGTTTTAGATGCAATGAGAATTTTAACTCAATGTAGTTAAATATACTCACTGTTAAGCTATATTATATCAGGAAGACAACATTGCAATCTAAAGAAAATGAAAATAGCTTTGTTTGAAAGTTTATAGATGTGTTCTACTACTAAAATTTATAGTTAAGCATGTAAACATTCTCTTCGAAATAAACTATTGCCTTTGAAATTAACAACTTGTGCATTACATATGTTCTTCCAACTGAATAATGTTATTTCAGAAATAAAATAGAATGCTGACTGTAAAACATAACCATATCCATGCCAAAAAAAATGATACTAGCCATATTGCACCTCAAATGTGGCAGAATTTACATCTCTTGTGTGTCAGGAGATGGTCATACCCATATTACTAGTTTCCTGTGCTATAGTTTAAAAATAAATCCTATAATTTTAAAGGCTTTAGCTCATGATCAGACACCTAGTTTAATATATTGGATACAAAGTTTAATAACTTTACTATAACATTGAATTTGTGATATTGTTTCAGTTGTCATGCACATAATTATATGTAACAGAAAATCAAAGTTAAATTGCCTTAAACAATAAAGTTTTATTATTATCTTAGGAAGTTGAAATACTCTGGGTTTCATGTAGTTGTAACCTGAGTTTCAGGCATGGGTTAGTTAGGTGATGGGATACTGTCAGACCTACTATCCTCTAAGGTCTTCTAAATAGGAACTTTTGCCTAATCCTTGCTTTTATTGTGCCACTTTAGCCTACGTGGACACCACTGAAGTAATCATGCTGGGTAGAGGAATTCCAAATATTCACTAATGTAAATTGGAGGTTGCTTTTTGACATAATTACTCTAGTCAAGGGAATGGCATTACCTTGACTGGCTTAGATCACCAAAGAGCCTGTGATAGGGTCAAAATTTGGTTAGATAAAATGGAACTTGAAGATAATCACAATATCTACAACAATGGTGATAAAACAGCATAAGTGGTGTGACAGAAGTTCATCATGAAATGTAAATACTGCTTATTTTTAATCAAATATTACAAGCTAAAATTGAATATATGTGTGTGTGTGCACGCTTTTGACTGTAGAATAGAGTGTATCCTCTTTACATAATGGGGAAAATAAATTTGTTATAACATGATGCTTTTAACACCCAGCATTATTATTTGGAAAGCATACTTTTCACAAGGAAAAACAATTTGCAAGGACTACTTTTTATTGTTGATTTTTCCAAAAAACTAAGTTAATAGAAAATGGAAAAATGAGAATCAGTAAAGAACAGAAGTAATATTAGTTAATTCAAACTCAGAGTTTGATTTAACAATGTGTGGCATTTTTCAGTCTTTTTTCTATGTATAAATATAATTATAAAATTTTAAAAATGAATTCAGAATCATATGGTATGTGTTTTTTTCTCAAATTATAATTTCTTCACACATAATATTAAATCATAAGTATTCTACATGGATTGTCATTAAATATTCTTCCAAATCCTGTTTAATCAGTGCATATTGCAGGTAATGGATTTACCATAGTATATTTAACCATTCCCCCTATTGTTTAGTCATCATTCTCACTACTGCAATGAAAAACCTTACTGATAAACCTTTGTTCACATCCTAGATTATTTATTATTTTAGGATCTATTTTTCTTTAGAAACACCATTTCTATTTTAGGAATATATTTTCCGGTTTTCCTTTAATGTGTGACATTGAATACTTTGCATCTTAATGAGAACCAACTGAGACATGAATACTTTAGCTACCCTATTTTTATCCCTTTTGATTTTGATTCATAGCAATTTGATGATTCCAACATTCAACTCTTGGATATGATAAATGCTATTTTGTAAATGCTTACAATTTTCTTGCTTCAGAGGTTAAAAAATAAATATATAAATCTCATAAATGTCCAAGATTTACTGTAGAATATATTGGATTTGAGGGACTATCAAGGGAAGGGAAAGGGAGAGGGGGGCATCAAGAGGATATCTGATAATGTTCTGTAGTCTGCTAAAATATTTTATTTTTAAATGTCGTATCACTTGTCCAAATCAACAGTTGGCTTTGATATTTCTGCAGTGATATTTCCTTTTTCTAGATAGAAGTCTAAAAAGAGTATATTATTTTTATAATACAGGCGTGTTCTACAGTATCCTAGTTTTGAAAACACATTTTGTAATTTATCAGAGTTTAAGCTTTTAAAATGGTACATTAAAAAATGAAATCTTGTGATGAAGCTTCATTCCAGAAATTATTCAAAAGTGGATGAAACTATTTTATTTAATAAAATAGTATCATTGGTTGCATTCTTATTTTATATGCCTCAAAAGAAATATCAGTATAATGCTTTCAAAAATAAGAAAAGGTTTTGCTTACATTTTGAACACATATCCCAGTCTAGCTCTTTATTTGGTGATATTTAATATTCTATTCATTCCATGCTTTGGATAAAACAGTATAGTTTTATTCTTCTGCCTCTTTCAGTATCAAAATAGGCTGACAAAATAAATAAATTACTTCGTTAAATTTCAAGAGAAAATTCAATATCTATTGTCATTTTGAATGGCAAGACATTTATCTTACAAGTTCATATGGTGAAATGAAAATGGAAAACAAGCCTGATTACCAAATATGGATTTGTCAATTATGAGAAGGATACCCCAAAAATATAAAGAAAAATAATTATAATTATCTATGTTTAATATGAAAATTAATCTGTCCAAATTGCTTTTATTGTTTCCCCAGCCTCCTGTCCTTCTATCTGAATGAAGCAGGTACTTATAATTACATGCAATGGTGCACAGGGTCCTCCTTTCTCCCTGATACCAAGCTTTAATGAATTTCATTATTCTTTTTTAATTTACATACTCTTGAAGAATAAAGATTCCCCAAATCATTAACTAATTTGATATGTCTGAAATACCAATTCAATTGTCTGGTCCCCTGAGATTTTCAAATATCTTGTTCAAACACCACTTAACTTAGTTTCTTAATTAGATACATCGTGATGGATGGGCTTTTATATCACAGTCTCAAAGGGACAGTGAATCAGCCTAATTTTTACGACAATTTAGGAGACTTAGATTAAGAGTCATTTAAACATTCAAGGCAGAGTTTGTAAAGAAATATTCAGGGTCTTATGACTAAATGTTATTATTATTATATATGATAAATATTAAGGATGCTGATTATATTCTTAGTGAATAATAAATCTTCCTCAAAGAGATTTAAAAAATATGTGTCATTTGGTTATAAAGAAAAATAATACTTTACAAAGACATTGGATATATAGAGAAAATAATTAAGATATTAGGGATTTGTAACAAACAATATATATTGGCAAAGTTTTTACATTTTCAAAGGGCTTATTTTTCGCTTAGCCTATAGCATGTCATTTATCTATGTTAATTCTTCTATTTTGAAGTTTATTTTTATGTAAAATAATATTTCCATGTTAAAAAACAAGATTGTGAGTTTTGCATGTTTTACTAAAGTAGTCTATATTTTATAATGCTATCATTACATGCCTGATTTTGAGAATATAATATTAAATGTAAAATATCACAATTCTATTTTATAGATCATATTTTAGAGAATATGATTCAAACCCTTTGAGAACTTTATGCATATTTAAAACATTATTTTTATTAATAAACAGTTCTCTCTTGTCACTGAGAAAATGACAGCCTATATATACTGTCACTGTTTATAAACTAATGAATAAAATCCACTTGAAAGTTATAGTACTGATAATTTTAGAGGGATATTGGAAATACTAATTTTGTCATATGACATCATTTATAAGGGACTGTCAAAAAGTTGGTACTCAATATTTATATACTAAATGAAAGAATTCTACAGTACATTTTCATCATGTACTAAATTATTCATATTTATTCATATTTTCAGCCTGGCAAGGAATTGCAGTGGTGGTGAAGTGATACATTTATGTTTAAAAAGCCAGAAAGATTAAAAATAGAAAGTTAATTAAACCTTAATATTCTCACACATTTTTATTTGATATAATTTAACAACCTATAAACTAATCTTTATAGTATGCACTCTTTTGTATAGAACTCCACTATGAAGTAATTTGTGTTAGGTGATACCTCAAGACAAAATGATGGCTTTTCTAAAACAGCCAATAGACTAATGTGCATTAGTTTAAAGCCACTGAGGTTTGGAATTTCTAGAAATGACCTATTAGACTCTCATGAAGGAAAGAGAATGATAAAGTGGCAAGAACATCAAATTGAAATCATAACTTGGGCTTAAGGTTTCTCCCATTATTAACTCTGGGGAATAATTTCAACTTTTGAGATATCAGCTTCTTTATCTGTAATCTAAGAAGCCTAGTCAAGGCCCTTTTAATTAGTAAGATTCAATGAATCCAAAATTGTGCATTTGTGGTTTAAATATCATAATTTATATAGTAATTACACGTGTGGAGTATGCACATGTACACAAAATAAATTATATACATATGATATATTGAATATGTGTACATATAGAATATATGTACAGACTATATACATTTGATACATATACCATATGCAAACTATGATGTATGAAATATGTACATGTATACATATGCAAACTACAAGGTACTACATAATATATGGCTAATGAAAACATTCAGTCAACAAACACTTTCTTAAAATATTACTCTTAAGTTAAAATCATAGAAGATAAATGAGACTCCAGATAGCTGGAGCTAAAGATACAGGTATAGACATAGAGATTTAGACATAGATATATAAGTAAGTAGAAATACATAAATCATATATGTGGATATATATCTATATGTTTGTGTATCTGTATATTTTTCTCTATATATACACACACATATCTGATTTCAAAATTTTAATTTAAAAAATCCTATCTTTGATCATACTCTGCAAGCACCTTGTAAATACTTGGTTTAGTTAAGACGTGTAGTGGGAAAGCTGTATTGAGGATACAGGGAATGATGGGGTTTGCAAGGGGAAGAAGCATTTCAGTCATCTGCAGAGATAGTTTCAGATTTGGCACATTGACACTCCAAAGATTTTCAACTTAAAACACTACTGCACTGAACTATGTACATCTGGAGAACAAAGAGGTTATCAGCATGATCTAGCATAGAACTTGGTACCTGGTAGATTTTCAACATAGGGTACATAGTTACAGCTTTAGGTAAGCATCAAGGACATAGCTGATGAAATAGATGATAAAGGACCATGTGCACACGTATGTATCTTACATATCTTAAACTTGTGGCTTTCCAAATTTGTACACAATTGCCCACAGTGGAAAATACATCTTGTACTCTCACCCAATAAACACATGCTCACAATTGAGACAAAGTTCTGTGAAACTCTTGGTACATATGATATGCTGTGATTTGTTTGTTCTGTTCTATTTTTCTTTTCTAAAATTCCAGTAAAAATTACCATTGAAAACAGCAAATATAAAAAAGCACATTTCTTAGCAATTAAGAGATTCGAAGAGATTACTTCGAATGTTCTGTTTTATGACTTTTGTTTCCCAATTTACTATTTCTAATCTCCTATTTGTATTTATTGTAGAAATGTGTAATTTTCTTGAAGGGAGCAAAGTGAATCTTTCTTTTGCATTTCCTCTACTAAACTATCCAACAACTTGTATACACACATGTGGTCACGATCATCATCAAGATAATCTCCATTACCACTTCTGTAGCTGAGGAAAAACTACGATTATATTTTCCTCTCCTACATCTCCTAGACTTTTTTTATATATAAAAAACAATCTATTGTTTCATTGCAGATAGAAAAAGTCACATAACTTCAACAAGTAAAACGTTTAGCAAATTTATTCAAAGTGAAATGGATAGCTGATGTCATAGATTTATTGAAAATTTACTCCGCAGTAAGTTTAAGAAAAAACTTCCAGAGATATAGCAAAATTCATGAATTTGCCTTAGTCATCTGATGCTAATATAACAGAAAACAGCTTACATTAACTTGGATAATTAACAACAGAAATAGAAGAAATAGTATTTGATATGTAGTTGCAAGTTGATCTTTCTAATGTCATCATATTAATGATTAATACTTCCATATTTTTAAAAATTTCCCACAACTAGCAAAATGATTATTCAATGAAAAAATTTTTACTCTACTTAGTTAAAGGAATAATATATATGTAATTTTCACGTATATCAAATGTAAAATTAGACATAAAATACATATCAAACGTATGTTATACGTAAAGTATATGTAATAGTCTTATATGTGTATGTATATGTATATCTTCTAAAATCTTTTTGCACAAAGTAAAAATTTTTCCCAGCATTAACTGCAGCCAAATGCAGGCATATCAATTTCTTTGGCTAGAATATGCTGATATGAAAATCCAGCTAAAAATCTTGGTGGCTTACAACAAGAAATCAAGAAATGTGTATTTCTAGTTCAAGTTAAATGATTTCATAGGTCACCTTGGACACTGGTCTATGTGGCTTCTTCCTTTCAGAGAGTATTTAGGATAAACTGGCTTAACAAGAGAGAAATCAGTGATTGCAGAGCCTCATAATGATTCTTAATGCTTCTTTTCAGAAGTGTCATCCATCAGTCTTACCCACATTCCATTTACCATAGAAGTTACATGGCCAATGCACATTTTTTTTTAAATGCCAAGTCTTCCATAAACTAATACTCTATGGTTGACAGTAATATCAATGAATGTAACATCATAATCTTTTCACAGGTAGGGGCAACAAAAGTCAATAGGAGAGAATGTGAAGTCCTTTTATGAGAAGAGACAGTAGTATTTACATAAAAAATACAATCTTCTTTAGCAAAAATCAGACCTTGGTGAGAATAGAGTAGAAAACATGTTGAATTAAATTCAGAATTCTTGTTAGTCAAACTTTAGATAGATGAGAAAAATCACAAAATGCAATTTTTATAACTGTGAGAATAGGCAAAATACCAAAATTCACATATTTATTATTTTAGAAAATAATCAGATTAAAAAAAAGCAATTGGGTAATCAGTTCTTACTCATTATACTGTCTGATTATTAATGATTGCTAAAGATTTGGTAATAATCAGAATATTATTATAGATTACTAAACTCCCCTATTTAAATGTACAATTAGATTTACAAAGCTCTTATAATTAAAAATATGAAAATGGAATATTTTAAATTGTGTTAAATGCAAATTATATTCAAAATTTAAAATTCTTATGATTTTTATTAATAATTATGATCATTATTATCTGAATAACACAGCTATACACTTAAGATTTAATGTATGTTATAAATATTATTTCTACAAATTTTACTCAAAATCTTTCCGGGTCATGTGTGGCCCATTTGCAATATTAAAAAACTTTTGATTTATAATTTTGTTCAGGAATATAATGAATACTTTTTATATATAAAAAACAGTCTAGGAGATATAGGAGAGGAAAATATAATCTTAGTTTTTCCTCAGCTACAGAAGTGGTCATGGAGATTATCTTGATGATGATCGTGACCACATCTGTGTATACAAGTTGTTGGATAGTTTAGTAGAGGAAATGCAAAAGAAAGATTCACTTTGCTCCCTTCAAGAAAATTACACATTTCTACAATAAATACAAATAGGAGATTAGAAATAGTAAATTGGGAAACAAAAGTCATACAACAGAACATTCAAAGTAAAAGTCAAACCTAGAGGACAACTTGTTGAATTCAGAATTCTTGTTAGTCAAACTTTAGATAGATGAGAAAAATCACAAAATGCAATTTTTATAGCTACGAGAATAGGTAAAAATACCAAAATGATTTGTTGTTAGTGATGTTGCTCCACTGATTCTTCTTGAAGTCACTAGATGTTGAGATACGTTGTTGTGTTATAAAACAAACACACAAAAAAACTTGGCTGACCATGGTTTGAGCATTGACAGAGAGTGGGTACTCAATTTAGGGCACAGGCTTTTAATCAGTTATAAAATTTCTTTGGTAGAAACTGAAATATTAATACTTTTAGGTTGCAGGTAAAAATTAGCCTTTTTGAACCAGAGAATACTAATAAACATCGAAACATTTTAGCAGATATGGGAAAATTAGCCCACACAGAATCCAGAATCAGAGCCAATGTGACCAATCTATATGCCATTGGATTCCTGTGGAAGATGAGAAATTACTTTCATTTTTATTTTATTCCATTGGAGAACTGATTGTTGATAGTTTGTAGCAATTTTAGGTTTCTGTAGGAGTGATGACAGATGCTTTTGTTGACTCATCCCATGTTTATAATAAAGTAAATAGTGATATTCAACAATTTTGTAAACTAAAACAAAATTGTGATGTCAACATAAAACTGAATAAGATGCCATAGACCAACTTAGAAATGCTCTGCTCAATAATGTAAATTGGGTATAACTTTAGTTAGAGTCTCTCGGTCTCCAAAATGATTGTTAGTCCCCGCAGATACTCGCAACATATCCTTGACCGTTATGAATGCCAATTTTGAGTCTTGTAATAACATTACATCTTATGGGAGATTTTCCTCTGAAAGCAGTGGGTGTTCCATTGTCAGTCACATTGAGGTGGAAAACAGGTCAGGTGCGGTGGCTCACGCCTGTAATACCAGCACTTTGGGAGGCCGAGGCGGATGGATCATGAGGTCAGGAGATCGAGACCATCCTGGCTAACAAGGTGAAACCCCGTCTCTACTAAAAATACAAAAAATTAGCCGGGCGCGGTGGCGGGCGCCTGTAGTCCCAGCTACTCGGGAGGCTGAGGCAGGAGAATGGCGTGAACCCGGGAAGCAGAGCTTGCAGTGAGCCGAGATTGCGCCACTACACTCCGCAGTCCGGCCTGGGCGACAGAGCGAGACTTCGTCTCAAAAAAAAAAAAAAAAAAAAAAAAAAAAAAAAAAAAAAAAGACCATCCTGGCCAAGATGGTGAAACCCCTTCTCTACCAAAAATTCAAAAATTAGCTGGGTGTGGTGGCGGGCACTTGTAATCTCAGCTACTTGGGAAGCTGAGGCAGAGAATTGCTTGAACCCAGGAAGAGGAGGCTGCAGTGAGCCGAGATCGCGTCACTGCCCTCCAGCCTGGGCAACAGAGCAAGACTCCGTCTCAAAAAAACAAAACAAAAATTTAGAGAGTAGGAGGAACTATTCTCATATTCTTAAGCCAATAGAGTTATTTATGGAATCTATTATGCAGAGAGGATGGAAAATTCTTGTAGTGGGCTGAGCTGGATCCCTGCCACATAAGATATTCCTAGGTCTACAAAGATACCCTAAAGTTCAAGAGAGACCACTTCTAAAAAAAGTGTAAATTTCTTTCTATGTTTTATCCCTAATACACAGAAGTTTCCATAGAAATTTTTAAATACCAGAGCCTCAGCTTAACTGTGCTTTGAAAAGCTGAACACTTAGTTGCACAAAAAGCTTTTTTTTTTTTTTTTGAGAAGAGTTTTTTGGAGAAATGTGAAATTAAAAAAATAAAAATAAAGAAGCCCAGATATTATCTGTAGAATTTTGAAGGGATTTAAATAAACTGAGGAAAAGAAATGCAGTAGAATAATTAACTTCCAATGACCTATATATATGTAGGTTAAGAATTCTTATAATATGAAAATAAAAAGAGAGGTGTTTTTTTATGAACTACAAGCTATAAAAAGAATATTATTAAGGTTTAGTTTAATGCATTCTAAACAGGTAGAGCTCTACAAGAAATGCTTATATTTGGATGAGAACTTATCTAGATTTGCAGATTTCCAAGATACAGTTTTTAATCTGAAACCAGAAGGTTTTTCAAAATGGAAGAATATGCAACATGAAACAGCTGTTAACCTCTTTTTTGCTCTCTGTGGCATACTGTCACTAAATCTGCATCAGATGAAGCTAGAGACAGCCAAATCATGGCTGTATGTTCTCCAGTTCCTCCCATCCTGCTCTCAAAACAACAATTCTCATCTCAGTTTCATGAAACCAGCTTACTGAATGACATTGGTGTCTTTGGAGTTGGCTTGGATTATACTCTCCTTTTGCAGATAACGTTGGCTATTACCAATTCTTTTCTGTCAAATATTTGCATTTGTTATGATTCTAGAGAGCTTGGGACTGTAGTTTATCATGAAATATTAAAACAGTAGAGTTATTATTTTGTTACTGATGTTTATAAAAATACTTATCACATGGTACATTACTTGGAAGATTATTTATTATGTTAATTTTCCTAAAAAATTTACCAGTCAGAAATCTTTTCATGTGGGAAAAATATCTAGATCAAATGCATATGTTCATTATGTTATTGGTAATAGATAATTTTGGATGAGTATTTTAATATATTTTAGTTACAGAGTAAGACCAAATAACCATCTTCAGAAGATAAGAGTTTCTGTTTATGTCTCTTTCAGTCTTATCTACTTAACTATTATAGCACTAATCTGTTAGGGATAAAAGGTCTTTTTCAACCCTTCTATTTAAAAAGTGTCTTTAAATATCTGGAATTTACTTTAAACTGTCTCTTTTGCAAACATTTATAAATAGTTCAGGTCTATCTACAAACCTACATCAGCTCATGTTAGTCAATAACTCCTTGCATTCAGTAAATGGATGCCTCACTTCAAAGAAACCAATAAGTAAAAATCTGAATTAAAAAAAATTAATTAGAACATAATTACTTATTCACTTTAGTTATTATAAAATCACCACATTTTTCTTTATATTTTCTCATGCTATTGAATTAGATGACAAAAAATAACTATGTTTCTGGAAAACCTATTGTGTAATTAATATTTTATAAAATTCTACTTGCATCAGCTCTTGCCTATCTTCGTCTAGTCCTTAACTCAGCAGTAAGAGTTTTCTTGTTTAAATACAAGTCAGATCATCTCACACGATGCTCAAGTTCTCACGGATCTGCTTCCTCTAGGCCCTACTACTGTTCTGTCTCCATCTCCTCTTACTCTCCCTTTGTTCACTCTGCTGGAAGTACATTGGTTTCCTTCTGTTTCTTGAACATACTACACTACAGCTTGTACAAGTTTATTTTCTCTGCCTAGAATATTCTACAAATACTTAAATTGTTCAATCCCTTACTTCATTCAAGTCATTAAGCAAATGCTGTCTTTTTGGTGAGGTTCCCCTGCCCACTGTATTGTAAAATTTCACTGATTTTTTTCCACCCTGGCACCCTGACATTTACTATTTCTCTTCCCTGATTTGTTTGTTTGTTCTTGGCATTTATCATCATGTAACATAATATAATTTTACTTGTTTATGTTGCTTGCAGACTGAGTTCATTTCAGAATATACACCCCAACAAAGAATTTCCATCTGTTTTGTTCAATGCCACACTCTCGATGCCTGAAAATTATCCTGACACACAATAGTGATTCAATAAACATGTGTTAAGTGAATCCACCATTAATATTCTGTAAATGACATGAAGTTAAGCATTGAGGCATTACTAGTTATTCTCCATCACAGGTCAGTATCCCATCTGTCCTCTTTCTATTCCTCTCTATTCTGCACCGAGCCCAGAAACTGACCTCTCTGATTACCTCACAGGCACACCCTTACCTACTGGCTTTCAGCTGTGTTCAGTCAGTGGGATAAACTGACAGGAAATTGAAGAGCAGGAAGAGACAGACAGGCTTTTAGGTAATTACTCCCCTCATTCCCTTCCTTTCTCACGGTAGGGATTCCGTTCTGGGATGCTGCTCAAGTTGCAATTTTCTAAGGCTAAAGCTCTTCCCCTTGTCTTCAGCTCTTTTAGATTCTAGAATCCTGTTGCCACTTTTTGTTCCTTCAGACCTGGGAGTGGTGATATCTCCAGCAGTTGTTAAATATTTCTTGTTGATTTTGTAAAACTGCTCCCATCTCTGCTAAGAATTTCTTTGTTACATTCTCTTTAAACTCATTTAACTTTCTGTTAAACCCTTTTGAGATTGCCATCTGTTTCCTGCCTGAATCTTGTCTGATAGAAATGCACTGGAATAATGAAAGTTAATATAAATAGCATAACAAAGTAAATGTAACATTGAATTTAGAAGCAGTGTCCAGTCAGTTATCTCCACATCCGATATCAATGACTTACCATGCCAATTTAGAAAAGTGCTTCAATACTCTGGGTCATCAATTTCTCCATTTATCAAATGAAGTTATTGGCTAAAAAACTGTTAAGTCCCTTTCAACTGTCTACTGCATATTAAGTTAAGCAAAGAAAAATATTAGAGCAATATGGTATGTGTGCTGGCTATCTTAATTTTGCTATTATAAATGTGCCAGAAACCCATTAATGTCTTGGGAAATGTTGTCTGCAATTCTTCACTCCAATTTTGGGTTGGTATCATATTTCATGGTAGGAGGAATCTACTTTCCTACAACTTGACTTTGGGATTGGCCATATTACCTGTTTGGGCCAATGAAATGATGTTGAGTGTGATGAGAAAAGAGTTGTTAAATGCTCCTGGAACAGTTGGCTTGACCTCTTGTGCACCAGGGGCCTGCCATGAGAATAACATGACTCAAGTAGCCACTGGTCCAAGGCAAATCTGGGGACACAAGCAGATTTAAAATCAAAAATAAATTTGAAGCTAAAAGCAGTCAATCTGTAGCCCGAGGCAGGTCTGTCTCACCTAACAACAATACTGTCATGGTATGGTAAGCAAAAACTTACCATAATGCATCTTCCTTTTCTTATTATGTTACTAAATGAAAAATTAATAGGTTAAAATTAGATTCAAGAGAAAATTCCATGTTTAACTAAATTAGAGAAAACAACAATAAAAGAAAATGGCAAAACAAGGAGGATTTCTGCTTCTGACCATGAGAAATTAACTAACTGGTATTAGATTTTCCTTTACTACAAACAATTTAAAAATTGGACTACATATGTGAAATAGCTGTTTTTACACACAGGACTGACGACAGGAGAGGCAAAATTGTGATTCATAAGAGAATAAACATATTAGATAAACCCTCCAACTTTGCCTTGACTTTCTGCCTGAAGGCTCTTTCAAGATAACACTGAAAGAAACAAGCAGAGCAAAATATCCATTGAGGAGGAGAAGTATGATTTGGGAAGGCAGAGATGGCTGAGATGTGTGGGATAAAGAACCAGAGATAAGGGAGCTATGTAGAGAAAGAATTCCAGAAATATCCATAAGGATTTGTTAAAAACCAGCCAAATACAAATCTGCACATACATGAGTTGAAATTCCACAAGTCTGAGCAAAGAACAACTGTAGGGCGAAGAACATTTTCTAAGAAGCCATGCACCAATCATTCAGCTGGGCTTAGAATTGTTGCAGTTTTTATAGGCCAAACTCAAGAGATCTCAGTAAATACTTGGGACTGTTTATTAACAGTGGTCTCAGATGGTCATATCTTTGTAGTGGGCTAAATTATTCGTAAAATAAAGGTACACTAGATTCACGTTAACTTTTTTTTTCTTTTGAGACAGGGTCTCGCTCTATCTCCCAGGCTGGAGTACAGTGGTGCCATCACGACTCACTGTAGCCTCGATGTCCTAGGCTCAAGCCCTGCTAATTTTTGTTGTGTTTTTTTTTTTATTTTTGTAGAGATGTGGCCTTTCCATGTTGTACAGGCTGGTCTTGGACTCCTGGACTCAAATGATTCAACTGCCTTGGCCTCCTAAACTGTTGGGAATACAGGCATGAGCCACTGCGCCTGGCCCTAACAAAAATTTTCAAAAAGGATATCAAAGAATCTACTTGACCTGCAATTGACATAAATGCCTCCTGATATGGTTTGTCTGTGTCCTGGCCCAAATCTCATCCTGAATTGTAGCTCTCATAATTCCTACTTGTTGCGGCAGGGACCTGGTGGGAGGTGATTGAATCATGAGGGTGGGTCTTTCTCATGCTGTTCTTGTGATAGCGAGTAAGTCTCACTATATCTGATGGTTTTATAAAGGGGAATCCCCTCACACAAGCTCTCTTGCCTGACACCATGCAAGACGTGACTTTGCTCCTCCTTTGCCTTTCACCATGACTGTGAGGCCTCCCCAGCCACATGAAACTGTGAGTCAATTAAATCTCTTTTCTTTGTAAATTACTCAGTCTTGAGTATGTCTTAATAGCAGCATGAGAACAGAATAATACACCTCCTAAAACAAACTTCAATATCCTTTAACATAATAGAACAAAATCCAGTCAACAACGTAATGTTCACCATGTCTGTGTCTGGCACTTAATAATAATAATAATAAAATGCTACACATGTGAAGTAGCAACATTTTAAGACCAAAAATCAAAAGTAAATGACTTAATAAAAATACATCCAAAATTGAGAAAGATGATAGAATTTATAGACAAATAAATATTAAAATATGCTCAAAGATTTAAAGTAAGATTTGAACATAATGAGATAAAAGTAAAATATAAAGCAATTAAAGGGAAATAAAAACTGCAATGTCTGAAATAAAAATTCACTGATGGGATTAATTATAGATTACATAATGGAGAAAAACATATGGTTGAACTTGAAAGCACAGCAATGGGAACTATGCAAAATGAAGCAAAGAGAGGAAAAAGCCTGAAAATAGTAACAGAGTCTCGTTGTTTAGTACAATACCAAGTTTGTCTAACATATCGAGTTTGTACCATGTGGATGGAAGAGAGAGGTAGAAACAAACAGGCAGACATGGAAAAAACAAACTGAAGAGATAATAACAGAAAACTTTTTAATTTCAATAAAAATTATAAATCTGTAGATACAAAAATAACTTAAAGAAAGGCAAGTAGGATAAACACAAAGAAAACCTCTCCTAAGAACATCATAATGAAATTGAAAACAACTAGTGTCAAAGAGAATATTTTTATTCTTTTCTTTTTTCTTTTTTCTTTATTCGAGACAGGCTATCCCTCTGTTGCCCAAGCTGGAGTGCAGTGGGAGGATCTTGGCTTGCTGCGACCTCTACCTCTCTGGCTCAAGAGATCCTCCTACCTCATCCTGCCAAGTAGCTGAGATTAGAGGTGTGCAACACCACACTCAGATAATTTTTTTTTTTTTTAGATGGAGTCTCACTCTGTCACCCAGTCTGGAGTGCTGTGGTGCAATCTTGGATTACTCCAACCTCTGCCTCCCAGGTTCAAACGATTCTCCTGCCTCAGCCTCCCAAGTAGCTGGGATTACAGGCACACACCACCACACTAGGCTAATTTTTTGTGTTTTTAGTAGAGACGGGGTTTCGCCATGTTGGCCAGGCTTGTCTGGAACTCTTGGCCTCAAGTGATCCACCCACCTTGGCCTCTGAGAGTGCTGGGATTACAGGTGTGAGCCACCGCACCCAGCCCAGATAATGTTTTTAATATTTTTGTAGTGACAAGGTCTCGCTGTATTGCCTTGGCCGGTCTTGAACTCCTGGACTCAAGTGATTCTCCTGTCTTAGCCTCCCAAAGTGCTGGGATTACAGGTGTGAGCCACTGTGCCTGACTGAGGATAATATTTTTAAAGTAGCCAGAGGTAAATGACTTCCATACAAAGGAACAAAGATGAGAATTCATAGACACATTGTGGAAAATTATACAGTCAGGAGACAATGGGGAATATTTTTGAAGTGCTGGGGAAAACAAACAAACAAATGGTTTTCCAACAGTTGTTCTCTTTTTCCCCACTGCCCGATGTGCTTTGCTTAGCCTCAAAGAGGTTTTCTATAGGAAGAAGTTTTTATTAACATTCTGGTGTTATTACTTACCTTATGAAATTATAGAAACATCGTAGTGTATGTTTTCACAAATTGCAGATTAGTGCAGCAATAAATATTCATTACACTTAAATAATTTTATTAATAGGTAGACATTTTAATACTTTTACCTTCTATTGTAGAGGGAAAATATATTTTCTTCCCATGTTAGTTTCATGACTGAGGCCCCTATAACAAAAGACAGATTAACAAGAGAAGAGCATATGAATTTATTTAATATAAGCTTATGTGACACAGGAGTCTTAAGAACTCAAGACCCAAAGAAAAAGGCTAATGTATATTTTTGTGTCTAGGTTTGTTGAAGAATGTACAAGTGTAGAGAAATATGATTGGAGGACAAAATTGTATGATCTAATGATAAGAAACTGAGGGGAACTTAGGAAGCCTTGCTAGTTCAGATTTTTCTCTGTGTTCCTGTGTCTTCAGGGATAAGCATGTTTTTTTTTTTTCCTCAGGTTACCGGGAGGGCACTTCTAGAATGGGAGTCTTCTGACCTGCTTCAAGGGAAAAAGGGAGAGAAAGACAAAGGGTGATCTTTCTAGGTTTTACAACCTACTTTGGGAGAGAAGGGAGAGGGAAGGGCGAGAGTGGCCTTTCTACTTCTGCTATTCTTTCAAATGCCAACATGCTGTATTTTGGGGTAGCATGTCCTAAACCTCAAACTAACTACCAAATTTACTTTTTAAATGTTATCTTTTCCTACAGGTATATTCTAAACAAAATTTATTTTTTTTCTAAGTAAAATCCTCACAGAATTATGCAGCAAATTTCTCACAACTTTATCTGAGGCTGACAATAAGGTAATGATTGTAGCAAAAATCAAAAATTATTTTGCATCTGAACTCAAGTTACAGATGAAGCTGGTGCAAGTCCAAATTGAAGCTGTGCTCAGATTTGTATAATTGAGAGATACAAGAGCTAGTGATTAGAAACTCAAAGAATAAGAATAACCCAATGTGAATTAGACTGGAACACAGAGAGTGACATTAAAAGCGTAGAATGAGGAGGCAGAATAAATGCTCAACAAAGGCTTTTCACCATTGTCAAGAAAGTCACTGAAATATTCTCTCTGTGGGACATTTGTAGCAATAGCTAGCTTTGTACTAATGGAATAACAATGCATAAAAGTCATAAAAAAGAACAAAGTTGCAACTTACCAGAAGATATATGCTCAGTATGCAAAACTCCAGGAAAAATATGGCCTTAACTACATGCTTCAAAAGGTAGCACATCAATCTTTAAATAGAGAATACAAAGTAAATAATTCAGAGAACATTTCTTAAACAGATAAAACAAAGTCATAAGAATAAGAACTTCATTTGCCAGTATTTCCATATGGAATACTATGGAAAGAAAGTAGAAAATAGAAAGCTTTTATAGTTTATATATTAATAAGAGACATACCCCCCAGGTACTTAGCCCTTCATATTTTAAAAGAGGCTTGTTTTTGTATAAAGCAGAGCTATCACACAAAAGATATTAGTAAAGTATATCCCTTTCTTTAAATGTGGAGAGAAAAAAAAACTAAAAAGTTGCTTAAATAATAAGAATTAACATGTTATGTATGTCAATTGAGTATGTTTAATGAAATTGATGGCATTGTTAGTTACTGTATTTGTGTCTTCATTTATGTTTGACAAATAAAACAAACAAAAAGTGGATGGTTACTGGTGACGCAGGCTGGTTTCAACTACAGCTGAGTTCACTGCATGCATTGTGAGAATCACTGAGGTGCTTTTGTGCTTTGGGTTTTAATATTGCCACATGAAAATGGGGCATCAGAAAATGTGTCAACCGTTGAAACTGTTTCTTTCTGCCTTTCATCTCTGGTTTTGTCTCAAAATTGGGGGATACTCAAAGGACTACATTAAACAAAATTGGGATTTCTATTCTATCCTAACCTCACACTGTGCCTTCCTTAAGGACAGAAAGAGTTGCAGCTCATTGCAATTTACATTTGATTTCAATTTATTTTATTTTGTTTTTGCCCTTCTATAGTGATAAGCTAGTCAAATAGTTAGCTAAAAATGAATAATATGTCACTTCACATCTCAGCATTAACAGAACTTCTACCTCTAACACTGAGACTCACCATCTCTTTCTTCCAAGAGTTACTACTGTTTTGTTAGTTGCTACATAAAGCTCTGACTGGCATCAGCCTATTTCTCCTGCAGAATTTCAAGGATTGTGGAAAGGCCATATACAAATGCATTAGAAAAATATGACTAATTTAATGAACATGGAAATGAATACACAGTATACATACAAATTAGCTTAAGGATGCATAAATTTATAGGTAAGTCAATGAATGTAAGTTAAAATAGCATCATATAATTTGGAAAAAATTTAAAAATATTAATAATTTCCAGTATTACCTTTGTCAAAGAAAATTATCAGAATTTTTTTAAAGTTAAAATTTCATGTATTTCTAAACTCAAAAATCCATAGCTAAGAATGTCTCCTACTTGCTAGTTAAAGAAATAATTAGAATACATTTATTTCAACAAAGTTGTTACTAGCCAAAACTTAAAACAACCTAATTAATCTATGAAATTCAATGCAAAATATTTTATGCAATGATTGTAGATAATCAGGTAGAAAACTATAAAAACAAGACAAAATATTTCAATGAAATAAGAGAAATAATAGATGTCCTATTAGAAATAATTTTGCCAAAGATGTTCAGAGCTAGGATAAAAAGCCAAGTTTAGAGGGTAATATTTCTATTCAATCCTTCCTTCATTCATTCTTATGACATTAAGGGTAAAGTTTTATTTATTAATTCATTCATTTTGTCATCTATTCACTTTTTAAACTGTTATTTATTACAGGCACTAGGCTAGCTGCTGCTCATAAAAAAGAAATTAACACTTTTGTTTTTTAACTGGTAATTTTTGCAAAGTCTCAGCATCTGCATTTGGGGCCTATACACAAATTAAAGAACAAAAAGTGACCTTTCCTTGAAGAACTGCAAAATGATACCTGTTCTGGGTATATCAATGAGAAGAAAAGAAAGGTCTCTTCTGGTAGATGTAGCCACATCACTCAATGAACACAACTGGCAAGGAAGGCAGAGGCTGCATTATAGCTCTTGGCTTCTGCACCATTGGCCAGGCTGTGTTATGTAGAACATACCCTGACAGTCTTGTTCAGAGAAACTAGAACTTGGAAGACATTGCTGAAAATATAGAGATGTAATTGAATCCATTTACTTTTATATTTTTTATATAACCTTACTTACTTGTGTTGAAGAGAGCAAATGCATTGGGATGGCAATTAGAAACTAATTTTAGAATCTTCTGGATAATTTGGAATCTGGTTCTCCATCATTGCTCAAGCAAGTAACTGTACAATGTTTAATGAAAGGTAAGCAATAACTTTGTTCTAGGTTGGGGCTACAGCAGAGCAAAGAATGTTTGTGTGCAGTCTATTTAGAGTTTAAGAGCAGTGTGAAGACAGCAAAACATGCTTTCTAATGACATTGACTGAATTGATCAAGTTGTAATAGTAGCCGTGATCAAACAAGATAATTTCCACAGTCACTTTGAAAATTTTGATATCAGCTGGGGAAGAACATTGTGACGAAACTAACTCTATACCCTATTTCCTTCCTTTCTTAGTTGTTGTATTCCATAAGATCTGAATTAGACAACTGGACAAATTTTGTTGAGTATTGAGGGGGTGGCAAAGAGCAAAAAAATTATCTTGTTTAAGCAATCTTTAGGATTTTTTTCTGTTTTTTTTTTCTTTCATATTGTTCAGGTAGGTTATCTAAAGGCTTTATTTGAAAAGCACTTTTATTTTACTTTATTTTGATTTAGGTTGGTAGTACTATAGAATAATTGAAGATGCAGAAATAGCAGAAGAGCAAAAGGATGGTTACTAAACAGAAGGAAATCAGTAGCTTTTGTTTCATCAGCAAAGAGAGCTCATTTCAGAAATCAATTATGGCTTGCATACATATCTGTAATCAGTGCTTCTTTAATCTGAAATCCTTAATGAACCCCTAAGAATATTGCTTCCTTGTGATTTAATCAATGGAAAGAAGTACATGGTAAACAAGCTTCCTTTCCTTGTGTCTTTTATAACATATTAAGAAAAAGTTTTGCATTTTGCATTTGTTTTAAATTTACGCTATTGTGAGTTTTAGTACTTTGATTATTTTTAAATAGTCTAAAAAAGGATTTATCCTGAGACACTGACATTAGATTTTCTCATTACCCATCAATATACATAAAATAAGCTTGTGATTTTATACATAAAATGCATAAAGAAAACACTTCGTGGGCATCTGTTTTATGAAATTGTTACATTTATGTATTAAAATTCTGCTGCAAATGAAATCAAATGGAATGATAATGATTTTCTTTCAACACTAATAAGAACTGAAAAAAATTTTAAAATTGAGTAATTATAGTTCAACACAAAATGAGCAGTAAATTAAAGGTAAAGGAGTCAAAAATTTTAACTAACAATTCTATCTACTAATTCAAGTTACTAGATGGGGAAGAAGCTATAAAGATACAGCTGATAAGAACTAGGTTTAAAAGCTATGCATTCTCTTTAAATTCACATAAATAAAAATATCAACAAAGAAACAAGGTAAGAATTATTTCATTTCTTTTAATATCTTTCTTTATTGAAGCTATGATATACTAAAAAGTAATTAGTATGATTTTTGATATTCCACATTTATAAATTCGATTTGAGAGGTAGATATGTATGCATATATTTATATATCACTTACAGTATCAAAATAAATTCAACCCTAATTTAACTTTTGTAAATTCTAGTTAAAAATAAATTCAAAACTAAAGCTAATACTTATTAAACATTTATACCATCTAAATATTTTGTACAAATTGACTCATCCTAAGTATCACAATGCTACTACAAACTTCATGTTAAAAATGAGGAATCTAAAGCACAAAAAGGGGTTAAAAAATTGCCCAAGATTACAGTGAGCAAATGGCTCCATCAAAATTCCTATGCAATTGGACTTCAAGACATTATATTCCAACCACGATGCTATTCTTTTGTAACCACAGTACAATATTCTCAATATATTACAACAGTGATTTTTTATGCAAACAAATACAGTATTGATGAAAAACATCTTTGACATGAATTTCCTGTTTTCATCAAATATTAAACACCATATAGAACCATAAGGCAAACTCCTGAAACTCTTCAAACTTGCTTTTCATTTTCTTCCCAATAGAATCAGACATATGTAAAGAATCACTGATTGAATTATTTTTATATACTGCCAAAGCATTTTTCCATACAGTGTTGCTACGGACTAAAATAAAGTAGGTCAATTTCTACATTTTGATGTCCTTTTTGAAGGAAGAAAGAAAAAATTTTTGTCTTTTAAGCAGTGTATTTGAGAGATGGAGACTCTCATCTCTTATGTCTTATGTCTTATGACTCTTCTATGGTCCAGGCCCTTGCTATGCCAGGGAAGTTTAAAAATCTTGAGAGGAGTAAGTCTGTTATAACAGATATTCTTTCACTCTTCCATATAATTGCCCTCCATTTACTGCTTCCTCTTTCCTTTCTCTTCTCTTTTCCCTTTTATCTTTTTCAATGTTTTCTCATAACTTTTTCTTTTCCTTTCCATTCTACTGGCATTACATCTTAGCTCCTGTGGTGGGTATGCAGTATTTGTTTCAGTTTAAACTACATGCAAAGCATTTCAAAAAATACTGTGATGAAACATACTGCTTGATAATTTAATTTTGTTCTAAAAATAGTTATTATTTGGGGACATTTTAAATAAAGCTAGTCCTAGTGCTAATTTCTTTATATTTGTGAAATAACTTTGATAAGAATATCTTATTTTTAATAATACACTCTAACAAATAAACACTTTAATGAAGAAAAATAATAGGTTAATTGATGTCCCAAGGCTTCAAAATTACTTAGTCACTACATATGAAATAGAACTTAGATTCCCAGCTATCCCTCAGCCTGTGATCTCTCTGCTACATTGTTCCATGAGCACTAAAGCTAAGCTGAATCAATAAAATCATTAAATTGCTATCATGTGCTAGGTACTCTTCATGTTAACAAAGATATATATGATATTTCTGCTGTGTAATTAGAAACCACCAATATTATCATCCATAACTCTGAGTTCAGTACAAGTTAGTGTACACTTATTGTACATAGAGGTTTTGAGGATCAATGAGGGTTTCCTTGCACCAAAATATTTCCATCAGTGCTTCTCTGCAGGCCCTAAAATTAGAGTCATTATTTCTACAGTTGAAGATTTACAAGTCTTTGAGAAGTCTCCATGTCCCTCAAATCATTAGAAACATATTGTTTAATTCTTTAATAGACAACTAGGACTTTAGTGTATACAACCTGAGATGGACACCTGGTAATTTATAGAAGACTCCACAAAAACCGAGAAAATAGCACAGCACAGAAAGGAGGGAAAGAGGTAGGAGGGAGAGGCCCAGAGACAAATTTCATGCTCATCACACTTTTAATTAGAGCTGATTTAGTTGCCAGTCTTACTTCATGTTTGACTATTCTCATTGGAGAATAGCATCATTCACTTTTAGAGAATTGTGTGATTCACTTGCTCTCTAGCTTGCAATCAATATCAGATGTTTTTCTGAATTACTTCTCTTTTTCTTTTTGAAATTGACCAGTATTCTCACAAAGTCCCCGTTTGAAAGTCCTGCTATCTTAAGGACTGAGCAATGAAAAAGCCAACAGCTTTGTCTATTAGGCTTTCTCTCATTCAGGCATATCTGTGCATCCAAGTTTTCACACTAATTTACCCATTGATCCCATTAGTCATTCATGTAAGAAACATATTTTGATCTAGAATATACCATGGGGGAAAATGAATACTGTTCTTATAATTACAAACACACACACACACACACACACACACACACACACACGATTAACAATATATATGTATATTTACAAACATATATATATATGTAGATGGAGAGATTTGTAAGTTATGGAGCTCAATATGATAATAATTTTGTGTATCTTCTATGTTATTTGGTGACTCAGGATAAAAGGCATGTCCTTTGGTGAATCTAATTGCTATCCCTGCCATTCATCTGTAGTATCATCTGTCACTAATGCATTCCCCCACTACTTCACCAGGCAACTACTTTCTGCTAATCTAATCAAATAATTTAAGCCATGATGCTAATGACTAATGCAATCTTTATGTGGAAATTAACAATCCTAGATACTTTTAGGTTTATCATAGACTCACAGAAGTTTAAACCTAGACAGCTAAATAGGTTCTTATATATTGTCTCCTATAACCACATACTACACATGGAGATAGAGATGTTCAAAGGGGCTTTGTAAGACTGCTGGGTGACAGGACTACAATCTGGGTCTCAATTACCAGTTCTTTGGCCATCCTATTAGTTAAATTTAAAGCTCTTAATAGATCATTAAATTCCTAAGCCCAAAGAGTTTTCTATGGAGATTTTAGGTATCATGATTGAAAGGCATGTTGGAAAAGAAGGTATTTTTGACTAAAGCGGTCTTTAAAATCACAAAACAAACGCTACTTGCCCTGCTTTCACTAAACATGGAAGGGTGTTTTGTTAGTTTATTAGTTTCTTCTCTTCTGAGAGACACTACCAAGTGCTTCGAATACTGTCCTTATTTGAGTTAGTAAATTGCCAAAATACTGTATTTCAGTGTTAATGATTTTATTTATTTTGATATGATATCTGAATGCAATTAGTATTGAGGCAGCAGATTTCCCATACATCTAACTAGAGATTAAACCATTGAATTCGTTGAACCTCACTCTCTGGGGTTAGGAACTTAGTGTCCTATAGGAAAACAAATCTTCGAGTTTCCTAAATAGAAAAAGGAGTTCACATTTCAATGTAGACTGGCATGTCTTTCTTAAATAGAAAATATGGTCTCTGACATTAAAATGAAAAGTCTGCACACATAATATTATTTACACTACAGTAAAATGTTTTGTTGTCAAGCATTACAAATTCAGATTGCATGGCTTCCTTATTGAGTCTGTACTCTCTCTCTGATCAAATACTTTTATACCCAGTGTCACTTAAAAGAAGGCAGCATTTGAATCTTTGTGTATTCTCCTAGCAGCTAAACAAGCTTCAAAAGCAAAGCAAGGCAGTGACCTTGAAATGTACCCTTTGCCATAATAAAATAATGTTTATTTTTTACCCCTGGTAGAGAGTTTGCAAGATGTAATATTTCTCTTTTATATTCAGATCCTAAGTCAGATGCATTTCCTCTGGAAATATCTTTCAAAAGGAGCTTAAGAAAGTTTTCTAAAAAATAAAAAAAAATACACTTTTAAAATTTATGCCTAAAGAAGCAAAGGTAAGAGTTCAGAATGTAATTAACTTAAAATATACCCTAGAACATATCTGACTCATCGTGCTTTAATGAGTATCCATAAGTAGATGATCTCTGCAAAAATAAAACAGAATACTGATTACAGAGGCCTTGACTCCTACCTGAATGGAAAACGTGTAGGGTGTATTCCTAGAGGAAGTTTTAATGTCACCAAACAGAAATTTCAAAAAAAAAAAAAAAAAACCACTTGGCAATTTAATTTCCTTGGCTTGCCAAGGGGTAAGAAAAAGATAGGTCAATAAGATGTTAGTATATAGCAGAGAAATAGTTTCTTCCTATCACAGAAATTAAGAAATATAAAACATTCAGTGCTTGTTTAAATTAAAAAGATTTTGTCTCTCGCCCACAGAGTAATTTTTTGTATTTAAGAAACTAGAATTAAGATGGAGGAACTGTGGTCTCATATATAGCCATAGATTTAATGTGACACAATTGATGCAATATTTAAGTCTCATTGTTAGGCAATCTTTCCATAGTTCTTTTTGTAGCAAATACAGTAACATGCATGAGTCCATCAACATACCCTTGAATATACCCATTGCCTGTGCAGTGTCAAGTGTTGGTACTAAGAACTTTTAAATGTTTAGTACATTATGTTTTAAAAATATGGTGTTCTTTTATTTGTAATATACACAGCCGTCTACTGGAAATTCAAAACTTTGGAAATAGAAAATAAAAGAAAGGAATAGAAGGCCAAAATGTAGACAAATGAAATTTATGAAAATTCTTTATCTTCCATCTTATTCTTGCTGAGCTATTTGAAAAATTATTTTGCCTCAGACCTTAGGGAATAGAACCCAGGAGGAGACCTATGGGAATATGGCTTCGCAAGCCTGTATAAAACATCTGTTTGAGATATAGAGATTGATTCATCCCCATAGAAAAGGGAAAAGTAAAGAAAGATCAAAATACAGTAATTATAAATTTGATGAAATTTTTATTCTATATTCCTCTGACAGCTGGCAAGGAAGACTTTTAAGTAAGAGAGATAATTTTAATAGTTCCTAACAAGGGTATTAACAAACAAGGGAACATGGAATTGTATTCCCATATATTGTTTATCTTTGAAGAAAACCTACACTGATACCTAGTAAGAACAGGAATATGCTAGGTATTTCATGCTCTTACTAGGTATCGGTGTAGGTTTTCTTCAGAGTTCTAGGAATATACTAGGTATATATTTCACTATATAATTGGTACAAAGACTATTATCAGGCCATATCAACTCAATACTTAGAAAATAATATCAACTGATATAACTACCTGTTTTTGCCGGTGGCAATGTCAAAATCATTGGCAGGAATAAAATAATTGTGTAGATTGGATCCATAATCAAGCTTTTATAAAACATTTTTTTCGTTTTTGTAGAGACGAGGTCTCCCTCATTGCCCAGGCTGATCTTGAACTCCTAGGCTCAAGTCATCCTTCCACCTTGGGCTACCAAAGTGTTGGGATTACAAGCATGAGCCACTGTGATTGGCAAAGACTTTTTAATATATGTAGTTGCTTTAATGTTTACAGAAACTCCATGATCCTGACCGAAAGAGAATGGTAAATGAGATAAAATTTTAAATTGAAACATCCATTTATTATCTTCTTTGCCTCTTTTCTACACAATGAGATCATGGATTTTCTTTTCTGAAATTTTTTTGATGCCCTAGTCTTTATTGTTCTCCCCATTCTCAGAACTCCTGAAGTCAGATATGAATATCTTGTCTTACACTGTTCTCTGCTAATTAAATACCTCAGAATGTAGTCTTCAAAGTTGTACTATATGTTTTTATTTGCCATAGTGATTAAAGTGATGTTGAAAACATCACAGCTATTCAGTAAAGACCTGCCTAATTAAGTGGTTTAATGGCATGAGAATACCAAGTTAATGACTGAGTGGTTGGTTGTAGCTTATGTGAGGGCCTTTTAACTTGTTTCTTCTATGGATGTCTATCCTCATCCCAAAAATGTCTTGCAAAGTACAGTTGATCCTTTTTTATTAATCTAGAAAATTGCATTTGCTTTATATTTATACAATTGAATGAACTGGTAAATTTAAATGGTTTTAAAAAGTTTAAAAATATTTCCTAAGCTTGAGATACATGCCTCCTAGTACAGCTACAATAAAAGTAGGAGAAAGATAATTAATCCTTATTTAGTATGACTGGATATTAACCAAAGAAGAAAAGACAGCACTTGAAAAGGAGATAAATGACTAGAAAAAAGGAAAGCTATGTGTTTATGGACATACACACACATTGATTAAAATAATAAGTTTCCTAGATGGCAGGCAAACCAGTGTCTATGACCTGAAGACATTACAATGGTAGAATCTGTTTCAATTTAATAACTGCATATTGAACCCTACCATGTGCTAAACACTCTTTTAGTAACTAAGACATAGTAGAGAAACAGAAGAAATTCCTGATTATATGAACTGTTTATTTTAGTGAGAATAAATACAAGTTGAGCATCCCTAACCCCAAAATCCAAAATCCCAAATCTTCTCAAATCCAAACCTTTTGAGTGACATCACTAGTGGAAAATTGCAGACCTGACCTCATGTGATGGGTTGCAGTTGAAATGCAGTCAAAACATTGTTTCATGCACAAAATTATTAAAAATATTGTGTAAAATTACATTCAGACTATGTGTCTAAAGTGTATATGAAACAGAAATAAATTCCATGTTTAGACTTGGGTTCTATCCCTAAGACATCTTATTATGTATATGCAAATATTTCAAAATCTGAAAAAATCCAAAATCTGAAACACTTCTGGTCCCAAGGATTTTTGGTAAGGTATACACAACTTGTATACAATATTATAAATATATAATTGCATGCTTATTAATATTAAATTTATATATATATTTCCATAATATAAACTTACATCAAAGAAGTTAGATATTTTAAATTTCAACATGATTTTTTCCTAATCATTTTGTGCTATTATTAGCACAAATTGAAGACTTAAAAAATGTTGAGAGTTTGCAAATTATATTACTGCTGTGAATATTATTAGCTCTGGGTATCACTGAAAGGAAACTACTTAATTAACTTGTGGATAAATTGATAGGTCCATAGAGTATTCTCCCCTCTAACTATTTTGGGATCTGTCCTTGTCCTTCATTGTTCTTGAAACTCACTCTCAATTTTTAAAATATAATCTTTGTCTCTTTATAAAACCGTACTTTATAAGATTGCTTGCTGAAGACTTGCCATTAACATAAATAAAATGTGTTTGTAGAAAAATAACAAATGATTGCAAAAGCCCTGGCATCCACAAATGCTTAGATTCATTATGGTATCTTTGGTATTTTGGATGGGGCTTAAGCTACATTTCATGAAGCACATACATTTGAGGAAATATAACTCTGAAATCTCAAAACAAGCAGCTTAACACATTTTAATCCTCCTTTTAGATGTGTGAGTTAAAAAATATTCAATTATTTGAATCATCTGCTTACTACTTTTTAAAATTTCTTATCAGTCCAGTTCTGGAATGAGCCTTTTGTTTTGTTAATATTCACAGACGTTTCTGTTGAGTGTAAGTTTTATGCCTATTGGAAGTTTAAACAGGTAATTTGTCAGTCATACTTTTCTACCTCCTAGAATGCTGGTCTGTATGCCAATGTGTGCCTTATGCTTTCCTTTCCTGGCTAGTGACACTTCACTCAAGCATACTGTCCCAAATAGTTGTACACACTAGCCATTTCTTCACAATTCCCCTGTTACTACTTTAAAACAAAAATTCCTTGACATTTTTCTCATAGGCAGGGAGCCTGAATATTCTCCCTGTAAGTGTGGGTAGGACTGTGAGTATTTCACCTGATAGAGTGCGGCAGAAAAGATTATCTGTGTGTTCTGAGGTTAGGATGTAAAAGACCATGACATTTCCAACATTGTTTGTGAAGATATTGCTATGGGAGCATTAACTCTTAGAAAAGAACATTTCATGTAAATGCTCCTTATTCATGTAATAAGTCTGAGTAAAAATAAAGTTTATGTATTTTTTGTTTCATAAAATTTTAATAATACCCAATGAAAACAGTCTTCTAGCCCTCCTTGCCAAGAAACTGTCTCAGACACTCTGCAATTGAATAACACCACCGACCTCCACCAATGCCACATGGGTTAGAAGCATTTTCCAAGCCCAGCATAATTTGAATTCCAGATATATAAATTTATGCAATATAATAAGATCATTGTTGTTTTAATCCCCTAAATTTTGGGGTAGTTTGTTGTGCAGCATTAGATAACAGGAACCACTCCATCAAAATTTTTTTGATTTATGAGCCATTTAGTTTGCTCACAGCTCATTAGTTAGAAGAATGTTATTTGTATATTCATATCATAAAACACATAATCAGATGTTATTGATTGGTGATGACATTTTAATGCGTTCCTTCCTCGAAGACCATTCATATACTAACATAGGTCAATATAGCCTAGTTACATACTTCTAATGAACATATTATAGCCATGAGAATTTGAGAAGCAAAGAAAATTTCTGGAGCAGAAAATTTTGTCTAGTGAATCATTAGAAAAGCCAATATAGGAATTTGCTCACTTGTAAACATCTAAGATTCAATTTTTAACTAAATGTGAAGGTATACTCCACTTAGTACAAGAAGACATTTTCTATTTTAACCATAGTTTCTTTTCAAAATCAAATAATAAATTGTGAATAAATAATTAACTTCTAGCCTAGCCAGGGCTGATGAAGTTCTTTCTAGTATGATCTCAGAGTCTTATAGCACTGTTTGCTTGGAAATCATATGGCAAAAATTAATGGAAATGTTGTGTTGACATGTTTGTGAAGTGAAACCGCACCTGCACTGGGGAAATTATGAGGAAGCATCTAGGCTTCAGACCTGCATGACTCAAACAGTGCAAAGGAGGGGCGGGAAATAAAGGTTGCAGCTTCCACCTCCATGCGCCACAGCTTTGCAGATCTCATATGTGTCAGAGGCAAAACAAAAAACAAAAAACACAACTGTGTACTTGGGTAGTTGCTAAGACTCCCAATGCATTGATGATGCACTTTTTGTATCACCTGCCTTACATTCTTTTATAAAATTAAGTAAAGGAAATACTGGATTGAAAACTGTTTGTGTCTTATAAGAGATTGCCTAGGGATCTTGGCTTCAAAATCCATATTCTAAGCAATCCATCCTGCCTCTTAAAATGCTAATGATATCCTAATAGAAATGGTAAAAAGATACTAGAATTTAAATTCGTAAAGATACCTCCCAAATCTCCTTAGGAAGTGCTCATTGCCAGGAACTCAGTAGGAGATAGAAAAGACTTCAAGTGTAATGGAGTATTGGATAATGATTCAAAGAAGAGGGCATTTGAAGCAATACATTGTGATAGTATGTTCCTCTATCAAGTAAAAATAGTAAACAATATTGAAGTAACATATCTTAAGTACTTTATGGGCAAGGACACATATAAAAGCCTAATAAATGTTTGATGGTCCTGATGGGAAGAAGGTCTTTTTATAGCTATTGTGTGATTGATACGATGCTATGGACCAGGAGATCAGAGCAATCTGTTAAAGAAAATACAAACCTTTAAATCGATGGAGTCGTAACCACAAGAAGAAAAGAGATTAGCTCAGGTATTTGCAGAGATATCATATATCTCTAATTAAATTAATGAGGGATAAGTAATTGCAAAAAGCCACATTTATTAAAATAGATATGGAATTATGATAAAAATTGAATGCCAAAATGTATAACATGCTTGTCTTACATAACCACTTCATGTTTCTCAAACATTAAATACTAATTCTTTTTCTACTGATTGACCTATGTCACATTATATATGCATTATAAGTTTTATGTGAATGATAAATGATTGTATCCCTAATGTTATGGTTAGGTCAAATATTACTATTTTCCAACTATTATTTAATACAAAATTTAAATAAAATCTATGTCATGGATATAGTACATATCAACTTTGGGAGAATTGCACATATAGTTTATGTCAATCAAAGCTGGAAATATGATGTACTTTATGCAGCATCAAAGCAAATAAACATACCTAAGGTTGGAAGAGAACAACCAAGTAAATAATATTTGTGTTTTTAAAAATAATACTATCCTTTCACTGCGGATTATGGATATGAGGGTTTTAGTAGTAGATAAAGAACAGCTACTTCAGAGGCTATTGAAGACGCCCAGCCTAGAGATGATTGCAGTAGTAGAGATGGAGAGAAAAGCCATGAAGCAAGAAACATTGTTGGCAGGATCAAAAGAACTCAGTGACGGATAGGACACAAAGGTGGGAAAACACAGTGGGCAAAAATGACTCCTGAATTCTGAGATGAGCAACTAGTCCCTTTAGTGTTGATGCTGCCCAACTGTGAATATGGGCAATGTGGTCTCCCAGGTACTGTGATGGCTTTGAAGATCACTAAAAGATGGAAGAGAAACTTGTAATCTAGTAATGATTGTAAATACAGGAATTTTCTTATCTGGACAGCAGTGGAAGGGAAAGATCATTAGGTTATGTGTGTACAGTTTCACCAACAATTTGACAGCTAGTCATTCATGTACCATGACTATAGTAAAGTAAAAAGCTTCCTAGCTATTCTCTTTATTACTACTATTTCAAGTATTTTTATTTTTTGCAAATGTACCACATGTCTATAGGATTATCATGCTTTTTTGTAGTTTATAAAAATAAGAAGTCATAAAATTATTTCCTTTTTGGATTTTTTTTTTTACTTAGTGGTAAAGAATGATTTAGATCTAAAGCCCTATTTGTAAAACTTAGTTGTCATTTTGATTTTATATATACACACACACATATATATATGATCACATTTTTCAAAATTATTAACATTTGGGTTGTTTAAATAAGAGGTGTTGAGCTTCTTTTAATATAGGCATATTCAAAGTAAACTTTAATAATTATTATTTTAATCTGTAAAAATGAAAGTATACAGTAATATTTTTAAATGAATTTTTGCCTGTGTAATGGAGTCACTTATTCTTTTATTGACTTTAGGAATATAATAATATCTTATTTTTTAAACATACAAAATCTTCTCTGTTTTAATTCATACATCCACTGAGTGTGTACTTTGTTCAAGGCATTTTGGCTGCAATGGGGATAAAAAAAAAATTAAAATGGAGTAGACCCTTGGCAGAGACATACAGTTTATAGCCATTGTATTAGAGAGCATTAGAGCTCTGAAAGAGACATATAGTGTTCCTGTCATAGAAACAGCATGTGGCAAGACCAGGAGGTTAGACTGTGCATGGCTGATTTCAGATAATGAAATGGAGCACCACACCTCTGGGAATTTGAGAAAAAGTAGTGAAATAGAAATGTGAAGTGGAAGAGTTAAATCATGGCCAGATGACAAAGATTCTTATCAGCCATAGGTACATTTGAACAATTTCCCTTGGGCAAATGGGCATCTATCCACAGATGTTAAGTAAGGAAGGAACACAAGATTTCCATGTTTTAGAAAGATTTATCTGGCTACAATATGTAGAGTGAGTTGGTAAGAAACAGAAAAAAAACCCACAAAACCCAAATGGGGATCCAATAGGCAGTTGCAAGAATTAAGGCAGGAGATGGGGGTCGCCTATGTTACAGAGGTGTGTATGGTGATTGAGTGAATCAGAGCACTTAGGAGAGATATTAGGCATCTGAACTAACGCAGCTTGGTAGATGGGCTGTGGAGAGGGAAGCAGCAGGCAAATACCAAAATGACACACAGGTTTCTAATTAACCAAAATCTCTACTTATGTCGTATTGCCATGTCCATAGTCTTTTCTTTTAAGTTTACTGGGTTATTTAAACACTGCTTTAGTCGCATAGATTGATATGCTCTATTCTTTCTTTCTTCTGCAAATCACAACTAAGCCGTTACCACCATGGGCACTAGGAATATAGCAGTGACCAAAAAAAGCTTTCTATGTGCCAGTAATGCTGATGAAGATGAATGCAAGTTCTCATCTTCTAATGTGCTAATTCAATCCCTGGTGGGCATTCTGTATAGTAGTAAAAAGCACAGGCTGTGAAGAGAGATGAACTTGGGTTTTGAACTCTAATTCTACCACTTACTGGCTCTGATGTTAATTAAGTTACTTAAACTTTACCATCTGTTTCATCATGAATTAAAGGAGAATAATGATCCTATTTCAGGGTTTTAGTTAAATTTTCAGTTAAATTTGTTGCCATAAAAGCGTTTTTACTCCTTTCCATCTTTCGATCTATAACAATGACTAGAGCAATGAAGAGATTGAGAGAGAGAGGAGAGAGAGAGATGCAATTTCTAGTGAAATGGGACAATTACTTTAAAGCTTCATCACATATTTTGAAAAAAGTAGTTGCCAAATATGATTTTCATACTAAATGAGAGACAATGACAAGAATTGACACAGACCTCTTCTGAATTTTGGAAGGGTTATATGTCATACATCAGAACTGAGATTTTCAGCCCTCATAGTCATATCTGCTGATCTTAGACACAGGATAAGTGAGTAATATCAAAGAAGAGAGCAAGTTCAACTGCCAGAGAGGTTGGGGTGGGGGGTGTGTGGAGCTGAAGAAAGACTGTCATAGGACCCCTTCCTTGTTATCTGGAACACAGCTTCTCAGCTGAGGGAATTAACCTTGGCCTAAGGCAGGGTGCAGTAGGAAGGAGGAGCTGTGGGCAGCCTTGGCACTGATTAAGGGAAAAAGCTAAGCAGAGACAGACACCGTAACAGATGTTACAGAAAGTGTGTGTCCAAAGAGACTCTACCCAAAGCAGAGAATGGGGAAAATAGAGGCAATCTGTGCCTCAGGGTAGAGGACAGGGAAGATTGAATGAGAGAGTATCTAGAGTTAAAAACAAACCAAAAACTGTAGTTGAAGTTTTGGCTGAAAGAACTCACATTCACAGTCCTCGCTATAGGACTTAACACCTCTAAGACATCATTGGCATCAAGGAATTAGAGTTATTTTGCTTTTTGTTTTAATTAGCATTTAACACATATACATAAAGTTGCATAAAACGTACATATGCAGTTGAACAAAAGCAAACATCCATGTAAGTATCCAGAGACCCCTTTTAGGGTACACATAGAAAATCGTAAGCACCCAGAATCTCCTACTGTGATCCTTGTTGGTCGTTCATCCTTCTTTTCCGCCAGAAGTTATACATGTTAATTTTTATAAGAAACAATTTCTTCCTTTTTCATAGTTTTGCCTCTTCTCTATGTTCCCCCAATCAATGTGGTTTAATTTTGCTTATTTTTAACACATTACACAAATTGATAATACCATATGACTTCAGAATGTCAACATTATGTTGTGGAGATTCATTTATGCTATTGCATATACTGGTAATTTATTCATTTTTGTGCTTGTATGTAATAGCTTGTTATGAATATATATCACAATTTAATCTTTATACTCTCAATGCCTGGGTTCTGCTTGTATTTCTACTAATTTTTCTTTTAACAGGAAGAAACATTTAAAATTTGTAAGATACTTTTTTCCTAATGGCATTGCATGATTATCTTCAGATAAAAGACAGAATATAAAACATTTTTTAAAAATACACATTTCTCTATTTAGAAAAGTTTTCCTATTTTTCTTATGCAGCTAGAATAAAATCCATAGGAACTTCCAGAAAGAGATTCTCTCCTTATCATTAGAAATAGTAAAATTGTTTTTATATATACAATGCGTATATTAGAGTTAAATAATTAGATACAATACATTGTATATGTATATACCTCCATATACATATACGATGTGTATAATATAAACAGAAGTGGCCAGGTGCGGTGGCTCACGCCTGTAATCCCAGCACTTTGGGAGGCCGAGTTGGGCAGATCACGAGGTCAGGAGATGGAGACTATCCTGGCTAACATGGTGAAACCCCATCTCTACTAAAAAAAATACAAAAACATTAGCCTGGCGTGGTGGCGAGCGCCTGTAGCCGCAGCTGCTCGGGAGGCTGAGGCAGGAGAATGGCGTGAACCTGGGAGGCGGAGTGAGCCAAGATCGCGCCACTGCACTCCAGCCTGGGTAACAGAACAAGACTCTGTCTCAAAAAAAAAAAAAAATAGAGTTAAACAGAAGCATAATGAAAATCTCATATAGGTTTCAGCTATTAGCGAGTCAGGATGGTGTAAACGATAATGTAGTTTAGTTCACTTTCTTCAGATTGTAAGGTTGTAGGTCACTAAAGCTAACATGAGAAAATAGAACTTAATTGCTAAGAGTATAATAAGGGTATGTTATACTTTTAACTTAAGAATAAAGTTAGACAAATAGTTAAATAAAACTTGTTCTTTGGAAAGTGGAATAGAGAAGTAAGGCAAATGTTTCACTCTGTCTCTTGGAGACTAGTTTCTCTCATGCTTTTCCCTCTTTCTGCATTTCTCTGTAAATGTGTTTCTTTGTTTATCTTGCACAACTTCCCCTGGAACCTCATCTTAAATATGACCCAGTGTTCCTGAATAACCACACTTATATTCATCATCTGGAAGAGGAGGTGTCTCTTGGTTCAGATCATTGAGAATGAAAAAGTTGTTAGCATAGATCATCTTTCAGGGTTTTTATTTGCGAGAAATAAGATCTCATATAACAAGTTGCAGCAGAGTAGCATTTAGTGAAAGAGATTAGGTAGCTCTGAAATTCTTCTTGTTAAAGAACCAAGCTTGGCTGTTACACAGCTAGAAACAGAGCATCCAGCTTAAAAACCTGGCTTTTGCTCAGTTCCTCTGACACCAGGGAGTAGACGCTATAAACTCCGTTAGCTTATTGAGGGGAACTGCATTTCTGCATTATTCCTGCTTTCCTCAGGATCCAATCTTTTTGCTTGTAGAAGTTACCTCAGTTTATGCACTGTTACCTGAGTGTATCTGCTTGATAAAATTTAGATTATGTGTTAAATTCTGGCTGTAGAGAGTCAGAAACATAGCTTTTGATTTGCTTGCAATTAATTAATCTGGTGTTTTAAAAATACTCAACTGGACCAATTTGTGTTTAATTCAGCAGATTTTGTTTAACTATTTGTGATTTCTAAAACTAGAGTGCTCTCAACACAATATTAATAAATCATGTTCTTCATCCTCCAAAAACCGACAATATGGTCAGAGATGATGTTGGATGATTGCCTTTTTTTATGAACATTTTAAAATACCATTCACAATCTGAAGGATTCTATTATTCTAGTGTCTATGTACCATATGGTAATTAATTCTGTCCCCAGTGTTGACCTGGTAAAAAGGAAGGAATCTTCTATAGGTAATATTTGACTTGGGTTTTGGAGTAAAAGTAGGCATTCTACAGGAAATAAATGGCAGGAAGATATTTCCAGCTTGAACAAAGGCATGAACGTATAACATTGTATGACATAGGTGGTCTTTAATCAAAGATTCAATTAAAGAAGCAGACCAGATGTGTGTGTGTGTGTACACATGCATGTTTTTGTGCATATATATGTGCACGTATGTGTGGTGTGTGTGTATATTTGTGTATATGTATGTGTTATATGCATACAGACTGCTATGGGTTGAATTGTTTGTACACAAAACCATTGGTTGAGGTCCTGATACCTAGTACTTAGAATGTGAATGTACTTGGAAATAGGGTAGTCGCAAATGTAATTCATTAAGATGAGATCATACTGGAGTAGCGTGGGTCCCTAATACGATATGACTGGTGTTCTTATAAAAAGGGAACATTTGGATACGGAGGCATGCGCACAGGGAGAATACCATGTGAACATGAAAGCAGAGGTGACAGAGGAGTAAAGCCTCTACAAACCGAGGAATGCTGAAGATTGCCTGCAGGGCACCAGAAGCCAGGACAGAGACATGGAATAGCATCTCCCTTAGAGCCAACAGAAGAAACCAACCTTGATTTCAGATCCCTTGATTTCAAACTTACAGCCACCAGAACTATAAACAATACATTTCTGTTGTTTAAACCACACATTTTGTGGTACTTTGTTGATGCAGTCCAGCAAACTCTCTCTCTCTCTCTCTCACACACACACACACACACGCGTGCACACACACACACACACACACACACAGATTAGTTATAGGGATCTGACTTCATGCATTTTTAAGAGCTGGTTAAACAGTCTCTGTAAGAGTGTTTGGCTACTGAACTATCTTCATGTCTCATGATGGACATTTAGATTGAAAGTCCATAGGGCCAGTAGCCAGGAAGGTAAGATGGATGTAAAATGAGAGAGAGCAAGAAAAAGCTGGAATCCACAAGCACAAACTGGAACCCATGTTAGCTCCCACTGCTTCTGATCTTTCATGATGGAATTCAATGGGAGGCTTTGTCATGGAGTTAGCACACACCTGGTCCAAGTGTTGGAGGAGCTGAAGGAAGATCTAAAGGAAGGTGGAGCAGTTACAGGCCCAGTCACCGCATCATTACAACAAGATGTGTCAGCAGATACATGACAATGCGTGTGAACAATGAAATGGCTGCGGCTTCTTCATTTTAACCCCCAAAATCCCCACAAGAATTTTCTGGAGCACTACCCTAACCAAAAACATACAGAGAAAAGAATTTGGGGGAATGTAGTTTAGCTGAGCCAAGTTAATACATTGCAAAGCCACCACACGTGGAAGACAGCAAGGAGTGTTGGATATTTTTGGAAGGAGATGGGAAGTACCCAAATTTGACCACATAGAATATTGTCTGTATTAATATTCTATAAAATAATTGTTGAAATCTCAGCTAATTTTCACTCGCTTTCTTATACTACTATATATAAATATATATTTCTATTCATTTAGTAATGGCTGATCAAATCCATGCAACTTGCCTTGCTTTTTATGACTTGCCTCAAGAAAGAACCTTCTTTTCCCAGTGCTGTTTGGAATCAAATTGAGAAATAGAAGGTGTTCTTATTTCACTGCATTTTCTACTCCATCCTTCTGCTCCTCCTCCTACCCCCTAGCCATCACTTACATAACTATATTTAATGTTGCCCAACACCTTACTTTCTCTTTTACTTGGTGGAAGAATTGGATAATTAGTTGCATTAATTTTATAATAAATTATTTTTTAGATAATGGTATATTAATTAGCTCACCCCAGTCTAAAATCTAAACTTTTTTTTTGTAAACAGTATTATTCATCATTTGGACTAGCACCTAGGTTTTACAGTCAAAGATCATTTGCAAATCCTAAATACTAACTAGCTTGCTCTTTAGAAACTGTTGCCTACCTCATTTCATTGGTCATTTTGATGGTTCAGTAATCTATCTCTTATGTTAAACATTCAGGTGACAAAAGTATGTTAGAATTATTTAACTTCTTCAAGTGTTTACTAATCTCCAAATTAATCTCGTTAATTTCATTTCAACAGCTTTATAAATAAAATTTTCTTTTATAAAAATAAAAGCTGGACTTTGGAGACTCAGAATGGGGAGGGTAGAAGGAGGATGTGGGATGAAAACTACATATTGGTACAATGTACACTACTTGGGCTACAGGTGCACTAAAATCTCAGAATTCACCATTATAAAATTCATCATGTCACCAAAAACCACTTGTACCCCAAAAGCTATTGAAATAAAAAATATAACAAAAAATATAAAACAAAAGCCTTTTTATGATATTTATTTTCTTGACTCTTGCATATGAATACACGCTGTATATTTTGTAATCACTTTTGATTCAAGGAGCAGAGACAGCATTTCACAACCAGAAAACAATGCTTTGTGTCGCTGTACACACACACACACACACACACACACACACACACACACATAAACATTTTAAATAGTTATTTCTGCAAGGGCAGTAGACTGTAGTAACAGTGAATCAACATTGTTTCTTCAATTACATTTTACTGTTAATTTTTTCTTATAAAATATCTTGTTTAGTCACACTAAAAATGGATAAGTGATTAAATTACAATAGAATCCAGAATATATAATTTTCATATCTGAAACATAGAATTATAAGAAATTCCAGTTCTTCAGAGGAGTAGCAAATATTGAAGAACTGTGAACAAGATGACAGTATAAATTGTGACTGCTATGGAAAATGGGATATATACTGCCTAGAATATTGGAAGTGACAGCAGCTGCCATTCTGTTAAGTCTTATAGAGTCATCACCAGATATATTTAACATCTTTTCTCCAATTTTGTCAGATTTCAAAGTTATTTCAATCTATTGAGTTAAATATAAAATTATTTTTATAATGTATTTCAATTTGTATTGTTTTATACCTTTTTCCCAATTTTTTAATGATATTTATTTCCAGACAGAAGTATTAGCTTGCATTTGAGCAATTGACTGTAGAAACCAGGATTTTCCCATTTGTAACTAGAAAAAAAACTATTAAACCACAAAATAAGTCTTCCTTGATAACCGAAAGAGGCCAAGAAACACATCTTACTTAGTACTTACTAAGTACTAAGTAAATATACTTACTTACTTAGTAAATATATGAAAGTCATGTAAACTTAAGTAACACTTTTTAAGTCATTAAGCTGTTTGTCTACTAAGATGATTATGCCATAGGAAGGGGAGACAGAGTGCTCACCCTGTCACTTATTAGCCCTGTGATCATCTTAGTCTTTTTCAGCCTGTTTTTGTGACCTGTGAAATGAGTATAATGTTTGCCTTTCAGATTGGTTAGTGATAATATGTACAAAATATTTTGGAGAGCCTAGTTGTTAGTAGGTATTCCAAATGTTTGCTTCTGATAATATTAGATGATAGACTAATCTGTTACTAAAGTATGATATATGTAATTTTCTGATATAATTAGCATTATTTATATTTATTCTATAATTATGCAGAGTAAGAAATGTTTTGTAGAATGCAACATCACATTTATTTTATTCTTAACTTATTTTAGGTTCAGGGATACATGTACAGGTTTGTTATATAGGTAAATTGTGTTTCATCAGAGTTTTGTGTACAGATTTCTTTCATAATCCAGGTAATAAGCATAGTAACTAATACAAAGTTTTTTGAAACCCTCCTCCTACCCTCCATCCTCCAGTAGGTCTCAGTGTCTGTTTCTTCCTTTCTTTGTGTCCAGATGTACTCGATGTTTAGCTCCCACTTAAAAGTGAGAACGTGGTAGCTGGTTTTCTGTTCCTGTATGAGCTCACTGAGGATAATGTCCTCTAGTTCCATCAGTGTTGCTGCAAAGGACATGATCTTGTTCATTTTTATGGCCGTGTAATATTCTGTAGTGTATATATACTACATTTTCTTTATTCAGTTTACTGTTGATGGGCATTTAGGTTGATTCCATGTCTTTGCTGTTATAAAAATAGTGCTGCTCACTTTTTGAAAGTACCCTTGATGTTAAATCTTTCTCCTCTTGTCCTGCCGCTTATGGCACCATGGCAAATGTTCTTAAAGCCATATGGTCCTTATTTTTTGTAACTCTAAAATGCTTCTCTTATATGTTAATGCATTGCTTAGTGAAGGTGACATAATTGTGTCCATCTTAATACACTGATTAGTTTATTAGAATCCCAACAGAGAATATCATATGATCATAGAATTTAAAGTTAACTTTCATTTTTTGTTGAAAGTAGAAATTATTTTTAAGGCATTCCTGAGGCATAGCATTAAGTATCTACTTAGTTACTTCTGGAGAGAAAGAGGAACTCAGTTTAATTTACCTGTCCTATTGTCTAAACAGTTGTAGCTATTAGAAAAATAATTATTAGGTTGACTAGAAATTTAACAATAACTGCTATTCATTAGTCTTACTTCTGCTCATTGCAGCAACATAAATCAGTTTACATCTTCCTCCATATTACAGATGTTAATAGAATATTCTGTGCCTCAACATCAAGTTTAAAGTCTTTTGCATGCTCTATATTTTTCTCTAATTTACTCAGCAATTACTTATTTGCATACCATATTTCAGCCATAGCGAGTAGCAAGCTGTTTCTTGCCTCCATGTTTACTCTTTCCAAGGGAAATGAGAAAGCATTTTAAACTTGTATTGTCTCAACTGTATTTGAAATGACAACTTCATGCTATTCACTGAGTAGCTCTGTAATAACATCATTTCTCCCTCGGTAAAATCCTATTTATAATGAATGATCCAGACTGCCTGTTCTATGGCACTTAAAATGTTCCAGATTAAAAACAATAACTCAATTAGTTTGCGTTAAGAACATTCTGGAGGAATAAAGCAATATAGTCATATTTGAACATGGAGAGGGTTGGGAAATGTTTAGAGCAAAGTTGGGACCTGATAACCTTAGTCACAACTAAGAAACAGCAAAATGGAGAATTATATGTTAATTGCTTTGGAGGAGGCAGAAAAACTCAGAATTTAGCAACTTATTATGTAGCAGCTAATTATACTTGATTATTTTTGAAAGATAAGGGACTGAATTTGATATTTATCAGGTACACACATTCCTCCCATCTTGTTTCAGCTAAACTACTCCTTTATTCCTAAATTTTTGGCATTTTCCATTTTAGGAGTGTTTGGCAAGCTGAAGGCATCACTTAGGAATTTTGACAAATTCCATCAGATAAAGACCATCAGGAACATACCTGCAGTGAAACAAAGTTTTATTAACTTGCTGTATCAAGGGAGAGTACGCATGATGAGGTACTATGGACTGGATATCTTAGTAAGAAGAGAGAGGCTTTTTTTTTTTTTTTAACAGAATTTAAGCTTACACTGAACAGCTGTAAAGAATGATTCCAGGAATGCAAAGATTAGTTCTGCCTTAAATATCAGATGAGAATAAATTATGGATAAGTTACTGATAAGAAAATTGCCAAAAGCTAAAGGGTTGTGTGACTTTGCTTGTGTCAATGCTTTAGTTTCTGGTAAGAATATCATAGTCTGATTACCATCATGGCTGAGAGGAAGACTCAGTGTGTTATCTTCTTGGAAACTAGACTTGTTAACATGTCTGGAAAGCCCTTGTCTGAAGCTGTGCACCTGAATGGAAACCCAAGGCTGCTTCTCAGTGTCCAGATGACTCACATGGCTAAGACTCTTTAAACAAGAAGGGCATTTCCAGTCCTTCTGATAATATTTCAAATAGTAAAGTTTCTGATAGTCTATAATTTTAGAAAATAAGTTGTTTTAGCGCCTTGTCCTTGATATTGCTAAACAAAAGACATTTTAAAAACTGTTACAATTTTTTGTGACCAAAATATAACATTTAAATACACTACAATTTACACCATCATTCATATTTACACCATCACATTATTTTTTACATATTGGGCAATTAATTACATATTGAGTAATTGTTCTAATACAATTCTATTTAGTGTAAGAAAAATAAAACTAAATAGTCAAAGTGAAGAAAAAGTGTTAAATTTTCATTCTCAGAAGACAGTTTGAACAACCTTCAGGAGATAGATTGCTTTGAAAGACTGTGTAGTATTTTGCTTAATTGATTAATGACTTTTGAAATTTTAGCTTCAGGGACTTTTGAAGATTAATTTAAAATATAATACTGCTATTGATTAAAATAATAATTGGCCTGTTATTTAAGGGTTGTCTTTCTCCTTCAAATGAACTTGTGCTATTTCTGAAAAAAGTGCCAGATCATCAACATATGAAGTACTCAGAAGTATAACTTGATTATATTAAAATGTATCATTTTAGCATCATTAATCTTTACTTTTCAAGCAAAAGGCAATAACTAAGGGGTGAAATTGTTATAACCAAAGAAAAGTTAAAGGATGCTCAGTCCGAAGGTATAGAGTATCTTTCCTACCACACTTCCATGCAAACATTAATTTTTTGGGGTAAATGCAATGTCAGCATCCATAGACTTTGAATAAGAGCAGTTTCTTTTGCTTAATGAGGTGATGTAACCTGTTAATATTTCAGGTCACTACCTTGAGAGCTTTCAGTACTTAAGCAATTTAGACTCACAGAAAATGAGCAGAGGGAGAACAAATAGATCAATACATGATTGCTAAGGCGATGACAAATTTGTAGCACTTCACTTTCAACATAAGGGATCCCAAGAAAAGACAAAATGCACTGCTAAAATGGGAAAATAACCAGTTTTTGCCAGGCAGCAGTAATTTCTGTGACACAACATAAGCAAAAATATGCAGTAAAATTGGTTTGTTATAAAAGAACATGTAACATTAAAGAGATACACACAGGAAATGTGTGATAAACTAGTCTATTATATATTGGAATTTAACAAAAGGCAGACTCATCCTGTACGTATCCAATGAGGTATAGTTATGGAGTCCTTATCCTAAGGTGACTTCATCAATAAGGCAATGAACTAGCAAGCACCTAGAGGCTAATGATGCTGTGATGTATCAGTGTCTTTTAAACTCCATTAGCCGAGGGCAAAAAGAATAGAGATGACAAACACTTCATTAACGAAAGTACAATTATGAAATAAACTTATATGAAAATATTAAAGTTTTAGATGTGATGATATTGATGGATTTACATTTTGAGGGGTACTACTATAAATTATGCTACCATCAAAGAGATAATTACTATGAAATAATTTTAATTAAAAATCCCTACACAAATCAGTTGATATTTGACAAAATGACAATGTACACTATAGATTCTAAATGAGGAGATTTAAAAACTTTGATATGAATTCCTGTAATGTCAGCCAAAAGCTAAGGGAAGCTACATGCCTACAGGAAGCAAGTATTATTTCTTGGTCTAGCATTGCCTATGACAGCTAGTTTAACTCTGCCTAATTCTGGACATCAGCTTTAGCAAATTTACTTGTCAAAGATAACTAGTTCTGTAGTGTTTCACTAGTCTCTATTAGTAATAAAATGATTTGTTTGATATCTCATCTGTTCAGACTAAGAATCTTTTTTCAAAATTACAATAATCCTTATTTCATGGAAACTTTGCGAAGTTAAATAATGTGCCCAATACCAGAAAAAGTTTTCTGCTTTGATAGTCTCCCTCACACCCCTTCTCTTCTAACCCTTCTAATATACAGATGCTCCTCAATTTATGATGGGGTTACATCTGGATAAACTTATTGCACTTTGAAAATATTGTAAGTCAAAAATGTATTTTTAACTTAGAGTATTTTCAACTTATAATGGGTTTATCTGGATATAATCTCATTATAAGAAAACACAATTATAAAGTGGAAAATTTCTTAAGTTGAACCATTGTGAGTTGAGGACTGCCTATAACAGTCTTGGGAGAGTGAACTTTGAGGTCTAGTTTACTTTGGAACAGAAGTGCAGGGCATATACTTTTGCCTATATACCCTGATTCAGTCTATTGAAGTCACTCTTGTCTCTAACCCATGAAGATGGCAAAATCATCAATCCTCTCTGGACATAGTCTTGATCAATTATATTGTAGAAATGCCTCTGAGTGGCATCCATCTTCTACTTTCCATCCCATATTTTTAAATTTCATATTTTTATTCCTTTTCATTTTTAGACTTGCATCCCAACTTATAGCTTGCTTAAATTAGCTCCATTTAAACATTTTTAGCATTCACTTTCACAATGTTTATCAACATTACCATCTAGGGAGTCACTGTGTTTTGAATTCAAACAACACTCTAAAAATAAAATGTGTTAACTAGTTGGAACTACATCTTAACAAAATAATTTAAAATGACTAGAATGATCTGTATCTATCCATATCAATTAATATTTAAGGCTTTTAGATTCAAATAAAGACTATTTAATGCCTATATTCAGGCTGAGTTTCACTTTCAGTTGCTGTGATCAATTTTGACCTGAATCAGTAAGAATTTCAACATTATCAGCTCTTCAGTTTGGGCGTGGACGTCAAGCCACAACTGAGGCCAGTCTGACTCTAGAACTGTGCCCCAAGCTCTGACAATTGCTCTCCTCTTGTGCACAACAGTTTCTGAGTATCTTTCTTAATTTTTCTCTGTTTTCTCTTTGCCATTTTAGTGTCAGAATTCTGTCCCAAGTCTGGAAACTAGAAAAGGATTCATTCAAATCGTGTTTCATAGAACAAACCAAATCAATCATCTAAGAACTGAGATAGGAATTTCACCTCAAGGCAGAATTTATTTAAGAAACAAGTTTTATGTGCTAAAATCTGTTAGATTCTGTAGGTGTAACTTTGACTAAAACTAAAATGATTCTGCCATTATTTAACGTAAAGGCAACGTGAGATGAAGGCCAATTACAAAGGATTGTGTTATAGATGCTAGAAAATTTTTAAAAAACAGCAAACTTTTTTCTGTATTCTCATGGCACTTCTCACACCAAATGTGTGTCTGTTCCATACTAAGCAAGTCTCCAAATCTTCAAATACTAATTGGTATCCTATAATTCAGTCTAATTCTGATGCTGTCTACCAGGAGTTAGTATAGATTCCACAAGTAAATGGATTAGTCCGTCAAGATTGGCTCCACTTCAGATGCCAGTCTTGAGCCCAGGCCTCCCCACTTCCAACCAACCAGCTGCAAATCAGGTCTTTCTACAACCCCTTTCTTGGGTTTGATAATTTGCTAGAATGACTCCCAGAACTCAGGGAAACACTTTACTTACATTTACTGGTTCCAGAACCTCTGTGTGTTCAATGACCCAGAAGCTCTCCGAATTCTATCATTTAGGATTTCTGTGTATGTTCCATCACACAGGCATGATTGATTAAGACATCAGCTATTGGTTATTGAACCCAATCTCCAGAGCCTCTCCACTCCCCAGAGGGCAGGAGGTGGGACTGAAATTTCCAACCCTCCAATCACATGATTGGTTGGCAAACAGTTCCCATTCTCCAAGATTCACCTCATTTGCATAAACTCAGGTATATTTTAAAGGGACTTATTATAAATAATGAGATGATCCTCTCACCACATCACTCAGGAAAGCCCAAAAATGTTAGGAGCTCTGTGCCAGGAACTGGGGAAGAAGACCAAATATGCATTTCTTATTATGTCATAATATCACAGGTGCTATTTGAGAGAATAATGGGATGCTATAAGCCCATTCTGACCATTTTCTTCCTTGGGAAAATTAATGTAGATTTCTCCAGATTTTTGGTTGTGTGCTCTGTTTGCCAACTAGCCATTGAAGTTCAATGTATTCATTCATTCATTCATTCATTCATAATTCACATTATATTTCAAAGAGTATTTAAACTTGTATTTTATGCTAGCCCCTATGCCAAGTGCTAGGTAAGATGATGACAAACTAAATAGGAGACCTCACCTTGGCTAATCCACAGTGTGGCATAATTGATATGAAGAGAAAGACCAGCTTGATATGTGAAAGGTTGACAAAGAAATTACTTTGATTATGTTGCTCTCTTATTTTGACTGTTTATCTGGAGATTGAATCTTACCCTTATAATGAATTTTCTTTGGTAAACTGTGGCTGAGTCAGCCCCAGCCGCTTCTCAGTTTCCTCTTCTGCCCCAGCTTCGTGTCCTCTTTCCCTATTCTTTCTAGTGTCCACTCTACCCCAATAGGCAATCAGTTATGTTCTGGTCAATTCTATCAAATCATGTACTAACTTGATTCACTAGTCACATCTAAAATAGAGTTTCACCAATCTCTAAAGAGTGGAATGATGTTAGAAAAAGTAAAGTAAGTTTTGTGAAATAAACAGAGCCAATAATAATATAAATCTATATGTAAATATATCTTATTTCACAAAATTTTCTTTAAAAAGGCTTTATGTTTATAAGCTATTTTGGGTAATATGTGTTAGAAAATCCTTATTCAGTGGAAATATTCGGTCTGCAATCCATTATTGGCATAGTGCTATGGCAGTGATAATAACTGGTCATTTTATTTGTGGTAATCATTTGAAAAATGTATGGAATCAACTTTGGAATTTCTGTATCACTTTACAGGCTTTGCATGTTAAAAAGGAATGTAGAAATTGATGCAATATTGGCCAATATATGCAATTCTGATGGTAGAGATGATAAATAGTCTTCCCAGTTTTGTATTTCCACTTATATCCTCTAAAATTATCCCTAAAAAATAGCTATTCAGTCAGTACATCACAGTCTTTGTGCATCTAGAAGTGGACATACGACTAGTGGTTTCTTGTTTTTTTTTTTTAAACTAGTGAAATATGAGCCAAAGTGACGTGTGTCATTTCCAGGCCAAGGTTTTTAAAAAAGTTGGTGTTCATTCCCCATACTTTTCCTTCAACAGCTAGAATTATATTAGATGTGGTCTTAAACAGAAGAAGCCTCATACCTGAATCACCACATGAAAAGCAGTGATCTGTGCACATCGAGCAATGCTTTGAACTCTGACATTAGCCAGAAATACTTTTGTTTTATTTCAGGTATTAGAGACTATATGTTATAGTACCTAGTATTACCCAAACTAACAACTCTCTTGGTACATACTGTGACAATACATTAGGAAGAATTGAAAATAAGGTTTTTATTCTTATTCAAGCAAAGCGAGTCTCACATTGTGAATAAACATTTTTGATGCGAGGGAAGGATTTGAAAGGATATTCTAGTGTGAAACAGCACTTTCTTGAGCTAGTCAGAGAGGGAGAAACAATTGAATTTGAGTTTTTGAAATGGGTATTTGAACTCTTAATGAATTGATGTTTTTCCAAAAGTATGTTTTATCAAATATGATTGGAAAACAATGCATTATGTATCCAACCTCTAGAGTTACATGTGCATTATCACATTAAAGGTTTTTTTGTTTTGTTTTGTTTTGTTTTGTTTGAGACAGAGTCTCACTCTGTTGCCCAGACTGGAGTGCAGTGGTGTGATCTTGGCTCACTGTAACCTCCACCTCCCAGGTTCAAGCGATTCTCCTGCCTCAGCCTCCTGAGTAGCTGAGACTACAGGCATGTGCCACCACACCAGGCTAATTTTTTTACATTTTTAGTACAGACGTTGTTTTACCATATTGGCCAGGTTGGTCTTCCAACTCCTGACCTCATGAGCCATTGTGCCCAGCCCAGATTAAGGGTTTTAAAGACCTGAAAGCAAACTGGTATTTCTTAATCTCAGCTTTTCAAACTTGCCTTACAGGGCAACTCTTTTCCCCTTGTAATACCTGTTAATATCTCACTGGAATATGTTTGGAGAGAAACATTGGAAGTACTCGCTGTAACTTACTCTGAAGTGAAGTTTAGCTTCACATAAGATTACCATTCAAGCTGATTACCAAATGTTATTGCTTGGAGCTACTTTTACAACAGGGAATGGTGGGTAACATCTAGGTCACAGGTGTCAGAGTTCAAGCATTGAATCCTGATTCTATCTCTCACTGCTAGCTGTATGAATGGGGACAATTTCCTCTGGTCCTAAATTTCCTCACTGTAAAATGTGTTTGTTATGAAAATTAAATTAGTTGATACACATAAAGATCTTATGTGTAGAGCACATAGTAAGCGCTCAACAAATATAGATGGTATCTGCACCTCTCTTTAAAAAGTCTAAAGCTACAGAGGAGTGAAGAATCCCATATATTAAAAACAAACAAACAGAAATGAAAACAAAAACAAAACAATCATCAGCTCAGAGGGTAAATGATATACCAAAAATGGATACACCTTTTTTGCCAAATAAAAACAAGAGATACATTATTGAAGAAGCAAGATGAAAAGAGAAAACAAAGTAAACAAAATCCTAGTACCATTTGCATGCTTGTAACATTTTCCCAGTGTTAATCCATTTTTTTCTTCTGTTTACCACTTCTTTCTCTTAAAATTACTGAAAAAAAAGAGCCTCCAAAATCCTCAAGAATGGTTGATACTTTGGAGAATGGAATAGAAAGAAAGTAGGAAGGAAGGAAAAGCTGCGAAAATTCTTCTGTGTTTCTCAGAGGAATGAGGCACGTCAGAAATGGGAGGCGGCAGCCAGAGGGAGCCCGTAGCTTAATTAAGTCTCACAGGAGACACTGTGATTGCATCTTAAGTGAGGGGAAGAATGAATACAGAATGGTTCCAGGGCAGTTTGTATCAACAGGGGACCCCTCCCCTTGTTTCTTCTCTCTGCCTTCAAAAGTGTTTCTTAAATACCAATATGTTGTCTTCAGCTTTGTCTTTTTTATTTTTTTTAAGTTTCAGAAAATTAAGAAGATTAAAAAATGAAATTTGTGTATAAGGGAAGCTCACTTTGGAGACATGAGATCATTTATTCTGGAAAATCAGTGTCTGGGGGAAACAAAAGCAGCAACAATAGTCAGGCAGACATTTAAGTGAGGCTTTAATCTACAGGCTCAGCACAGATGAAGACTGTGTATGAAACAACAGATCAAAAGTAGCCAGTCCTAGGCAAGAGACTTCACACAGCATAAAGTGTGTAGAGAATTTGCGACCTTGGAATTAGGCATGTATTTACTTATCTCTTAATGCACTGCATGGAACTTTACAACGAGTGGGAAAGCATGTGTTACAGGCATTGATCAAATATCTATCAACATGTCTCAATTATTTATCCATCCTATTTGAGCCAAACTATTACACTCATGCCAGACAGGGATAGGAAAATGACTCTGTAGTAACTGCAGATAAACAGCGAGTGCGATGTTGTGCATTTTATTTTGTGAATGGTGACATGCCATGTTAATCAAAATAACCACATTTCACCTTTCAGCTTTCTTTAAATTGAAGCCCTTGAAGTCTTTTTGGATCTTTTCTTTTCTCCTGGAGAGCTAAAGCATAGCTCCCTACATTTTCTCAGGTGTGCCTATGGTTGTAATTATCACTGTATGCTGATGCCACTGATTTTCTTCTTAGCCCAGTTTTGTTCTCTAGCTCCTGCATAATTTATTCAGCCATATCTATTCAGGTAGGACCAAAATAGAGCTCATGATCTCCAACCCCAATGCATTTACTTTGCAAATCAATAAGTTAGAAATTACCTATGACACCTCTCTGTCCCTCATCATTTACACAAAATTCACCATTGATTCCTTCTACATGTCATTAAATAGTCATTTGAAATATTAATTTCATGATTATGTAGTATTTTATCTTTGTTCTCGAATGTATTTAACCATCTTCTCTTCCGGGTATTTAAGCTGATTCTAAGTTTTCATTATTATATGTAATATATAAAATAATAAACATTCACTAATGTATTAAATAATATAGTATATAATTGATTTTATTAATTACTAATTATTTCCCTATTGATAATTTCAAACCTCCTAGAAGCCATAAGTTACATTCATAAAATTGGTCTTTAACAGGAAAAAAATGATGATGCCAAATGTTTTGATTACTTTTGAAATTCAAATAGTTGCAAATGTACTCATTGTTTACACATTTGTAAATGTTTTCATGAAAAAGTCAAGAAAATTTAATGTGTAAGAGACCCTTAACCAATATTAACATTTTAGAACTACATACATCATTACAGATTGCCCCTAAGGATCACAGGTGTTTCTTTTGTTGACTATATTAAAGAAGACACTAGCTTTGTTAAAATATTTCTTTTATATTGGAAAGAATATTTGGAACATATGATATAAAAGTGGGTGAAATACTTACAATCATATATCTGGAAATAATTCTCTTTATAACAAGTATCTACCAAGTACTAACTATGATTAGGAACTGTGCTAAGTGCTTTGCATGAGTTGTCTCTCGATGATCTAATGCAACTGGTACCATTATCATCACATTGTAGAGAAGAAAAATAACCCTCATGGTAAATATTTGTCCAAGGCTATTAATGACAAAGAGAACATGCTTTTAATATCTGAGTATCCTGCTATCACTTAGTATTGAAAAATATTATTTAGAATACTAGATACAACTAAATTCACAATTCACCACCTTCTGAAAAGAGAACCAGCTTCAGAAATATAAACAACAAAAATTATTTCATCTTGATTATCTACATCTTCTGTGTGAGTCAGTTTATTCATAATAACAGGTTTTATAAAATTGTTGTCATGAAATACTAATAATATATAATTATAAGTGAATTTACTAATGGGAGTAAATGCAGGACCAATACTTTTGTATATCTGTTTTCTTACGTGTAACAAAGTAACATGGAGAATTTATAGCTCTGTTATTACTTTACCAAATTTCTTGCTCTCAATTCCAAATTCTACTTTTTCTGAATTAGCACATTACCTTTCTTTTCATGAACAAGTAAACAAAGGCCAGATCGGTTATATTTCTTTACCAAGGCCAAGAACTTGAGTCAAAGACCCTGATACACATGCAGAATATAATCATTTCTACTCCCCATTGCATCCTGCTGTCACACATTAACATCTTGTTGACTAAAACTTGACTCATATGATGCTATGAAAAACCAGTAATTTTCAGATATTAAAATTCTCTATCACAGGAAAGTTACTTAAATATTTAAAAAGTAACTGCTCTTTTTTCTGTCTTCTACAGCTGCCATTTTCTGTAAATATTTATAATTTCATTAATTCTGTTTAAATCAGGAAGTCATCCTTCTGAAAAGGACTTTACTTAGAACTACAGGTTGAAAACTAAACATTTCCCACCACATAGATTTTTCTTTATGAAAATGTTACAGTTGAGAATATGAACAACACCTGACCTCTGTTATATTTGTCATTGCCCTGACTCAAGGAAGGGCAGACACTGAGTTTAAGTACAGAGAGCCTATAGTCAGGTATTTCTCTAGTATAACAATTCTTTTCATATTACATAAAGGATATGCCTTCACTTTGTAAACAAATCTGATTATATGGATAAAGTGACCAGCATCTGCTGAAATCCCCTTTCTAACTTACCAAACTTAGTGGTTTGTGTTGTGTACTTACAGTTCTATTTCTACACATTTGCATTTGCAGTGCATTTAATGGTCAAAAACACATACTATTGTATATTACTGTAAATAATATAATTAAGATGCAGTGTTTTATTACAACTAAATATAATTCAGTTTTTCTTTTATGTATACTCAGTAATATGTATGAGATCTTTCCAAATTAATATGTTTGGATCCATCATATTTACTTTTACTGCTACAGAGGAATGTCTGAAGTTTCTATTTCTGTTTTTTCTGGATTTCAATTCCTCCAATAAAAGTGTCCATCTTGTCATCTATTATACAACTATCCTGGAGGTCCATTTCTACTGTTTCTTATGTTTTTTCTGGTTTTTAATAATTTAATTTTACATTCTGGTATCATTGTTACTTTTTACTGAATGCCAGTCCTTTTGTGTTAAAAGAAAAAAAAAAAAGCTGGGAGTAATTTGTGACTCTGAATACTAACTTTCTCCAGAGGAAAGCTTAGCTTATTCCAATGAGGAATTGAGCTTACTCGTAGCTCTGTTTCAGTGGTTGTAGCATTTGCCTGTTTTGATGCGTCGTTACTCCTGGTATGTAATTGGTCACATCTGAAAGCCTGGAGAATTTGCCATGTCCCTTCTACCGTAGCAGGCCCTGAGATTGATTTTTTCTTCCATGCCCTGGAGACTGATGATAGGTCTACTTCGTTTTTCAGACCCTGTGCTGCTTTGGCACATGCCTCATGTTGAAAAAGTTTCAGTCACATCTCTTCATGCGCCTTCTTTTCAATATCTTCACTCTGAGTGCAAACTATCCGGGTAGATCTCTGATGCCTTGAAACATAAATATTTTTCTAGCTTATTTAGAGTTTATTGTGTATGTTAGTCCTCCACAGCCAAAGTTAAAGTACCTTCAAATGGCTTTTTAATACTTAAAAGGTGTCCTTTTCAAATAATATCCTAATCATGTACGATTCACAAAAATACAAATGTAGGCAATATTCTAAGTTGGATAGGAAATCATACATATCCACTGCCTTTAATATTTTAAGATTTTAAATTGTATATCATTTTTATAAGCAATATAGCAATACCTATCGAATTTTGGAATGCTCATATATATTGATTCAGTATTTTTTCTTCAAAATATGTATCTTAATTATTATATACACATACAAATGTACCATATAATAAACCTGTAAATGAATTTCAGCTCTCTTTATATTAGTAAATCCCTATGACCTACCTGGATTCCATTATTAGTAGATTGATTTTATAAAGTTTTATGAATTAATGCAAGGCAATACTATGTAACTATTAAAAAGGTGAGATAGAAGTACCTACATAGAATCATGAATGAAAACAATCCACAAAACATATTACAATCTTTACAGGATGTTAAGTAAAACAGGGAATTTTAGAAAACTGTATTTTATATGGCATTATTTTTAATTAAAATGTTGTATTAATGTACGAGTGTGTGTGAAATAGTAATTGTCTGAATGACAAGAATGGATAAGGGGGCCGGGTGCGGTGGCTCACCCAGCACTTTGGGAGGCCGAGGTGGGCGGATCATGAGTTCAGGAGATCGAGACCATCCTGGCCAACATGGTGAAACCCCGTCTCTACCAAAAGTACAAAAATTAGCTGGGCATAGTGGTGCATGCCTGTAGTCTCAACTACTCAGGAGGCTGAGGCAGGGGAATCACTTGAACCCAGGAGGCAGAGGCTGCAGTGAGCCAAGATCACACTACTGCACCCCAGCCTGGCGACAGAGTGAGACCCTGTCTCAAAAAAAAAAGAATGGATAAGGGAACAGGAAATTGTGGGATTAGGGGTTTAAAGTCATCTTACTTCCACTGTGTTACCTTTACGTGCCACTCTCCGTATTTAACTTTTTACTATTGTAGTTTATACAAAATAGGATAATTTGCTATAAATGGTAAAGTGGAGTCAATCTAATCACTGGGCCTGTAAAACTGACAAAGCAATTAGAGACTGATTTTCATTTTCATTAGGAGATCTCCTTATTTCAGTGTTACAACTCAGTGTGTGATAACATGTAAGACAAATGGTATATAGATTCAAGCCTTTCTGGGTCATCTAAATCCAAGTAAAAATGAGCAGTATATGACTGATGATCAACATTTAACAGGGCTGTTTTCTCATTTAGGGATTTAGTGCATTATCTCATGACTTATGAAGACATAATAGCTAATAATAATATTCTGGTAATATATCAGTGTGATCAGATATTTCTTTTGATTTGTTCAAAAAATTTAAGAAATCGCCATAGAAATTATTCATGGGGATGAGTTACCCTTTTGTACCTTTCTCAATAACAAGTTTTTGTATCACTGTTGACAAAGTTTTCAATGTTAATATTAACCAATGGCTCCATGGAGAGTACAAAGTTCAGGCAACTTTCAAATTGTTTTGAGCCATCTGAAGGATTTGTGAAGAGATTAGTGTATAGTTTATTAATCTGAAATCAGTTGGTTTAATGAAGATATTGGTTCCAGATTTTGGATCAGGATTTTGAAATAAAACCAGATAGTCTCAAGGCTAATGTTCAGGACATACAAAACTCTAAGATATTTCATATGACAAAATTATTTTGCCAAACTTCTGAAAAGTACCCTGCTGGGTAAACTAGTTACTCTCTAATAGCCAATTCTAATAGAGCTTTAGTCTTTATGTGGCAAACAGAGTCAAACAAAAATATTCAAAAAAAGATATATCTGCACTTCCTCATGCTATCACAGTTTATGCAGACAATTATTTAGGTTGGTGCAAAAGTAACTGTGGTTTTGTGATGCAATTTTCACCTCCTCCTCCTTTTGCCATGTGATGTGCCTCTTCCCCCTTTGCCTCCCGTCATGATTGTAAGTTTCCTGAGGCCTCCCCAGAAGCCAAGCAGATGCTATCCCCGTGCTTTCTGTAAAGCATGCAGAACCATGAGCCAATTAAACTCTTTTCTTTATAAATTACCCAGTCTTGGGTATTTCTTTAAAGCAATGCAAGAAAAGTGCATTAAAAGTAATGACAAAACCCACAATTTCTATTGCACCAATCTAATAAAACATTATGAAATACAACAGTTAAAAAAATACAATTTTGTCCTTTTGATTTTGAATTAGTGTTGCCACAGTTATTATGAAACTGGCACTGACACCATTAAGAAAGCTTAAATCACCAAGTCTAAGTGTATGGGGGAAAATTCAGTTTCATATAGTGTGAGTTAATTATTGGATTCTTAGTCTATTCTAATGGAGAAGCTAGTCTATTAAATAATATGGCCAGTTACTTTATGCTTTAAAATACTGATTCTGAGTAAGTGAGAAGTGGAAAAAAGTAGAGACAAAGGCACATATAAGCCATCACATGTTATAAGGTATTTTAAGACCTAAAATCAAAAATCTGGAAATTCAAGTTATTTTAGAACTCAATTAACTAATCATACCTTACTTTGATACATAGGTTTATTTTATTTACACACTTAATGTACGTATTCTTTTTTAATTATTCACTATTATAAGAGAAGTTGTTATGCATGAAAAACAATTATATGTTAGCATATTTATTTTGTATAAACTTTATCAACTTCTGAGTTGAATTAAATATCTCTATACACCGTAATATTTGTTGCATATTAGGCTTACTCAAAGCATTCTGGTTTTGATGAAATTAACCCACAGTTAAAAAAACCGAGATCAATATTACATTAGTATTCCACCTTTCAATCCACTATGTTTTGCCTTTTTCTTATTTACCATTGCAGATTGAAAACATCTTTTATCTTTAATGGTTTTAAGACACATAATATATTGCTTTTGTTCAGCTATTTTAGATTATATGAGGAAAAATGCCCTAAGAACTGATTGGGAACCAACTCAATGTGAAAATAATTAGAATGACAAGTTCATTAGGAAACATGTTACTTATTAGAATGACAGAAAATTACCTTTTTTCAGGTCATTTAATTTGGAATAGATGAAACAAAAGTTTCATTCCATCACTCTGTTAAATAATTGAAGTCAGTAGGTTTTTCCATTTCTACAAGCAAAATAACAAAAATTGAGAAGAACTAATGTTTTCTGTGGAATTGTAAAAAACTAAGTCTTTCTTAGGAGATAGTGAATTATCCTACATTTTAAACAAAGCTGTAGAAAATGTAACTTGATAAGAGAAACTTATACTTTTTTTTTTAAGGAGCAAAATCAAGGTCGATGAAAACGGACTTTGTCTACATCTGCAACATCAAATACAGTGTCTGCCATGCAGTACCTTCTTAATATATATTTGTTCGATAAATAAAATAATGTAAGGTATTACCAGGGATTTTTGACATAAAAATTTTTAAAACATACCAATTGTTTTAAAGAAGTTAAACAATTCTATGAAGTTTAGTTCTAATCACTTAGTAATGAAGAAGTTCTAATCACTTAGTAATATTTACCATATAGTTTAAGCTTCAATGAATTTCAGTTATTACAAAGTTGGAGTGGATTGAATAATGTCCTTCAAAGATTCACACCCCCTAAACTTTCAGAATGTGATCTTATTTGGAAATTCGTATCTTTGTAGATGTACTTAAGTAAAAGATCTCAAGATGAATCACCTGGGATTTCAGGTCTCCACCCAAATCTCATGTTGAATTCTAATCCCCATTGTCGGAAGTGGGGCCTTGTGGGAGGCATTTGGTTCCTGGAGGTGGATCCCTTATGGCTTGGTGCCATCTTTGTGATAGTGAGTTATCTCGAGATCTGGTCAGGCGATAAAAGTGACTAGATCGACACTCTCTCTTTCTTGCCTGCTCCCCCTTTGCCTCCCACCATGATTGTAAGTTTCCTGTGGCCTCCCCAGAAGCCAAGCAGATGCCAGCACCATGCTCCCTATAAAGCTTGCAGAACCTTGAGCCAATTAAACCTCTTTTCTTTATAAATTACCCAGTCTTGGGTATTTCTTTATTGCAATACAAGAATGGCATAACACAGAGTGGATCTTAAATCCAATGACTGGTGTCTTTATAAGAAGAAAAAAAATACAGAAAGGCACAAAGGGAAAGTACGTTAAGATGGAGGTAAAGATTAGAGTTATGCTGCCATAACCGAAAGGACAGCCAAGGTATCAGAAGCTGGCAGAGGCAAGGAAGAGTTCTTCTCTAGAAACTGCAGAGGGAACATGACCCTGCTGACAACTGAGTCAGGATTTCTGCCTTTCAAAACTGTGAGAATTTTTTTGGCCACCAAGTTTATTTGTTGCGGTAGTTTTAGTAAATTAATATAGATCTGGAAAGCTAGAAAGTGCATTATTCTCACCCTTAAAATAACAGCAATATATAGATTATTCTACAATTACAACTTCTGTTAAATCCATCAAGGCACTGAGGTTGCAAAATATCCAACTTACACAAAATCTAAACAAAGATGAGTGACATCAAGGAGAGATAGGAGGCAAACCCTTGATTCTTTGGGGCAAACAACACGCAGGTGCCCATGGGAACAGTACCCCCAAGGGGAATTCACAGGGACTTTCAGTCTCTTAGTGAACTAATCAAGTGGTTATGAGAAAAATCTGGGGGGACCAGAAAAAGTCTTCCTCATGTTGTTCAGGTGTGAGTGCTGGGGTAGGGGAATGAGAAGCAACCTCAGTGAGAAAGATATCCAGCCTTTCCTAGATAGGTGTTTCTCCTTTATCTCCAATTAAAAGTTTAAACTGATGAGAAAATAGTAAATCCAGTCAACATCAGGAAACAGGCTAAGAAACAACTGGATTTCAGAGAAAAAGGAGAGGAAAATGTCCTGATCCGAAACCATTAGAAAATTTATACGTCTTAGTGAGGGACAGGATAAATAAGAAGCACTCTCCCCAAGACACAGGGGCACAGTGCATGCCTAAGATGGACAATAAAACAGAAAAACAAAATTTGACTCTCCCACCTCCGTGCACCACCACCACCACCATCAGGCCCACAAATTCAATAATAAGCAATAACCATCTACTACTGGGGATGGGGGCGGCACAAGAGCATGGAAAAATAAACTCTTTAACAAGCAAAGGAAGACTTTATGCTGAAGGTAGGGAAGATATTGTGAAAAACACTCTGGGAAATCATCCCCAATCCTAAGCACAAGGTGACTCTAGAGGAAGGTGAAGCCTGTGGGGAATTGGTAACAACCATGGAAACAACAAATCCCAGACTCAGCTCAGCTGGCTGGATTGATTCAATTACTCACACCACAGGTCTACCACAAAACAGGTGTGGCCCCAGAAATAAATAGTTGCCATTTATCTCAGTTTTCACTGCTTTACAGAAGATGTCAACTTTCAACAACAACAACAAAGGAGACACCTAAATAAGGAAGAATAAGCAACATACATTCTGGAGACAGAGTCAGTCTCAGCTCCCACCCAGAAGTTAGAATTATCAGGTAGGGAATATAAAGTACCTATTACTACTATGTTAACTACTTAATATAAAAGGTGAACAACATGCATAGGTAATTTCTGCAGAGAGATGGAAATTATAAGGAAAAATAAAATTTATAGAAATGAGAAGCATGGTATCAAAGAAGAATGCCTTCAACAGGCTCAGCACTAGACTGATTCAACAAAAGCAAAGATCATAGAAGAAAAAAAATAGCATGAGTTGAATTCATACAAATAAAATTTTTTCAAATACACCGCTAAGAGAATTAAAAGATAAGCCATAGACTGGGAGAAAATATTTACAAATAACCTATCTGGTAAAAAAACTTATTTCTAAAACATATAAAGAGCTCTTATAACTCATTAATAAGAAACAACACAAATAAAAGTGGATAAGAAGTTAAAGAGAGCCTTCACCAAAGGAGATAAAAGAATCTCACATGAAAAGATGCTCAACATCATTAGTCATTCAGAAAAATGGAACCGAAAACAAAATGTGATATCACTACACAATTATTAGAATGGCGAAAACAAAACAAAACAGAAAGAAAACATAAATAGCTGATAAATATGTAGAGCAACTAGAACTCTCATATATTGCTGGTGATAATACAAAATGGTATAGTCAAATTAGGCAGTTCCTTAAAAAGTTAAAAGTAGGCTTGCCATATAACCTGGCAATCCCACTCATAGATTGTCCAAGTAAAATGAAATCTTATGTTCATCCCCAAACATGTCTGTGATTTCATATAGCAGCTTTATTCATAATCATCTGAATGAGAAACAACCCAAATTTTTCATGGTAAGGAATGAAAAAATAAGCTATCATATCTTCATTCCATGGCATACCACTCAGTAATCATAAAAATTGAATAACTTCTGATACATTTAATAATTTGGATGAATCTGAAATGCATAAAATTAATGAAGTTAACCAGACTTCAAATGCTACATAGTGTATGATTCTATGTATATGATATTCTTTCTCCCTCACTTCATGCAGGTCTTTGCTCAAATGTCACTTCATCAGCAAGGCTTACCATATCACCCAGTCTAAAAGGGCTCCCAACATTCCCATCATAAACTTTTGCTTACCTATATTTTACTTTCTATGTAGCATTAACGTATAGCAAGTATTTACTGATTTACTGTATATATCCCTCACTGGAATATAAGCTCCATGAGGGTAGACACATTTTTATTCCTATTTGTCTAGAACATGTAGATGTTCTGTAAATATTATTGAATAGATAAATGGTTGATACAGCAACATCGGGATGTTATTGATTAGTAGCTATGTCAGCAGTAGCTTCTACATGATCATCGAATTTGGGTTTAAATACACATCTAAGAGCAGTGGTCACCACTGAGCAGACAAATCATAAAAACACAGGACAGAGGAAGGCTACCATTGAACATATACCATTATTAATCAAGCAGTCACACAAGTGGTGGGAAATGGGGAATATTTATATTATGCATCTAAGCCTCGTAAGTTTTCATAGATAATCTGGAAGTATATTTCCTGTTCATCTTGTGATTATTGTTATATTTTTAAGTTATTTCTGTAAAAGTGAACATATTTTTACTGTTTACCTTATCTCATTTTTTCACATATTTACTTTATAAATATCTGCTTATGGAAATTATCAAAAGTATTATAATTTTACTTGATTATGTTTGCAGTATGTGTGTGTATCCTTGTGTTTGTTTTGTGTAAACAAATTTAGAGGTCATTTATCTTTGCCTTAAATATCCACTAACTGAAAACTGAGAAAGATTAGCCCAGGAGAGTTCTTTTTTTTTTTTCGTTGTTGTTGTTTGTTTGTTTGTCTGTTTGTTTTTGAGACGGAGTCTTGCTCTGTTGCCCAGTCTGGAGTGCAGTGGCACAATCTCGGCTGACTGCAGCCTCCACCTCCTGGGTTCAAGCCATTCTCCTGCCTCAGCCTCCCAAGTAGCTGGGAATACAGGTGCCTGCCACCACGCCCAGCTAAATTTTTTTGTATTTTTACTAGAGACGGGGTTTCACCATGTTGGCTAGGCTGGTCTTGAACTCCTGACCTCGTGATCCACCTGCTCCCAAAGTGCTGGGATTACAGGCTTGAGCCACCGTGCCTGGCCGAGAGTCTACTTTAAAAAAAAAAAAATCTACATATTAAAATGTAGCTCAGTAAGCATCAGATAGGGAATGGTTGCCTCAATATGTCTTAAAAGAAAGTTTTGCATGATGCCTGCATGCATTTCACATGCTTTATGGACTGCACATTCCTGTATCTCTTTATATATATATAAAACTTGAAACTCAAATAACAGTTACAGGATTTCTTATTTTAATAAACTATTAAATGGAAATAAGTTGTTGCAGAATGAAGAGATTTAGTCTTTTGATCTATTTTGTCAGAGAAACTTCAAAAAACTTACCAAAGGTATTTTATAACAGTCAGTTGTATAAATGGGACAACAATTAGACAAAAAGCCTTCATAAAATTTAATGGTCTTAAAATGAATCAATTGGTAATCAAAAGGAATACAAATACTTAGTAAACAAAATTCATAATAGCCTAAAGATTTAATCACTTCAACGTGATGGAATTGTGTAAAAGGAATTATCCCAGCCAGTTGGAAATATATCTATTCCCTTTGAGACTATCTGGATTAAAACACATTTTACTTCAATTTGATAATGCCTAATTTTAGTAATTAACAAATCTGTCTCTTGGGAATGTTTTCCTTCCATCTAACTTAAATAGAGTAAGCTAATAAGTAATTAGCTCATCTAAATGCCTCGTAAGGTGTAATCCCTAAGTTCCACCTAGATGTCTAGGTTCTCTTTGTTCTGTTTGCATCATTAATTGTTTCACTGTAAGCTTTTCTTTTTTTTTTTGAGAGAACCTCACTCTGTTCCCCAGGCTGGAGTGCAATGGCATGATCTTGGGTCTCTGCAATCTCTGCCTCCCGGGTTCAAGCAATTCTGCATCAGCCTCCCGAGTAGCTGGGACTACAGGCACTCGCCAGAACGCCCGGCTAATTTTTGTATTTTTAGTAGAGACGGGGTTTCACCATGTTGGCAAGGCTGGTCTCAAACTCCTGACCTCAGGTGATCCACCCACCTCGGCCTCACAAAGTGCTGGGAAACCTTAAGCTATTTTTAATTTTGTGAAACATTTTCCAGTTAAAGACAGATAAGTAAACATGAGTAAATGCTTCATTTAATATTATTCCTCTTGTCAATGGAAGAATAAACTTTTAACTCTTCAGAAGACATTTCCTTCTTTGGTTTTCTAATTAACAAACTGCACAATTCTAGTTTTATGTAGGAATTCCTCATTTATTTTTCGTCTCAGAATTTCATTTTCTAAATGACTTCCATAGCAATCCTCCAAATTCAGTACCTGGCTCGGTTCTTCAGTTATGGGGCACATGAAAAGCTAACTTGATATTTCTGTCTTAGGTCCATCCTCCTATCTTCCAACTTTTGCAGGAATCTTACATAAGAATTGATGATTCCATTTACTTTCTCTACAAGCTTTTGCCCACGGTTTGATTTTCCCATGCAGTTTGGCCACCTAATTTGCAGGGCTTAGTGCAAAATGAACATTTGAGCTTCTTGTTCAAAATCAGAGGTGGGGCAAGCATGTTTGGTACTAAAATGTAAAGTTTTTCCCCTTTTTAAAAGTTTTTTTTCTGACTTCTCATGGTATTTGCTATTCTGACATTGTTTTAAGCAAAGAAAAATTAAAAATTCACATTGTTAGCATGAGTTTTTCCATTCCATTCATTTTTATATGGAATGCTAGCTTTAAATGCAAATAGAGCAGTTAAATTATAGGCAGAATCACCCAGTTACACAATTTTGTATTTCATAGTTTGTCTTCAGACAAGCTGCTTGTGCTCCAGCAGACCAGGACTAACAAATACAAGTCAGACTCAAGAGGTTGAAAGGAGAGAGGATCCCTCAGGCATGGAAGCCATCCAGGAAGGGTTCCATCGACACAGGGATACTCAGTAAGTATGAGGATACTTGCCTGACTAGGGCAGATCTTCACAGTTACCCAGGCCCCTTGCCTAGATCTCAGTACTTGGGACTCCAGCTTACTCAAACCCAATAGCTGCCAGGTTCCCCTGGTGCCAGCCCCCGCATACACATGCTTCACAGCCTGGCATTTCTACTTCCCATTTGCTGGCACCACAATCTATGGCAGTAGGCCTGTGAACACCAAATACCTTTAAACTTCCACATCTGGATGCACCAGGTACCTGGGTCACAAGCCACAAGAGAATTGTGCCCACAAATATGGACCAGCCTATTGCCAATCATGCTGCCACTGCCGGGTCCCACCTGAGATGTGCCAGAGTGCACACCCTGATCCCAACACTCCCTGTGATTACATCTAAAACCCCACAAGGGCAGAGGTTGACAGCAGAATGATGGCCTCCTTTAAAACTTATCTGGTGATTGCCTGGAATATAGGACCCAGAGGAACCCAAGCAGTAGGAGAATGAATGATTGAACCATTCTGTGGTAGCTAAGAGCCAGCAGGAGGCAGGACCTTGTGTAAGTCCAGTTTCCAAACCCCTGGCATATGTTTGTTGTTACATCACATTCTGCCTACAAATCACAAGTTCAAATATAGACATATTAATAATATCAAGAGGGCAATAGCAAAGCATTAAACCAATGTGGGGAATTTCTGAGAATGGAGCCTAATTTAGTTGCACAGTTCCTCTGCCCATGAAGCTGGTCCTGTTCTCATGAACTATACTCAAGTTTTTTTGATGTATAAAAAATGTCTTTAACATAATCACTCCAGCAGGTGCCATTCATTTCATCACATCTGAAAACTCAAACTTAACAAAAATATAGCAACACTCTTCATTTCCTCAAACTCTACTATTACTTAACCTAATCCACCAGGGTTTCAGGTCTACAAAAACATCGCTTTTTAGGAAAACAATAATCTTAATATCACAAATTCATTGAAAATTTTTCAATTACCTTACAGTATTTTTCAGCAACTTTCATAATTGTTTACTTCTCCTTTGGCAACCTGTTATTTTTCTATGGCAATGTATTTCTAGGTTTCTTCCTACCAATTTGAGCTCTCATCCCCATATCCTTTTGCTGCTCTGACCTATATTATCCAGCCTTTTAATGCTCAGTTTCCTAAAGATTTGTTCTAAGGCCCTAAAACATGCCCAAGGATGAAAATCGCTTTGAAACAGGAATTATACTAAAAAGCATACTTCCTGTTTTAAAGCAATTTTCATCCTTTGGCATGTTTTTTGATAACTCACAAATTTACATTTTTATCCCAGATGTCACCTCAGAACTTTAATGCTGCAAGATACCTGCAAGATGACTCATGGTTAACATACGTAAAACAGATAATCAAGATCTCCTTGAGTTCTTCTTCATTGTTCCCTCTCCTACTGAATTACATCACCCTCCATTTTCTCAATCCATTTGCTAAAGCTAGAAACCACATAGTCACCCCGGATAGCTCTGCTTTACTTGTGCACCTCATTCAATCCTATAACAAATTCTTTCATTTTAATTCCCGAATATCTCCCTACATTTTTAGCTTCATTCCTACAGTCATCTTTGCTATAGCCTGAATGCATGTGTCTCCCCCACATTCATATGTTAAAATCTTCATCCCCAAGGTGGTAGTATTAGAAAGTGGGGCCTGTGGAAGGAAGGTGATTAGGTCATGAGAACAGAGCCCTCATGAACGGGATTAGAGCCCTTATAAGAGGCCTCAGAAAGCTGCCTTTCCCCTTCTACTGTGTGAGGACATAGAGATAAGACACCCTATATGAACCAGAAGGTGAGTCCTCAGCACGAATAGAATCTGCCAGCATCTTGATTATGGATTTACCAGCCTCCAGAACTGTGAGAAATAAATTCCTGTTGTTTCTAAGCTACCAAGTTTATGGTATTTTGTTATACCAGCCTGAATGGACTAAGACAGTCTTCAATACCATCACTCTAGTTAAACAACACTTATTTCTTCATCTGGGTGACGCAATGGTTTTCTAATTCTTTCTCAGTCTTTATTTGGTTCTCCAACATTGCAACCAAAGTGTTTGCTGAAAATATAAAATTAGTTATATTTGTTCTCTCCCTAAGAACTTTCATTGTCTTTTTTTCTGATTCCAGTACACATGAGAAACTAATATACCTAGAACACTAGTGTGGTAGGCAGAATAAAAACTACCAAAGATATCCATGTCCCAATCCCTGGAACTTGTGAATATGTTACTTTAACATGGAAAAAATGATTTTGCAGAAGCAATTAACTTAAAGACCTTTAGATGGGGAAATTATACTGAATTATGCAGGCAGGCCAAATGTAATCACAGGGTCCTTAAAACAGACAGAGAAGGAGATATGAAAATGAAAGTAGAAAATTAGAATGTGCAGTATGATAAAGACTCTACTGGCCATTGCTGGCTTTGAAGATGGAGGGATGCAACCATGAGCCAAGGGATAGGGTTTACCTCTAGAAATTGGAAAAGGCAAGAAAATTTATTGACCCTAGAGCCTCCACAGAGAACAGAGCCCTACCAAAATCTTGATTTTGGCAAAGGAGACCCATTCCAGAACTGAAACATGATAAATGCTGTTTTAAGCCACTGTTTGTTGTAATTGCAACAAAAAACTTATAAACTGAGGAAGAAAGAAGTATAATGCATCAACACTTTAATTAGCTTCTTGTGTTTTTTATGCAGATTACTCTTTTTCTTTCTTTACATGTAATTTAATCAGTATGTAATAAAAATGTGTTACATGAAACAAAAATCTTGGTTTGTCCAGCATTAAACAGAGACAAACAAAAGTTTTTAAAAGGGACTTAAGTTTCCCATTAGAGCTCTTTTGACTAATCCTACTTTTTTTTCCTTTAGAAAAAAAGTGTTCAGTTGATCAAAGACATATGATATTAGGCCATTTGGCTAATAAATTTTGGTGCTGCAAACCCATTACTTTCATATCTATTTCACAATCAGGTAGTATGGGCAGAATTACACAGACTGCAGAAAAAAAAAAACAGATGGGAAATGCAAGTGAAGAGAGGCTAAAGTATTCTTAATAATGTAAGTTTTTAAATGTAATCACTGCTGATTACTTTTCTACATCTGGATTTTAGAACATAATACCAATATAATCTCCCAACTCACTTCGGGTAAACCTAACTAGGTATGAAATAATAGTTTGCTTAATTTCTATATAAGTAAATCATGTTGGCCTTATTAAAAATGACAGTTAATGGATGTTGCTAGCATAATCTAATTATTCAGGTTGGTGCAAAAGTAATCACAGTTTTTGTTATTACTTTTAAAGTTATTAATTTTACTTCAAGTTGTTTTCTAATGTATAGCTAAGACTAAGCACTGTCCCTGTAGCAATACTGAACAGTATGAAAGAAGTTAGAAACACTTCTTCTAAAGAATAATGAAATTTTCAAAACTTTTAGAGATAGCTAATTAATTCAGGAAGTTTAAATTATAGAGATATTTTATTTTGTTTCTACAGCATAATTATTTTAGTTATTTGTTTTTCTTCTTGTTTTTTATATTTTCAATATGTTCAAATACCTGCTTATTTCTACTGCTAATTAATTCAATTCTGAGGCTTCATTCAATGTTAGGACGTGAATCAATTGTACTAGTAACATGCATCCTATTAAAATTATATACAGAATTTTAAAATGTTTTGGAAGACTTCCAGTTTCCACTCTGCCTTGTAAGGTGCTTTGAAGTCTTCACTCCATCCAACAACAAGTAAAAAGATGAGCAAACTGAAAAATCAAAAACTTTTTTTAGATTCATAAGAGAAGTGAAATGACAGGACAACCCACTGTTTCCAAAGATTGAAGAGACAAGAAGATACAGAGAACTACAACCTACTAGAACAGAAATTCGTAAGCAGAAATCTCAGGAACCAGTATTAAGGTAGGAGAACCTGAAGTGTAATTGATGAATCTGTAGAGTCTCAATGTGGACAAGTCTGAGAGATAAAAACTCTAGGAAAATCAGTCATAGGGATGTCCTCAAATTTTTATGAGTTTCACCTCTGGGAACTCTACCTTCAAAAGTGAAGGAGAAATAAAACTCAGACAAACAAAAATAAAGGGAATTTCTGACCAGTAGATCTGCTTTGTAATAGGTATGATAAGAAGGAAAATGATGTAGGTTAGAAACTTGAATCTACACAAAGAAAGTAATAGCATTAGAAAAATGCTATAAAAGGAAAGAAAATAGAATCACATGAAATAGTCAATTAAAACCACAAAAGGCAGAAAAAGTATTGAAGACTAAAATACAAACAAAGGACAAGGGCAAAAAATAGAAAACAGTAAGAAATATAGTAGATATTGTTTCAACTATATCAATAATCACCTTAAATGTCAATGATTGAAATGCACCAATTTTAAGAAATTTTTGTCAGAGTAGATTAAAAAAAGAGGACCCAACAATATATTGTCTGTAAGAAACCCCTTTTAAAAATGAAAGCACACATAATTAATCATAAATAAATGAAGAAATATATATAATGGTAATGGTAATCAGTAGATAGTGGAAGTAGTTATAATAATTTCAGATAGAACAGACATCAGAGCAAGAAAAGTTATCTAGGATAAACAGAGCACTACATAATGATAAAAGGGTCAATTTTCCAAGAAGACATAACAATCATTAATATGTATGTGCCTGGTATGGTTTGGCTATGTCCCCATCCATATCTCATCTTTAATTCCCAAGTGTTGTGGTAGGTAATTGAATCATGGGGGCAGGTCTTTCCCATGCTGTTCTCATGATAGTGAGTAAGTCTTATGAGATCTCATGGTTATTATAAGGGGGAGTTTTCCTGCACAGCTCTCTTTTTGCCTGCTGCCATCCATGTAAGATGTGACTTGCTCCTCCTTGCCTTCCACCATGATTTTGAGGCTTCCACAGTGACATGAAACTGTAATCCAATTAAATCTCTTTCTATTGTAAATTGCCCATTCTCGAGTATATCTTTATCAGTAACATGAAAATGGACTAATACAGTAAATTGGTACCAGGAGTGGGATGCTGCTGAAAAGATACCCGAAAATGTGGAAGCAACTTTGGAACTGGGTAACAGGCAGAGGTTGGAACAGTTTGGAGAGCTCAGAAGAAGACAGGAAAATGTGGAAAAGTTTGGAACACTTGTTGAATGGCTTTGCCCAAAATGCTGATATTGATATGTACAATAAGGTACACGCTGAGGTGGTCTCAGATGGAGATGAGAAGCTTGTTGTGAACTGGAGCAAAGGCGACTCTTGTTATGTTGTAGCAAAGATACTGGTGGCATTTTGCCCCTGCCCTAGAGATTTGTGGAATTTTGAACTTGAGAGGGATGATTTAGGGTAGCTGGTGGAAGAAATTTCTGAGTAGCAAAACATTCAAGATGTGACTTGGGTGCTGTTAAAGGACTCAGTTTTATTAGGGAAGCAGAGCATACAAGTTGAAAAATTTGCAGCCTCACAATGTGATAGAAAAGAAAAATCCATTTTCTGAGGAGAAATTCAAGCCAGCTGCAGAAAATTGCATAAGTAACAAGGAGATGAATGTTAATCCCCAAGACAATGTCTCTAGGGCATGTCAGAGGTCTTCACAACCACCTCTCCCATCACAAGCCCAGAGAAAATGGTTTTATCAGCCAAGCCCAGGGTTCCTGTGCTGTATTCAGCCTAGGGACTTGGTGCCCTGCATTCCAGCCACTCCAGTGGTGACTAAAATGGGCCAAGGTGCAGCTTGGCCTATTGCTTCAGAGGATGCAAGCCCCAAGTCTTGGCAGCTTTCATATGGTGTTGAGCCTGCAGGTACACAGAAATCAAGAATTGAGGTTTAGGAACCTCTGCCTAGATTTCAGAAGATACCTGGAAAAGCCTGAATGCCTAGGCAGAAGTTTGCTGCAGGGGTGGGGCTGTCATGGAGAATCTCTGCTAGGACAGTGCGGAAGGGAAATGTGGGGTCAGAGCCCCCACACAGAGTCCTTACTGGGGTACCACCTAGTGGATCTGTGAGAGAGGGCCATGGTCCTCCAGACCCCAGAATGGTAGATCCACCAACAGCTTGCACCATGTGCGTGGAAAAGCTGCAGACACTCAATACCAGCCTGTGAAGGCAGCCAGGAGGGAGGCTGCACACTGCAAAGCCACAGGGGTGGAGGTGCTCAAACCATGGGAACTTACCTCTTACATCAGCATGACCTGGATGTGAGACATTGAGTCAAAGTAGATCATTTTGGAGCTTTAAGATTTGACTGTCCTGCTGGATTTTGGACTTGCATGGGACCTGTAACTCCTTTGTTTGGGCCAATTTCTCCCATTTGGAATGGCTGTATTTACCCAATGCCTGTACCCCCATTATATCTAGGAAGTAACTAAGTTGCTTTTGATTTTACAGGCTCACAGGCGGAAGGGATTTGCCTTTTCTCAGATGAGACTTTGGACTGTGGACTTTTGAGTTAATGCTGAAATGAGTCAGGACTTTAGGGAACTGCTGGGAAGGCATGATTAGTTTTGAAATGTGAAGGTATGAGATTTGGGAGGGGCCAGGGTGGAAATGATATGGTTTGGCTCTGTATCCCCACCCAAATCTCATTTTGTAGGTCCCATAATTCCCATGTGTTGTTGGAGTGACCTGGTGGGAGATAACTGAATCATGGGAGTGGGTCTTTCCTGTGCTGTTCTCATGATAGTGAATGGGTCTCATGAGATGTGGTGGCTTTAAAAATGGGAATTTCCCTGCACAAGCTTTCTTCTCTTGTCTGCTGCCTTGTGAGATGTGACTTTCACTTTCTGCCATGATTGTGAGGCTTCCCCAGTCACATGGAACTTTAAGTCCAACTAAACCTTTCTTTTGTTAATTTCTCAGCCTTGGGTATGTCCTTATCAGCAGTGTGAAAATGGACTAATACAGTGCTTGATGACAGAGCATCAAAAAACATGAGGCAAACACTGATAGAACTTCAAAGAAAAAAAATAAATTAATCTACCTACTGTTATAGTGGGAGAATTTAATTCTTCTTTGTAAAAAATGGACAGATCCAGCAGGCAGAAAATCAGTAAGGACAGAGTTGAACTCGAGAGCATCAATAGTCAAATAGCTATGATTGACACATACAGACTACTTCATCCAATAACAGCAGGATACATGTTTTCTTCTCAAGCTGACATGAAACATCAACCAAGATAGTTTATGTTCAGGGCCATAAACCATATCTTAACAAATTTAAAAGTGTAGAAATAATACTATATCTGCTCTCAGACCACAATGAAATTAAACTAGAATTCAATTACAGAAAGATAACAAAATCCCCAAATACTTAGAAATTAAACAATACACTTTTAAATAACACACAGATCAAAGAAAAATTTTCTAGATAAATTAGAAATATTTTACACTAAATTAAATTGAAAATACAACACATCAATATTTATGGGATGCCTGAGAGCAATGCTTGGAGTGAAATTTATTGTATTGAATGCATAAGTAAGAAAAAAGGAAATATCTAAAATTAATAACCTAAGCTTCTACCTTAGAAAACTAGAGAAGAAAGAACTAAATAAATCCAAATTAATCATAAGAAAATAAATAACAAAAATTAGACCACAAATCAATGAAATTAAAAACAGAAAATCAAGACAGAAAATTAAAAAAAAAAAAACCCTCCAACATCTGGTTCTTTGAAAAGATCAATAAAATTAACATGGCTCTTGCCAGTCTTACTGAGAAAAAAAACAGAGAAGACAGGTAACTATATAAGAAAAGAAAGAGGAGGTGTCCCTATAGATTCCATGGAACCTAAATAGATAATAAAGAAAGATAATGATAGACTCTATGCCCGCAAATTGGGTAATCTAGATATTATGGACTAATTATTTGAAAGCTATAATCTGCCAAATGCACACAAGAATTAATAGACAATTAATAAATAATTAATAACCTTCTAAAAGATAAAGTGCCAAATCATCAAATTATCAGATGAGGTATCAGAGAATGAGTGGAGCAGAAGCATGGTAGCTATTTCAGATTATGTTGTCAGGAGAGGCCTATCTGCAGACTCAAGGCTTGGATAATAAGAAAAAAAGCAGCTATGCAAAAAGCCTCTGAAAAAGCAGTTCATTCAGGAAACAGTAAGGGCCAAGGCTGAGGGAAAAATGAGAAATACATGTTCACAGAAGAGGAAGAAGTTTAATATGCAAGAATGATTCAGAAAGAGTAGAAGCATAGAAAATGAGGTAACAAAGATGTGACATACTTCATGCTGACCATGATATAAATCTTGAACTTTCATAAGTAATTGAGATGTTTTCTGAGTTATGTTTTTAAATAGATCATTTTGACTGCTCTTTAGAAAATGATGGGGTGGGAAATAAAAACAGAAAGACCATTTAAGAAGCCTTTACATTTGTTAAGGTGAAAGATGATTATGGTTGGGCTGGGTTAGTGGCATTATGAAAAGAAGTAGAATAATTAAATATGTATTCTGATAAATGATATGATGCTAAGAAAAATAAAATAATATAAGTTAAAAAAATTTTTTTTGAGACAGGGTCTCACTGTTTTGCATAGTCTGGAGTGCAGGGGTGTGATCAGTGTTCATTGCAGCCTCCACCTCCTGGGCTCAAACCATCCTCCCACCTCAGCCTCCCAAGTAGCAAAGACTAAAGGTGCATGACGCCATGCCCAGCTAATTTTTAAATGTTTTGTAGAGATGGTATCCAGTATGCTGCCCAGGCTGTTCTTGAACTCCTTGACTCAAGCAATCCTCCCACCTTGGCCTCCCAAAATGCTGGGATTACATAAATAAGCTACTGTACCAGGCCTAAGTTTTGATTTGATATATAATTTTTCTTGCCCCCCCAATTAAATATTTAAAATAAAGGGTTGGATGAAATAATCTCAAGAAAGAACATTGTGAAAAAAGAATAAAATCTCTTCTAACATTGAAATATTTAGAGCCAAGAAATTGGAGGAAAAACTAGGAAGACACCAAGACACGCCATTGAGGCACAAAGAAATTCAGATAAATGTGGTTCTACAGAATGAAGAGAAGAAAGGGTTTCACAATAAATGGGAACAGTTAACTGTGATCAATAACACTGAGGGGCCAAGTTGAATAAAAAATGAGGAAGGTTTATTGGATATCACAAGATGGAGACCACAGATGATCAACATTTTCAGTGGAACTGAGGAGACAGAATCTACAAATAAATGGGTGTAAGAGTAAACTTACACTGCGGTGGTTGGCAGATACAGGGATTCCAGATTTCTCTCCAGATATATCAAACTACTAAATACACTTAAAACAAGTAAGAAAAAATGTGTATCTTGACTTAAAAGAAGAAAGGAAAAGAATCAGTTTCAGATACTCACAACCAATAATAAGACACGCAAGGTTACTAGGCTGTGTCTTAAGGACTAGGATTGTAGTTCTCTTGCAGGAGTATATATTGAGGCTCTATGACACATGTCCCATAGATAGTTAGAGTTAGGCTCCCTGCGTAAAGCAAGATGCTGGGATATTACTAAATTACTGGGAAATTACTAAATTGCTAAAGATTGTTGAGCAGAAATGAAAAAAATATTTCTAGCAAGTCTCAGGTTTTGATCTGAATGAAAAAGATACCCTGAAAAGATGCAACAATAATCTTGCATTGGTACCACGTTTGAACCCAAATTTCACATGGAAACTTCCAGATAAGATACAAACAGAAAGTGGTCTAGAAAAGTCAAATGTCAAATAAATATATTTTAGGCAACTGTAAAACCATCCCATAAATAGAAGCATAACTATACAATCATACTTGAGGCTTCCACAGAAAATGCTTTTTCTAAAAATAAGGAGAAAAATTGTAGGGTTTATGAGGAAACTGACCACTATGGAAAACGCCCAGAACATTTACAAGATGGGAGAATCTCTATACCAGATATTACATACTATGAATATTAGAACAACTTAAAGAGTATCTTTTAAAAGTGTATTTACATTTTTAAAAATAATATATTTAAAAATAGAACTTATCAAGCAGGAATGAAACATTGTTTAAAATGAACAGGTTATTTGTGAAAGAACAAAATCTGATTCTAAGAAATAAAAATTATAATTTTTATAACTACTTTTTAGTTAAGTTAATTAGCAATCTAGACACTGTTGAAGATAAAATAAATGAATTGGAAGAGCTATCTAGGAAATTAAGTACAATTTACTGCAGAGAGAGAAATGGATTTGAATTATAAAATAAAATGCTAAGAGATATGGAGGGATAAATAATCTGTACAAACACACACACTCAAAATAGAGTTTAAGGAATTAACTATACAAAGGGCACTCTTAAAAGTGAAAATAGCTTAAAATTCTGTAGAACTAAAGAAGAGCTCAAATTCTTATGTTGAAATGTAAGGAGAAAAATCAAACTTTTTATGAAAAGAACAAAGAAGAAAAATGTTCTCTAGGGACTCCCAGAAATCAGTTAAGAAAAGTAAGTTAAAGAACATATAGAAAATGGGCTGGGCATATTCGGATCATAAATTGAGGATTCAAAGGACTGAAAAGGAATATTCTGAGAGGTAAGGGGTAGTGAATATTTAGTATCAATAGAAAATGTACAAAACAGGATGCCACTGGGAATTCAAGATTAGAGGGCTGACCTGATAGTCCTGGGCTTTTGGAAGAATCCGAGGTATTCAGGAAGCATGAGGTATGATCACAGTATTTCAAAGGAAACAAAGCAATTATAAAAGGTATTTCTTAGTATGAACTTGATAAAATAAGGCATTGTGACATCTCTCCCTAGCTTGCAACAAGGAGGCCTTTAGCTGTGAGATGTCAGCATTATCTTTGCATGTGTACAAGGCAGATGACAGCTTCTGAAGAATTCTTTTTAAGGCATATCTTGAAAGGGAGGCAAGAGACATCAAGCGCCAGTTAAGCAGTTACTCAACTGCTCTCCTATGACTTGTGTGATGGTTTCATGGGTGTGAGGCAATAAGGCTTTGACTGATATTCCTTCAATTGAATGTCACCTTCAAGTTGATCTGTTCTTCATCATACCCTAGTTTGGGCAGAAAAATTCTCATTCACTCAAATGGATTGTATAACTTGAGACTAAGGTAGTAAACAACAACATAGAGTTTTTAAATCTAGGCTATAATACTGAGGATACAAATTTAGTTTGTTTTTTCATTCTTTTTGGCTCTGGCTTAGCTAGTAACCCATTTGACTATGCTGTCAAAGTAAGTCCTTTCAGAAATTGAGCACCATGGTGAAGGGAGTTCAATATCAGCACTTAGTTTATGTCCTGTCTGACTCTAGCAGTAAAAAGTCACTCTACTTCTGCCATGTTGTTTTTTATTGTTTATGATGCCAAACAAAGCAGTTACCTTAATAATATTTTCTTGGTTGATTTTAAAGATCAATAGTGTATGCTGATGAGAAAATTGCAATTAAGAAAAACAGCTGGACTTCTTCCAACATAATTGAAATGAAATAAACAATTTTGCAATGTCAAAATCTTGCTTTTATCATATTATGATCTATTTTAATTGCATTTTCTTTTCTAAAATGCTTAAATGCTAATTATCTTAAATCATAATAACTTTACAATAGCTTTCAACTTGTGAATAAAATATAATTTAATTTAAACTTTCTGTACTAGTCAGGATACTCCAGAGAAACAGAACAAATATATAGATAGATATATCATATAAATACAGATATAATATAGATATAGGTACCATATAGATATACATGTAGATATATAAAAAGAGATTTAATATAAGGGATTGGCTTACATGGTTAAGGGGGCTGAACAGTTCTACAATCTTCCGTCTGCAAGCTGGATGACCAGGAAAGTAGGGCCTGAGAACCAGGGGAAACGATGGTGTAAGTCCCAATCTGAGTCTAAGGACCTGAGAACAAGGATCATTGGTGTCCAAGGGCAGGAGAAGATGGAAGTCCCAGCTCAACCACAGAAAGGGCAAGGGCAGGAGAAGATGGAAGTCCCACTTAACCACAGAGAGTGAGTTCACCCCCTTCTTCTGCCTTTAAGTATTATTTGGGTCCTCATGAGATTGGATGATGCCTGCCCACATTAGTAAAGAGGGATCGTCTTTACTCAGTCTACCAATTCAAATGCTAATCACTTCCAGAAACACCCTCACAGACACACTTATAAATAATGTTTTCTCAGATACCTGTGGACTCCTAACTCAGTGAAGTTGGCATAAAATTAACCATCACACTCTCTTTCTTTCCTTTAGATACATTAGTGCCTAGTATTACGGAATATTTTCCTTCCATTATGCTTTTGTGCTTGAGCTATACATTTTTATATAAGGGCACAATATTATTCACTCTATTCTATTAATGGAAGTTAAAATGAAAGTACAAATTCTCACTGGGTTTGCCCATGACTGTCCTCATCACATATTTATCAGTAGACTCCTAATTTATATACTTGTTAACAAACTATCTCTGCCATCAACAGTAACCTGGCCTCTTTTACACCTGAAATGACTGAAATCATGAAACAATAATTTTTTTTTCACATCTAGGGCATTGTTAGGCTAACTCTCTTCTCTGATAAATATTATACTATATCATGCATGCAAAAATTATCTTGATATAGAAAATTACTATAGAGCACTTCATGTCTTTGCTATTAGCCTTTGTTACAGGAATTTGTAAATTTATACAAATCATTTCTTAGGATTAGGCCATGGAAGCCTTGATGTATTTGGCTCAATGACAGGTGTTTAAGTCCATCTCTTTAGAGTATGAGTGAAAAAAGTGTTGCTACCTGGAATTTTGTGATGACTATTGCCTGTTATGCAGAATTGTTTAAGAGTCTCTCCTCACTGTCTCGTGAGGTTTTGGTGTTAAAGTTCAACGGATACTAACTGTAAAGTGAATAGCACATAATAAACATTGGTAATCCTTACTTTCCACTTTTAAACTTTCCTTGCTACCTTTATTTCAGATACTTATTTTCCTCTTCTGAACTTGTATTGCATGTTTTTCTTCCTTTATGTAAACTTTCATACTCTATAGTTTCATAGGATTATTTGTAAATATCTCATTATTTTTTCCTCACAAGGTTTTAAAGTGTGGTTCTACTGATATATTCATGCTGGTATCACACTAAAGACGAGGACAATAGTAAAATGTATTTATTTTGGGAATGCATATCTAAAGATATTTAAGAAAGCACAAAGCATATTGATAATTGTATGTGATTATTATTAACTACCTAATTACCTTCATTATAGTTCCCCAGTTATCTTTGCATTTTCCTATTTATTAGCTTCCACATCAGGTAAGTTACATAGTCATGTATGTCCTATTTATAAAAATCTCTTCTAAACCTGTTTCTCTTTTTTATTACCATTTTCACTGTCTATTATTAAATGCTAATAAGCAACTTTTCAGGTCCCCAAAATAACCTTGCAAGTGATCTTCCAGGGTTTTCTCTCAAGTCAAATATTTTCTTTCCTAAGTTTTTAAAATATTGATCCTATCATTGATTCTAATGTTAGGCAAACAAACAAAAAAATCATTAGAATATCACAAAATGCCCTTGACCATCTGACTGCAAGCTCCCTTTCTAACTTTATCTCTCAAAATTCCATACCTTATACTTAGGCACACCAAATGGTAAGCTCAATTCTAGTAACATAAATAATTGTCATACTACAATGACTGCATTTGAAGTTGCCATTTCTTGGAATGCCTTTAGCTGAACTGCTGCACCAGGTGTATTTGCTTCAATCTTGAAGATCCTCATCAGCTATCCCTCTTTTCTTTTTTTTTTTTTGGAGACGGAGTCTCACTCTGTTGCCCAGGCTGGAGTGCAGTGGCGCTATCTCGGCTCACTGCAAGCTCCGCCTCCTGGGTTCACGCCATTCTCCTGCCTCAGCCTGGTGAGTAGCTGGGACTAACAGGCGCCCGCCACCAAGCCCGGCTAGTTTTTTTGTGTTTTTTAGTAGAGATGGGGGTTTCACCGTGTTAGCCAGGATGGTCTCGATCTCCTGACCTCGTGATCTGCCCGCCTCGGCCTCCCAAAGTGCTGGGATTACAGGCGTGAGCCACCGCACCCGGCCAGCTATCCCTCTTTTCAATGGATTTGTCACCTCACCCACCCTAATAACACAAATAGATTAAGTCATTGCTCAAATATTAATACAATCTCCCTAGAAAAGCCTCCTGTGAATCACCTGTGATTATAACTCTATTCTCTATTCCATTACCCAACTGATATACTGATAAATCTTTTTCAAATTGTCTTCTTCATGAGACTATAAGCTCTAAGAGAGCAGGGACTTTATCACTTCCTTATTCTCATGTATTAGAATGGTGATCACCACATATCATGCCCCAAATATTATTTCTTTTTCTTACAAGTATAAATAGTGGTGTACTGTGTAAACTTTGACAACCTGAACATTTAATGTCATGGAAAATATCCTATACAGTTACCTTTTAGATTGATTATTAGAATACTATAGTGTATTAAGTTTCATTATCATTTGTTATTGTTTATGAACATTGATGCATGAAAAATGTTTTTTCTCAGTAGCAAGCATTGAGTTTTCTATTAATTTTATATCATAATTAGTTATGTATTCTGAAATAATGTATCATGTTATTTATATATCTCTAATGATCATTTTTAATTCTGTATTTGGTACTCATTGTTCACTTATTTCTCTCATAATCACATCAAATATTAAAAAATATTATTTTCAATATAATGTATTATATTTTCTATTTGGAAAAAATGAAGATCCTCTCAAATATTAAGGAATCGCATTATAATCTGAATGAAAAATAACTTAATAATGCTATTAGGGAAGCTACAATTCCTATCCTAGGCTTTATGATAATTTATTTCTGAGTATTGTTTGAGAAGAATCTTACACATATTTAATAGTACAAAATTCAATCAATGTTTAGCATGTTACTACGTCAGAAAACTACTGAATACTTACAATACATATATATTGCTTTAAATATAGTGAATTTGTACATTTTGGAGTTGTTATCTGGAACTTTCTGCCAAGTATCTGAGATCACAGGGCTTCAGAAGCAAATCAAACCTGTGGATGGGGGTGGGGTGTCTCTTGCTCTCTTTACATATATTATAGATGATACATATGAATATATATTTTATTTGTATGTGCACTTTCAAATAAGAAGATTAACTCATGATCTGATATCTGGAGAGCTTGTTCTTATCTGCTTCCAGGAATCTGAACGCATGGGCAAGAAATCTTTTTGATTTCTTAATCATAAATAAAACTTACATCATTTTCTTTCAAGCATACTGTGTAGCGTGCCAGCATTTCCTCCTTGTCAAGCATGTCAAGTATGGGACATTATCTCACAATTGATATATATTTTAAATTGCCTGACTTGCTTGTAACTATGGACTAAGACATACATTCTATCAGATACAAAAAATTACAGTGAAACAACACTAAAATCTAGCTTTATTGGCTTTCCCTGCAATTACGTGTTCATTCTTTGTAACTTCTGAGATTTAACTGTATTTGAACTTGCTTTGTAATAAATGTTTTCAGTGAGACGAAGCAGCAAAATCCATTATGCTTTTCCATAGACTCATAATATTAGTATGTTCATATACAGAATATTCAAGTTTTACATTAAAAGATGTCTGTTTTTTTCTGTTAAATCTATGCCATTTGTGTGTCAACAGCGCACAGACTGCAAGGATTTAAAAACAACAACAAAAAATCAAATAACAAAAATTAGTGCTAAATATTTGTCGTTACCAAATTATTTTATTGAATATCAGGTGTCTCTGTGAATCTTAGTAAAATTTTTCAAAAGTAAAACTAAAACATAGAAAGTATAATTAATACTTTAGCAATTATATTTGTTTTAATCCAATGTCCAAAATAAGTTTTTTATTGTTATTTCATTGAAGTAAAAAAAGACTTTGTCCATGACAGGTGTGACATTTCAAAATTTACTATAACTACTCAATAAAATTCCATGTTTAAAATTACTTTTCCCAAGATTTTAAATGTTAGAAAGATTAATACTCTCTATGTGATTATATACATGACATAAATCAAATGATTTTTTAAAATAGTTTTTTCTGCTTTTTTCTGTAAAAGTTTTATTTTTCTCTCCCTTTCTTAGTATTACATATTTATGTTATTATTACAACATTCTTAAGAAAAATGTATTCACAATTTGTAGTCTCTAATTTCCAGCCTGAAAGTGGGAAAAACTCTTCTGCTGAAATTTTTTCTGAATTTTCATTAATGTGTCTAATGCTTACATAGTTTTAAAGGCAAGGACTATTGTTACTATTATATGCACACCTCTGAGTGTGTATACTTCTAAGATATGAGAACACTGGTCTCAGTAAGTTATGTGGTTTCGTTAAAACTCATGAAGGATTTCTTCAAAATGTTCACGTTAGTTTAAAAACAATGGTGAAAATAAAGATTGACTCATTTTCTAGCAGTGAACCTCAGCAGTTCATTTTATCCTAACATGCCATCATTTATTTAATATTTACACAAAATATCTGAGCTTTCGTTTAAATATTTGCCATTGACACAGATCTCTAATCCTTAAGTTTTGTGTTAACACTTCAACATTTGTACTGAAAAGATCAAAATCCAACGTAAATGTTGTAATAAACCAACCTTTATAGTTTGGCAACCATGAAAGCAGAAATCATAGGCCCCCACTTCGCAGTATTTCTAATTGCACTTTGACGAGGCAAATATAATTATTTCTGGATTTTGTCTTTATGTGTTTTTCCCAAACTCTTAATAATATAAAAAACCCTCTCTTTAATATAGTTTGATGATTAAATTAATTTATATTATTTGTTTCTCTACCATAAAATAATTAACCTATGTATTCATCATTCTACTTCTCCTAACTTCCTCCCTTACCTGATTAGGAGTTTTATTAACATTTTTGGTTCTTATCTTGTGACACTTATAACTTTAAATAATGCATTATAATCTTTTCTTCTTCTTCTGTTCAGTTTGAACAATATTTTCTTACTATACAAAGTTAAGACACTACTTCATCCACCCTTCCATTTATCTCTCCTATTGGTATAAATTACTTTACATTGCCCCATTTGGGAGTGGCTGGCTAACTAACTTGAGGTCAGTTTGATCATGTTCTGGAAATAAAACATGTATGTGCCAACTAGAATCTACTCCTCCAGTTGTCATTCTGTTTTATTGAGTAACATGTATTAAGTTATTTCTAATTTAAAATACCTAGAGGAAATTCTGATATCTATGCTGAGTACAGGGTAATATTGTTATTACATAGGTTCTATGATTTTATCATATAATCTGAAAAAAAGGAAACAAGTATTATATATAGGAATTACTATGCATAATTTGCTGCATAATCAGGAAGTGAGACTTCAATCATGATTCATTTGTCGCTTTATGAAGAACGTTCTGAAAGTCACAATCAATCAAGTATATTCTCTGTCTTGCTCTCTATCATTCTTTATGCCTCTTTCTCTTTCTCTCTCCTTGCTCCCACCATTTCCTTTGCTTTTACAAATTTTATCATGCGGAGCAACTCTCTTGAATATTTTTATTAAATGATTGCACAGTTTTGCCCCTGAACTCTGTCCCATTCTTTGCTCTTGCTGATAGTGAAAACAGAGATTATCTCTGGCTGTATTATTCTATCCTTGCTATTATGAGTTTTTACCCCTTTCTAGTTAACTATAATTTCAATTGTATTTGAGAAAAGAGGGCACTCAAATGTTCACTTAATCCTGTATCTTGAACTGCTGGTAAGTTATTAAGTGTTTTTTCAGCTCGTATAAATATAAAAATCAACAAAGTATCTTACAAATGCTAGCTCTCCTCCACATTAACCATGCGTTTAATTAAATATTTATAGGGCACCTACTATACGAGTTTTAAAGATTACATTCATTGAAAAATGAGCAAATTAGATAGGGGTCTTCAAGTTCATAATTTATTGCAAGAGGCAAACAATAAATAATTACATATATAAATAATTTGCTTGCTAAAAAAGAATACCATTAGAAACTAATTTAGAGTAAGAGAAATTTTAAAAAGTCTACTAAAAAATAACTATTAAACTAAAACCCAAAGCTTACCAGCTTTTTTGTTAATCTTATTTTGTATTTTATCATCTCTTTTTGATATTAACTTATGTAAAATTTTTAAGTTCATGGTTTTCCCTAGATGCAAAGCATTGCTTTATTTTTTTAAAATACCTTCATCAAATTATTGAAGTTCTTCTAAAATGTATTCTTTATTAATATTTACAAAGTTATGTTTGCAAAGATACGTAAATAGTTTTCTTACTGAATTGGTATTTATTTTTTCAGCATTTCAGCATCTATTGATTTAGCATTTTTCTGATCAGGAATAGTGTCATCTGAATTTGTTATTCATTGAAGACTAATGTGGTTGACCTTTCTCTGACTCATAAATTAAGAACTATCTGTAAAACCGATTTATGTTTTGAATCTTCCATGACAACTGGTTACCTCAAGTTAATCTTTGATATTGACTGACTATTTCTGTTTAATTTACATTTGAAGGCTTGTTATTGATTCCTTATCTTCCCTATTCTAAAGGAAGTGAAAAACAAGTTACAGATTGACTGTCTGCTGTTAGAGTATTGGACTACATTCTGTCCTAGCCTTTTTGGGCTACAATAACAAAAATACCATAGAGGGGGTGGCTCATAAATGACAGGAAAGTATTTCTCATAGTTCCTCATAACAAGGATGCCGGTTGTTGCTCTCAAAGACAACAGAGATTTGGAAGGAAGAGACTAGAAGTTCCAAGCTCAAGGTGCCAATAGATTTGGTGTGTGGTGAGTGCCCAACTCCTGGTTCATAATCGGCCATCTTTTTGCTGTGACTTCACAAAGAGGAAAGAAAGGGGAAGGATGCTTTCTGGGGGTCCCTTTCATAAGGGTTATAATCCCATTCATGAGGGTGATACCCCCATGACCTAATTATCTCCTAAAAGCCCCATATCTCAATACCATCATTTTGGAGATAAGGTTTCAACATATGAATTTTGGGGGGAATTAGTCTATGTCATACTCTGTATATGTTTTAATTCTGCATGCACTTTGAGATTTCAACTTATGATCTACTTCAGGAAGTTTAAGGCACTTAAGCAAGAAGCAGAGGTAAAAGAAAGCCCCACTAGTTACTGAATTTTTTTTAAATCCATAACTATTTTTCCTTGATCGGTCAATATTTGTCAGAAGTTGCAAATATGGTTACTGTATTTTTGTTACATGTCTTACTCCAATTCAGTCTTACCTTTCTGTTTTACTCCACTGCATAGGTTTAAGCAAAAATGCTATGCCAATTAAGTGTCTCCTTTAACTTTCTTGTTTTGCTGTTCCCTGGTAGAGGGATGATCTCCTGGGTGTTTTGTTTCTTACATGACCCTTCCTTCCTCCAGGTCCGAGGTCCAAACTACAAACTCTTGTTGTTAAAAGTTTCACATTTCATAATGCATGATTAGAAATCACTATTATGTTGGTCCAAATTATATACCCTCTAGCAAACACTCTTCCAGGTGTATGTTATTTGTTATTTCCTGGTTTCAGAAAGTGATTGTGTCCAACCCTCTAGCTCATTTCTTTCTTTATGCCATTCCACATTGAGTTATGCAATGTGTAGTCAATATAAAGACAACATTAAACCATAATGAACAGAATGAGAGAACATAGTGTGCTTATGTAATTTGGAAAACTAGCACTCCATTTATTGCTAATTGAACAACAGTGTGTATGTGTGTATGTGTGTTTGTGTGTGTACATAAAACTAATTTTTCCATTATTTCCTAGTGAAAGCTCACTCTAGAAGTGGGAAGAATAAAGAAGGATAACCATCTGTCACAAATGGAGAAACAATTCAAGGAAATATTAGCTACATATTAAAAATAACTTCAACTTCAAAACAGAACTTAGGAGCTACTTAGTTAAGCTACCAGTTTCAACTGTCCTTTTCCGCATGGGAAATAGTCATGCAAATTGTCTTTAAATTCTCCAAGAATTAAAAATGCTCCAGCATTCCAAGCATTTATTCAACATTTAACTATTATTATTTTGTGCTTAATATTTTATTGGCCCTGTGTATACTACTGAGGATAAAATAGTGAATAGATGATAGTTGAATATAACATAACAAAGAGGGTGTCTATAAATACTGAACAGTCTTTAGCTGATGAGGGAGCAAGACAGAGGAAACAATGCAAAGAATGCATTGACTGTGGATCCTCAGAGACAAGCGTTGTGAGACAACACAGGGGTTACAGAGACATTAAAAATAAAGTTCTAAAGTAAGCAGCTGTGAGAATATGGAAATATTTTTATTTCTTATAAAGTGCCTTGGATTTTATCCTCTATGCAATAGAGTGATTGGCAAAAAATTAATCATCAAATGTACACAGAAAAATCTTTATTTTAGATGGATCACGCTAGCAGATTTTCCTAATTTGAAGGAGGTGAAGAGGGAAACAGGACAGCAGTTGTTGCTGTGAAAAGCAACAAAGATTTAGAAAGGGGAAAAGTATATGAAAAATCATTTATCTGCCTCAGTTCCACCTACTTATCCAACACAGAGGTCTGTCCATCAGACATATGAAAGGTGAAAGAACAGAAATGTAAGGGAACTGAGATTGTAGAGATAGAATTGCTTTCCCTTCTTCAGTATCCCCTAAGCACCATATATTGTGTACATACAATGTATATATTAAACTCACTGTTTCCAAGATACCATAGAATTTCAACCAAGAATACTACTGTCAATGTATTCTCTTCTGCTGAGAATGTTTTCTTTCTACCACGCGTTTTTTTAGCTACACCTTCATCCATTTGTCAAACATATACCGACCCTTCAATCTTACCTTTGGATCTTTTAGCATTTGCCTTTATGGGAAGTCTGCTATGCCACCCCAACATAATTAATTCCTATTTTCTCCATTGTCCTGGAGTGATATTACATTTGACACTATACATGACACTGAGGAGGTAACCAATAGCTATTACATAAGAATTAAATTATAAAATTTTAAATTAAACTAAAATTTTGTTAAATTATAAAATTTTAATTACATATATGATTAAAAGCATGGGTGGATAAGGAAACTTGGATATATCTAAATATATGATTATATTGTTATTTATTATTTACTATTGTATTTTATCCCAACTTGTTCATGACAATTTACCAAAAAAAAAAAAAAAAAAAGAAAAAAGAAAGAAAGAAAAAAAGAAAGAAAAATAAAAGAGGATGCTTCTGAGGATGAAAATCTGAAAGCCATCATTTGCCAAAACTGGTCTCAAGGAGGCATTCAAGACATCTGTAGAAACAGCATCTTCACCAAAATCATACTTAAAGTAACCAGTAGTAGTCAAATTAGGGGAAAAACCCTAGGATTTTGACAATGCTCTTTATCATTTAATCTACTTAAATGCTACTCAATAAGAAGCTAATATGTATACAAAGGATTAATATGACCTACTTTATACAGGTAAGAAACACGATGTGACAAAGACTTTTGCTTGTCCACTAGCATTTCTTTCATTGGTCTTCCTTTGACATTAATAGTCTTAATTTAAATCCCCTTTACCGATTCCTAACCAGACCATTTTTTTCCCTAACCTACTTAAAGGTAGATATGGCCAAATGAAGAAATACTGGCCAATGTAACGTGAGAAGATGTGAGCTCTGCATTTTCAGCTATGCCCTTCAAATATACACATTTTTAATTTCCTATATTTTTCCTTTTTCTGCTGACGGGGAAAGTGAGAGGTGGATCAGCCACTATAGATGCAGAGATGAAACCTAAATGCTGAGGATGGCAGAGTTGTTTTTGAGGTTCTGAAATGTTTACCTCTGGACTGCTACTTAAAAGAGAAAGATGTATCTATCTTGTTTAAACTACTATAATTATGGATCTCGATGTCACTAAAGCTTTTTATAAATCAATACTAACCAAACAGAGAAAATTGTAAGGTAGCATTCTCTTTGAAAATGCAATCCAGTTAGAGAATAAAGTCAGGAATTTTGACTATCAGTCGAGTGCTTAGGCTACTAATCATAGTATTTCTATATTGAGGATATTGAGGTAAATACTCATTAAATAATTGCTATGTAGTATTTATTGTGCTATTCATGTAGCCCTAGGAAGTACTATACTTCTGTTTTAGCAAGTTAGGTTTGTCTGGAATCATATTGTAAAAGTTAATTTGGGGGGAAATTTGCTTTTTGGTTAAAAATAATTGCCTATTAACTTTTGGCCCCAGTATTTGAGAAAGAGATGATGTGAAAATATGCTACTGAGAAAAACCTGTCTCATTCATTCTTTTGCATTATATCCTCTTGCTTCTTCTAAATAGTAGGGCATTTTGCACATTTGTAGTAGGCAGTTAACAAATGTTATTGAAACAATAGAACTCATAGCAGATGGGACAGACCTAATGGGTTAAGAGAGTTAACAGTGGCTTAACAGAATTTAACAGGCATGTCTCCTAAATTGGTAGCCATATTGTTACTCCTAGACACACTCTACTTGAAGTAGTTAACACTGACCGAAAGTGGATGATTGTAAAATTAGATGACAACAATTAAAAATCTCTGAACTTGGAAGTGCTTTTCATTTAACAAAATTAGCCTTCTTGTTAATAAAACTTTACATCAAAAAGTGATAATATATCTGGTTAAAGAGGATAGCTCAAATTTAATGAGCTATTACATCCCTAATATAATATAAATGGTTAACAATGTTGTTGCCAGCTTTATCTCCAAAACCACACCTCTATGAAAAAAATTATATATATATTTATATATTACACTTAATAAACTCAGATGAGTTATATGCAAGGCACTGTAGGAGACAGGTGAAAAAGCATGTTTCTGAGCTGCTATGGATCACAGTTGATAAAAAGAAATTAAGTATACAAACAAGATAGACTGGTGAATATTATTGTTTGATTGAAATGTTACAACTCCTTTTACAGACAAATTATGCACATTATAATCCTACTATCAGAGGAATATATCTATTTACTTAGCATAGAAATTAAAAACTAAAAAATAGATTACACTTATCTAAAATAGAATGGAGCTCCGAATGATATTTGTCAGAATGAACCACAGAGCAATGAATTTGACAATAAAATATGCAGACTAGAACTTTGAAAATCAGCCTAGGAAAAATTTAGGTTTTTTAATGGAATAAATATTTAGACTTAAAATCAGGCAAACTAATTCTTTTAAAGCAAGTTAGAAAAAAATTGGCAATATATCACTTTACAACTAGGTTGATCATAAAAAAATAACATTCTTTTACATGCTCAGATGCACCTTAAAATGAGTCAGTGGGTTGTGGAACCTAACGCATTTTCTCCCCAATTATTTTTGAAAGGTTCTTGACAAATATTTTCCTGGGAAAGAATGACAGACTGTCTTCTTTATTTTGTTTTTATGAGACTCTTATTTTTATCCTGTCATAAGAGGCAAATGGCAGAGCTATGATTTGGGTAAGCTATGTAGCAGAGGCTCAATTTGCACAACTTATGATACAGCTTTCTTTAATCCATCAAGGAATGCAAGTTATATGGTCTTTCAATAAAAGATGTAGGTTTCATTATATATGTTCATGGATTCTATCTTGACAATCTTAAAAAGGTACCAACAGTTGCTGAAGCAGAAACTGCATATGATACTGAAAGCCTTAAAAAAACTGCCTGAAGCATTATGAAAATTTTCTACTTGAATATTTTTGTCATATAATATAAAATTAAAAAGTTAACTTTAGATACAAATAATTAGAAAACCAGCTATACTGAATATGACAGCTCTGTGTAAGTGGGCAGGTAATATTAGAATGCCCTAATAATTGAAATGTAAAAGGTCATTCTTTACTTTTCAGAAAAAGGTTATTATTCAAATAGTAACATAAAATATTGTTTTAAGATTTGAAAACAGTTAATAAAATTTTGAAATTACAGTGTTGTAAATAGAAATCTCACCACTCTGGATATAAAATACCTGCTTTCCTGTGAATGTTTAAGATGACATATGTCTCTCTAAATTATACAAGGCAAATATTAAAAGTATTAATTTGTTAAATTACCCAATAGATACTTCACATTTTTCAATTCTTTTAAATTTGTTTCAGTAGCTATTTAAAACACAATATACCCTTTTTGAAAAGCATACTTATTTTCTAGTCAATTTCATTCTTCTAAACATTGGTTTTCATTTAGTCTGATGAGAAGCCTCGCTACAGACCCTCACCGCCTGGGCTCCTGAGCATGTCCAATTCTGACACATTATTTCAATATTCTGTAAATGCTTTCATGGAGGGTTGAAATTTAAAAAATAAAAAAAGCTGTTGGAGAGAAGCTCTTTCAACATAGAACTTAACCCTGATCGTCATTATAGTACTTGTTCATTCATTAAACCAACAAACCAATGAACAAACAAGTAATAATGGTGATTTTAATTTAAATAGACTGTGACTTCCATCTAGCCAGCTATTCTGGTTAAAGTGTCTTCTGTTTATAGTTACTAAATACATATATTCTCCCAGTATCTACCTAAAGTACAGTTTCTCTCAGGAAAGAATGCCATTGCATATCTCTTTTAAAATATGTGACTGAATTCAATTATTGCTACTAACTCCCTCAGTCAATACCAAGGAGACATTATTAAAGGCAATATTGTTAAATGATAACTATATTGATTTGATAGTCCTCAAGGATGGGTACTTTCCTCTCAGTCATTCTTCAAACTGAAATACAAATACAATATTTCTCTAACTGAGCTTCATCCAACCAAGTATTACTTCATGCAGTAGCTAGAAAGGAATAGTCAGTAATTAATAATGTCACTGTTCTTATGTAATATCTTCTGGCAGAAGATTAAGACATGCTTGTAGGTATATTGGTAGATTTGGTGGTGATGACAAAGACTAAAATTTTATCACATGTTTATCATGTGAACATACAAAATAGTATCATGAAAAAAACTTTTGAAGGTTTAAGTCCTTATAACTGATCTCTTAATAGAGTTCAAACCTTATAAAAAATAGAAACCTGCCTACAAGTTAACAAAATGAAACCAATGCCTTTCAGGACTTGAGTCTAAGCCATTGGGTCTCCAGTTATTTTTAATTTATTATCTACATTAAGGTTTTATTTTAATTCACAAAAATATAAACATTTTTACTAATTTAGTGCAGAATCTCAAAAGTAAATTTTTCAGTCAGAGTTCTTTTTAAAAAATCTCATATTTATGACTGGTTGTTAAAATGCTCAACTACATTGAGATTCTCTAACTTCTTTCAGTAGCCAAGGCATTAGCTGCTCTGCATTCCTCTTTCCATCCCCTATCCTCTTCATATTGCTAGATCACAACAGCACAATTTTTCACACTACTATGACTATGTAAATATAAGCAGAACTAAACCAAATAATATATTAATTAAAATTTCTTTTCAATTTTGTTTCCTGGATTTAATAATTGCCTTATTTTTTATTTGCTCAGTGTTCTAATTGTTTCAAGTGTTCTTACAGATGCATGATATGCCCGTCATAAACTTTCAAAATGCTCAGACACCTTTGCGAATACTCAAATATTCTAACCATTCTTTTTAAAAAATTATATCTAACCTTTTATTTCTTTTTCTGCTGTTCTTTCTTCTTCTCATTTTTCTAAGACCTGCTTCCTACAGTCTTCTTGCTTTCTACTGCCATCTAGAAAGACTCATGTCCAAACAAATATAGTTCAAGGGTAAGGTTAAATAAAAGACATTTTCAATAATGGGAAATTAAAGAGAAATTTGGATATTTTTATGTTTTCCTTTTTTTTTTTAATTTGGTAGAGCTGTGGAAGATGGGCTCCAATAAAATGAAATGGTAAAGCAAAATGAAGGAAAACATGGGGTATAAAACATTAAAAAGTAAAGTCCCCAGATGAACTAAAAAAATGTTAGCTCTCCTTTCCCTCTGCAACCGTCTCATCTTCCAATCTCTTATTTTTAAATTTTCTTTTTTATCTCCTATACGCTCCTACAGTCATATTTTATTTTTTGAACTAACTTCTAAACTTTTACTCTTAATAGAGAACTTAGCTGTAAATACTTTCTGTTCATGATATCCAAGCTTTCTATTTTTTATTTTCACTCTGCAAACCATGTAATATTTCTATTTTTTGGTAATTTTCAGAAATGTATTTAGTCTTTGTATTTTGATAGTTGTTTTGTTTAAAACAAATTTTTCTAATTATCAACATCAAGATTCAAGCAACATCTTTTATTGTCATATAACTTTTTTTTTTTTTTTTACTTTAAGTTCCAGGATACATGTGCAGAATGTGCAGATTTGTTTACATAGATATACATGTGCCATGGTGGTTTGCTGCGCCTATCAACCTGTCATCTAGGTTTTAAGCCCAGCATACATTAGGTATTTGTCCTAATGCTCTCCCCTTGTCTCCCACGCCATGACAGGCCCTGGTATGTGTTGTTCCCCTCCCATGTGTTCTCATTGTTCGACTCCCACTTATAAGTGAGAACGTGCAGTGTTTAGTTTTCTGTTCCCGTGATATAACAAGAAAATTAACATATTATTTCTATACATTACTCTTCCACTTTTCTCTTTATCATGATAAGATTGCTCTGTGTTTTCCTTGTGCAGATTTTATTGTCAGGATGCCTTTTGACCTTAGTGTTTGTTTGAGAATCTATACTTGGTACTTAAATATAAATTAATTAACTGGTATAAATTCTCTTGATCCTTTTAGTAGTCTTACACTCTTTTTTAATTTGTCTTTGGTTGGCTGCAATATAAGCAAATTCTGGTGATGTTTTATGTAGCTATACTTTCTGAGGACTTATATACCTGAGTCTTTTATGTCTTAAACATAAGTGACATCTGACAATACGTTTAATGCTGGATTTTTGTTTTATTTAGTTTTTATTGTAGCAAACACGTCTAAGGATATTTTAAGATATTTTCCTTTTTTTCTTACTTTTAATGCACATCCTTTTATTTAGTCTGTTCTTTCTCTTTCTGGATATCTGTATCATAAAAACTAAAAATAAAATATTATGCTAATTTTGTAAGTCTGTAATAAGATAACAGAACAAATTAATAGAATTTATACCCAAAGACTTGTTTAAGTAAAAACTTTATATGACCAAATTCTGCATATTAAAATATGAAAATTTTAGATTTTTAACTTTTTTTTTTTTTTTTTTGAGACAGAGTCTCACTCTATCTCCCAGGCTGGAGTGCAGAGGCATGATCTCAGGTCACTACAACCTCTGCCTCCACAGTTCAAGCAATTCTCCTGCCTCAGCCTTCTGAGTAGCTGGGATTACAGGCGCCCACTACAATGCCCATTTAATTTTTAGTAGAGATAGTGTTTCACCATGCTGGCCAGGTTGCTCTCAAACTGCAGACCTCAAATGATTTGCCTGCCTCTGCCTCCCAAAGTGCTAGGATTACAGGCATGACCCACCACGCCTGGCTATTTCCATTCTTTTGAGTAAGTCAAAACCATTCTAAGTTTATTTTTCAAAAAAAAAATAATTTTTATAATATTAATTCTATACTGTAATTTTATTTTTAGATTTATTTTTATGTAATGATTATGTAATGTATTATAGTGTTCAATACATACATAATAAATAAATAAGCTACAATACATCTCTAAGCTCTTCATATGTGGAGATATGTTTAAAATACACTGTGTGGTTTTGGCATTTTGATGGGGCAGACATGTCTTTTGCTTACATCTTTCTGAAAGTTATGTCAGCTGTGTCCATCCAAATCATCCAAGGTATTTGAAAGTTGTATTTCTACTTGAGCCCACAGTCACAGGGATGGATCAGATATCACTGATAGTTTTTATTAAAGTAATGCCATTTTTAACATTTAAAGACTTGAAAAAACTATATTAATAAATAATTCTTATGAAATATAAAGAATGACAGTAGTAGGTGCCGGGTAATGAGTTCCTAGGAAAACCCGAATTCAGATTGATTTTGGTAGGCTATCACTAACAGTCACAAGCAGCATGGTAACATTCAACATGGCCCCATGGAAGATCTGCATTTAGATTAAAAATTGCTTGAACCTATTTTGTATTAAACTAACAGGCTGTTTTCCTACACCAGGAGATCATTGTGAGGTAAAAATATACTTATGAATAATATAAACAAAATATGATTGAGTACATACTTAGGTTGCTTATTTTTTTCTGATAAAAGTAAATAATACTATCACTTTATACTATATTGATCTCACAAAACTTGGAACATTTTGTTTTTATTTGTCACCAACTTTAAGTAGTTTCTTTACAAACTAGAAAGATCTAAAAGTCAACCTAAACACAAGAATTTTAAAGATCTTGTCATAGAAAAGAATGAAGTGAGTAAATGGGCTACTCAGAGCTATTTGAAGGCACATTAGGTAAATGAAAGATTGTCTTCTTTTATGTTTATTCAGAAGGGAAAAATAAGTGGCAAGCAGGAAATTATATGAAGATGAATGTCAGCTCGATATATAATAAAAAATAGCTTAATTAGCTTTGCAACAAAGGGCCATACTTCTCCCAATATAGTGAATTATCTCTTTCTAGATAGATCCAAATAGATGCACTATTGTCAAAAGGGGTTTTCCAGTTTTTCTTTTCTCTAACATCAAAATTATAAACAGACTCTAAAATAGGCAGGGTTTAATTTCAATCACAAAAATATTTTGGTAAAATATAACAAGTTTTTCATTATCAACATATAAAAATGCACTGTGGACTCTGCGAGTCCTGCTACATTATATATTATTTTAAATATTGATTATTTCATTTATTTAAAAATATTTATCAGACATATAGCTCGTTCAAAGCACAGTAGTAAATACCAGGGATACAACAGTGAAGAAAGCACATATGTCCCTGCTTGACTGGATTTGATGGTAGGCTAAATAATCCCTGCTCCCCACTCCGCCACCAAATGTCCATGTCACAATCCCAGTAAACATGTGAATGTCTTACTTTATGAGGCAAAAGGGAATTTACAGATGTGATTTAGGTAAGGCTCTTAATATGGGGAGATTATCCTGGGCTATCCAGTTGCACCCAATATAATTAATAAAGCCTATATAAGAAGGATATAGGAGAATCAGAGTCAGAAAAGGTAATGATATAATGGAAGGAAAAGGAGAAAGGGAGATTTAAAAAGGAAATGAGAGCTGATAGTGGTGCAGGGCTGTGAGCCCAGAAATACAGACAGCCTCTAGAAGCTGTAAAGTCATGGAAATGAAATGCTGTCTAGGATCTCCAGAAGAAACACAGCCCGGCTGACATCTTGATTTTATCCCCTTGAGACTGATTCTGGACTTATTACCAACAAAACAGTAAGATAATAAATTTGAGGTGTTTTTAAACAGCAGAATATGTGGTATTTTGTACAACAGCACTGAGAAACTAATACACAGTATATATTCTGAAATTGTCCTAGAATTTTCATTCTTGGAAAACAATAAAATCATCACTGGTCATTGTGCTAGAAGCTGCTAGATATTCTCCAAATATCCATTTCCCCTTTCTGAGAACAAGGTAGACGATATTTTCCAGCTTCCCTTGTAGTAAAGGTGTGGTCATATTACTGAGTTCTAGCCAATGGAATATGGGCAGAGGTAATGTGCCCATGTTCAGGTCAGATATTTTTAAAGGAGAAGTGCCTTTTCCAGTTTTTCTTTTTTCTTTCACTAGCCTTATACAAGGGATGTCCCTGTGGATGGCAGAGCCACAGAATTCTGGACTTTTATGTAAACAAGACGTCAGTTACTATTTTATTTGATCTATGACTTTCATATTATGAGGCCCATTTTTAAGGCAGTTAATTTCACCCTAAATAATACAGAAATTATTAGCTCGAAGTGTAGTAGTACCATTATTTAAAAAAACAACAACAACTAAACATGATATTGGCATCAGTTGCTTGACGGCAGGCCTTCATACTCTGGCTTCAGTAGTTAGGTGTCAGGTAAGAGAGATGTATATTCATTTGTTTATAGTGGCAGAAAATGGAAAAATCATTTCATGAGATAATTTAGAGGGTAGAGCAAATACTTCCTGAGCTGTAGCTCTCAGACAGGTTTTCTAAACAGTGGCAATATTGACATTTGGGCAGGATGCTTGTTTCTAGTGTGGCACTATCTTGTGCATTATTGTGTGTTTAGCAATATCTCTTGCCCACTAGAAGACAATGTACTTTTCCCACAGTCTTAACAATTAAGAAATTTTCCAGACGTTGCCAAATTGCCCCTGAGGACAAAATTGGCTCCAGTTAAGGACACTTTTCTAGGCAAAAGTGACAGAAAGAGCTAAAATACTACTTTGTTTTTCCTTGTAGCGTTGAAATTCAAGAAAGAGAAATTAGCTCAGATGAAAATTGATTGGCTTAAAAGCATAAATAAAAGGGAGTACCCTATCTTATTTGGATTGTCCACAATAACACAAAACCAGCCTGCCTCTAGATCCAAAAGGTAGGAGATTAGAATACAAATGTCTCGAGTTACAATGATTTTTAACTATTTCTCAGCGAAATGCAATTCAGCATTGTAGCAGAGATAAGAGAAAGGACTTTTTTTCTTTTTCTTTTCTGACTTTTATTATTTGACTTATTTTCTTTTTTGACTTAGAATCAGGGGGTACACGGGCAGGTTTGTAGCAAAGATACATTGTGTAATGCTGCAGTTTGGAGTACGAATAAATCTATTACCCAGGTATGAGCATAGTACCCAGTAGGACGTTTTTCATCCTTTACCCCCCGACCTTTCTTCCCTCTTTAGTAGTCCTCCCTGTCTGTTGTTGCCATCTTTATGTCCATGTTCACCCAATGTTTAGCTCCCACTTATAAGTGAGAACACACAGTATTTGGATTTTTGTTTCTGTGTTGATTCACTTAGGAAAATGGCCTCCAGTTGCATCCATGTTGCTGCAAAGAATATAATTTTATTCTTTTTTAATAGCTGTGTAGTATTCCATGGTATATATGTACCACATTTTCTCTATCCAGTCCACCACTGATAGGCACCTGAGTTGATTCCCTGTGGGGATTTCTCAAAGAACTAAGGATTGAACTCCCATTCAACTCATCAATCCCATTACTGGGTATATATTGAAAGGAAATGAAATTATTCTATCAAGAAGACACATGCACCCGTGTTTTCTTCTCATCAAAGTCTTTTTTTCCAAGAGGAGTGAGGGAAAGAGAGAGAGAGAGAGAAAGGATATAAGAAAGCCTTAACTGTTTCTAGGAAATATGTTTAGATATAATTATTTACATATGATGTTAATAGACTAGAAACCTTTTAAGTTTTTGAGGTGCTTTATCACCAATGAAAACACAAGGCTTGTAATTATGAAACAACTTCACTGTCACCAAACATGCACAATCAGAAAATGGGCTATGAATGGAAGTCAAGGGGGTATAGTCATCCAAACTGATGCTAGATGTCACAATGAATAATAATATATAAGGAAGGATGTTATAGAGACAGCCAATAGATGTGCATAAAGTAGATAAGGGAATTTATCTCAAAGATAATCAGGGGTCTGATCAAAAAGTAACCTCAACCACCCAAACAATGGATCTTCTTGATGCTTGCATAGCCAGGTTCCATAACTGCTCTATGTAGCTCATTCTTACCTTTTCCAAATGGATATTTTTGGTGGCTATTCTTCCTTCATCAAGATATATGAACTATGTGTGGATTGGTGTATATAACTTCTCTTGTAGTTTGCAGGGTTCTAGCTTATAGAGAATGTGCATTGATCAAGATGTTCTGGACAATGAACCAGATGCAATAACTAAATGCAGTTATTCTCTATTTGGAGATATGGATAAGTATGTTTGATGTGTAGACAGATTGTAGGAATATTTGGAAACCAGAAGCAATGATGATTACAAAGAATATTAGTGGTCTTTTAAAAATCTTTTTATCTTCCCGTTCATATAGTATTACATTCTCATGTTCTCTTGATTTAGTAGATTTTTATGCCTGAGATCTATTAAATAGATAGTGAGAAGCAATGTACACCATTTCAAGAAAGAAAGAAAAAAACTCTTAAAGAGCAGTTACTCCTTCTCAAAATCCTCTTTTTTCCACCCCCTGCAACAAGTGGATGCTGGTGATACTCTATGAATGATGGAGTCTTTGGATTATTGTACAGAGAAAATTTGACCATGAAACAAACTCTTTTGATCACTATATAAACATTTAAAGAAATGTAAAAAAATCTTCGGTGTTTGTGTTGTGTATTTTGAGTCTATTTTTCACAGCAGCTCATTCACTACTCTACTAATAATGGTTATAATGATATAGTTGGGTCATATCTTGGAAATGATTACTTTTTTTTTTTGAGACAGCATCTTGCTCTGTTGCCAGGCTGGAGTGCAGTGGTGCCATCTCGGCTCAGTGCAACCTCCACCTCCTGGGTTCAAGTAATTCCCCTGCCTCAGCCTCCTGAGTAGCTGGGATTACAGGCGCATGCCACCATACCCAGCTAATTTTTGTATTTTTAGTAGAGACAGGGTTTCACCATGTTGGCCCGGATGGTCTCGATCTCTTGACCTCGTGATCCACCAACCTCGGCATCCCAATGTGCTGGGATTACAGGCATGAGCCACCGCACCCGGCCTACTTTTCTAAAAATTAACTACACAAAAGATACTGTTCTCTCTCTCATTGCTGTACACACGTACACTCACATGTGCATACACACACACCACACATACACACACCCAATTTAAATGCCTCAGTCTTTCTGTGACCTTCCATGGATTTAATGGATCAGAGTCTGAAATAGTGCAGAAACACATGAACAAGGCCTGTCTCAGCAACAACCTGGCTGTCAGTTACTTTGCAGTCAGTGGATTATGCACGATAATGAATATCCACATGAAAAAGACAGCATTGAGGACAAGATGCCCCTCAATCACACCCTTCAACAGCGTACAACTTTATAATCGTTGATATTTCAAATCCAATGTAAGGATAAAGAGGATTTTTGAATGAGACATAATTTGCTTTCTACTGCTATGGTGAAAGAAGATAAAAAGTTAAGGTTTTATTATTTTCCTAAAATACCTTTTTCTTACTCACTGAATTGTGCACTAAGCTGTATATTCATTTTAGTTGTTGCTAGTAACATACTTTCTATATTATCATGTAATCTTACTCCTTACTACTTCATAGGGAGTTAAAGACAAAACAATTATATGATTTAGCAACCTTATGTTCTTCAGCAATGGACAGGCCACTGGAGTAACATTTTGCGCACATAAGTTTGAAGGTCCACATTAAAACAATCAGTAACACATGTTCTGTCATAAAAGCCTTTGAAATAGCTCTAAATATTTAAAATATGTTAGTGATAGAAAAATATACTAATTTAAACATAAAATTTGGAAATAAGCATAAAGTTAAAATTAAACGATAAAAATTGTTAACTAAAGTTTTAATTCATTTTGCAGTAGCTTTTGTCCAGTTTATATATGAGATGCAATTCTAAGTTTTATTTAATGTTCTATATTGCCTCAGAATGCTCCTTTGAATATATAATCATAAATGTGTCTTTTCCACATGACCTCACACTTGCAGTGTTGTACTCTGTCACACACACATTTGCAATAGTCTTTTTGTGAATAACTCATTGTTAATGTGTATACCCCACATTGTAAATAAAAAGTTTATTGCTAATTACAACCAGTATATATAATTTTCTTTCATTGACGGTACATTTGGATTTGCAAATATATGCACAAATATTATAATATGCAAATCAAATATAGTTAACTTTTAAAAGTATTTTATGACAGATAATAAACCCATTTGGAATAGATAGCGAGTGTCCTGAACTTTGTCTTAGTGCACAGCATTCTTATTTATCACTTGGTAAGTTTTTAAATGGGATAAAAGTAAACTGACTACTGATCACTTAATTCAACAAGGTAATACATTCTATATAGTATGTTATAGTCAGTCAGTTCATGGGCTTAACCTTGTTATTAAGCTTTAGCTCAACCTTGTTATTAAGCTTTAGCTCAGGAAGACCTAAATGCCCCCAATATCTATTTCTCATAACTAGAAAGCTAGAATTTAATTTGTTTTAGGTTTTCACCTCCTCCCTGACCATTTGGGTTGTGTTCATAGGTGACCTTGATCCTATCCGTCCACTATTTCAAGATTCCAGGGCCTAAACTGGCTTCTGGCTCTTAACTAACTCTTCCTTTGTTCTTTGCACCTTTTGAAATTCAGGTCACATACTCAATTTTTTTTTATGAAACCCCCAGTCTAACACCCAACAAAAATTCCACAATTTTATATCAGTTTATTTTCAGATGTTGCCTTTTCAGGTTTTGACCTACAAAGTTAGATGTCAAGCACTCAATTATTTCTTCATATCCACTAAAATCTTTCTGGAATTGCTGAATTCTTCTCCAATAGTTTTTTTTTTTTTTTCTGATACACAACAAAGTATTTTATGAGTTTATTTCAATGTATATGCAATTTTAAATAATTAGATATTTGGCCCTTTGAAGTGTGTTTATTCATTTATATTAACTGATTTCCAGAGACATTTAAGAGTAACACAATCTACTAGTGATCTAACAATTGTGTAAAATATATTTTTATCATCAAAAAATAATACTGAGAAGTAAAAATTATCTTTGAGAGGTGATGCTATTAGCATTTTAGTATTTTCATTGATAATTTTTCAAAATTTTCAAATAAGTTGTTTATATAATTAAAATTGCATTATTTACTACTTTTTGAAACAGTTCTACAAATTAGGAACAAATAAATATTAGGTTGAAAGTTTTTTAAAAAAGACAACAGAAGTTACTAATGAAAAGAAATTTGAATGCCATGAAACATCAAAGGCTCTTATTGTTAAAAGGCTTACTTTTAAAAAATGTATTACCTTAACTATGGAAACATTTAAATTAATTTCAAGATAGAAGTAAAGTTGGCCACTTTATAAATATCTGAAAATATATTAATAGCAATTCTGCAATAATATAATTAAAAGTTTTAAATTTCATTGTTGCCCTCCTGTCTTGTAACATACCTCAAGTTGTGTTTGGCTAATAAAACCTATGCAATAGATGCTGATTACTTTTGTTTTAAGCAGCATTAGATAAAGCACAAAGACGGTTCTATAATTGCACTCTTTGCTCGAACTCAACCCATTCTAAGTTGAATGTAATTCAATGAGTGAATTATTAAATGGGTGAATTTAATTAAATGAATAAATGGGCGATTACTTGTTGCATTTAGCCTGAAGTATCATAGTTCTTTTTCATTTTTATTTATGTGTATTACTGATTCTTGGAAATAAATATGTTCCTTATCAATATTATGTTATTGGTACTGATGCTTTATCTGATTCATCTGGAACAGGATTGTCAAAGGATCTGTTTGACAGATAATGGTTATTGTATGTTAACCATGAGTCTTTTGTGTTGTCACATATTCATATCTGTAGGAGCTCAAAGCAAAATGAGCAACACAATGCTATTAAGATTTTCTGTCTTCTTTATCATTACATCATGGCTTGAAATGAACAATTTAGAAGTGACTTCCCCATTGCAATGGCTGTGTCAGTGACCACAAAGAGAATCTTCAAGCTCTAGTCCAGTATGCTGTGGCAGAACATCTTGGTTAACATCTGTTTGAATGTCAGCATCAACATGATATTAATCATCTAGGAAACATAAATTTTGAACATTTGTTGATAATTATGTACAACTTTATAGATTCACTCTTGTTACCTGACAGGGCTTATCTGATTAGCACTTGCAAGGACTTTTACTCTTGTAATAGTCAGACACCTTATGGGGAGGGTCGTATCTGATGTTTCACGAGTTATAGAGTCAAGTGCACAATTAGCATGTGTAAGAGTTAGACATCAAAGGCAGAAAATGTGTCTTCATGTCTTCCTATCTCTCTAATTTCTCATTTGGTCTAGGTAAGAATGCAGTGGTCAAAGGAAACTTGATAAGCAGCAAAACAAAACAATTAAAAGTGGAAAATCAAAACAAAAATGTTTTGTGATTTATTTTGTTAGATTAGCTAAAATACCATCCTAACACCCAGAAATCAAAGTGGAATTGATTTATTCAGAATCGAAATATTGGATTTCTGGTACCTAGAATGACAATAATAGAGATATTGCCAGGTGGGACTGCAATTTATTCGTGGTATAAAGAACAGATGTATAATCAATACTGAGCTGCAAGATGATCACTTTGTCATCTCTCTCACATTCAAACACTGCAGAGATAATGCTACCCATCACAGAAGACACTGATTATTAACAATTACATATGATGGAAGTATTGGGCAGATGCGTTTCAGGGAATGAGCCAAAGATAGACGAGTAATAATTATTTTAAAAATATAGGAAAGTAACATTTATTTTAAAATAATGAAGAAACAATATATTTATAAATTATTTTTTTCTCCACGTCCAGATCTAATTATTGTAGCTTTACTCGATTTCCCTATTTTCAATAGAATAGGAGACATATATTTTAAGTTTTAGTGATAGGACTTGGAAGCCAAAGTAAAACTGACAATAGAGTTTTCAAATGGGAACTAAATAAGTGTATTTTCCATAAAATAAGCTATAGTCTTAGCTATAGATCATCGGATTTTGTTCTTAATATTACTGAGATTTAGTTTTAATCCTGTGGTTGTTTTTAGCATTAACTATTCCCAGTATTCCTTAAGATACTAGAGATAGTGTTTGTACAAATTTGCATTTATAACACGGAAATGCATTGGACTGCACAAATCACAATCTTTGCTCTTGTTGATTAGATATGATTTTTCATTGGTATGCGTTATAGATGGCCTCAAGAAAATTACAGGTGTATTGTACTTATAGGAGATCTGAAGTGAGTAGAAAACATCAATTATGAGCATCCGTGCAGTAAATTAGTTTATACACTTTGCTAGTTGTAAACAAAGAACTTTTGCTCTTTGTATTTATAGCCAAGATTAAGGGGTAAAATGTAGTATGTCTTCTCCTTTTCTATATTATAGATAAGAAATGTGTAATAGAAAATTAAAAAATAGCATTTCTGTTTTGATTTGCAAGCATTTACTTTTAAATTTATTATGATGCTTAAATATTTCAATAATACAGATAATTTTATTTGTGAATTTTTATTATTTTGTTAATCATTTTTGATATTGTATGTGTCAATTTTTAACCTACTGAAATTATGCATTTCAGTAGGTTAAAAATTACATTGATAAAATAACTTTTGTGTAATTTCACATGTGGTAGTGTCAATAGCTTATCTGTATAACATTGGGGCTATTCCCAGCTATTAATCAACCAGACACGTGTCTTCAAAAGCTTATTTTATAACTGAATAGACTTTCTCAAAAGGCAGTGAACTCGTGAATATTTAAATGCAAATTGGTGTGCCATTATTAAAATGTACACTCAGGCACCACTAAATTACTTTTGACTCATAATTAAACACTTATTCTAGGCATTTGAACTCCCTGCACTTAATAGAACAACCAATTGCTGCATATATTTGAACACTGAACAACTGGCTTCATAAGCTGGATCTCACATCATGATATTCCCTGACTTATCAGAGAACATCTATATAAAATTTAACCATTGCCATCTTTAGCTACTAGTGAATATTCTGATGACAAAACATATTTATACTAATGTATTTTCAAAAATAGTTATTAGTACTTATGACTGACTCCATGAAGGTATATTATATTATACAGAAGAAACACAAATGAAAAAAATCACAGCTCAGTTGTTCAACACATTGGGTCCTGATTATTCCTTATAATATCCTAATTAAGATAATTAAGTCATATAAAAAGGACTTCATCTATATCTATATACGTGTGTGTTTAAACATACATACATTTTTCAAATAGTCAACATGATAATCATAATCAAACAAAAAGGTGATAGCTGCTTACAAAAATAATGTACTATGTTTGGTTTTGTTTCAGAGATTTTAACCTAGTTGAGGATAAATTACCCTATCACATGAAGGTAATAGAAAGCTATAGAAACAAAACAAAGCTACAAATTATTCGTACAAGTGAAGACTATAGTAGAAGGGAACACTTAAGATAAAAAGGAAGGGCCGGGCACTGTGGCTCATGCCTGTAATCCCAGCACTTTGGGAGGCTGAGGAGGGCAGATCACTTGAGGTCAGGAGCTCAAGACCAGCCTGACCAACATGGTGAAACCCCATCTCTACTAAAAATACAAAAATTAACCAGGCATGATGGCACACTCCTGTAATCCTAGCTACTCCGGAGGCTAAGCCATGAGAATCTCTTGAATCTGGGAGGCAGAGGTTACAGTGAGCTGAGATTGGGCCACTGCACCCCAGCCTGGGTGACAGAGCAAGACTCCATCTCAATAAAAAAAGAGAAGAGAGGGCCAACACTCTCTCACCTTCCATCAAATCAGAATCAAATCAGAAATTTGTCCTCACAGTCTTCCCTCTTTGTCTGTCATTAACCTCTACCTCTCTAATTAATGATATGAATAAATCTTGTTTCAATATTTTCCTTCTTAAAAATAAACACTTTCCAGTAGATGCCTCTTTTTTGTCTGCTTTTCTCTGTTGCAAAATTTCTCAACAAAGTTATAGACTTGTTTCTGCTGTGTCATATATGTCTCTGTTCAATCCACTGTGATTCAGTTTTCATCTCCCCAACATCCCTGAATCCATTTTGGTCAAGGTTCCTAGCCCTCAATACTTACCAAATTTAAATCAGTTCTCAGTCCTCCAGTCCACATTTGACTAACAACCACTCAAAACATTTGACACATTGATCAGTTTCTCCTTCCTGAAACCTCTTTTCTTTCTTGGCTTTTGTGCTTTGCATTTATATACTGGCAAGAAATCTATCTACCCATATGTCTTCTACATATCTATTCATTCATTCATTTTACTAGAACTCTTAGAAATTTGCATGTGTCTTAGTACTTTTTTTTCTATAACAGAATGACTAAGACAGGGTAATTTATGAAGAAAGAGGTTTATTTAGCTTTTGGTTCTGCAGGCTGGGAATGGGAAGTTCAAGATCCAATGGCTGCATCTGGCAAGGGCCTCATGCTATGTTATAACATGGTAGAAAAGTGGAAGGGCAAATGAATGCATGCAAAAAAAATAAATAACATGGTGGCAACCCCATTTATAACAACTCACTCTCATGGGAGCTAATCTATCTCCAAGAGAACAAATCCATTCCCATGAGAACTAACCCAGTCCCATAAAAAAGACATTAATCCATTTTAATGACCTAATCATTTTTAAAGGCAACACCTCTCAACACCACCATTTTGAAGACTGAGCCTCAACATGAGTTTTGTTGTGGACAAACCATATTCAGACCATAGCAGCATGTAATTGGTAAAGCAGAAGTTAAGTGGCAGATGAGTGTTAATGCTTAGGTTAGTATGGTGTGAGGGGCTGGAGCAGTGCATGGACATGGTACCAGACCTGCTGACACATATTGTTGGTACGTGTATTGAGCAGCATCTGGGCCTGCACTCCCTCTGGCTTCCACTAAATGCCATCGTTAAGCTTCTCTAACTCCTGGGTCAGGTGCATTTGCCCCCCAGTGTCTTCTCATTACGCTTAGAGTAAATCCTCAAGAATTATAATTGCCTATAACACTGTATATAATATTATCTTTATCTTCATCTCTGATCTTATCTCTTATTACAGTTTAACTTATTCGCTCCATTCAAGACATATTGCTTGTTTTTATTTCTCAGCTCCCAAAATTTTTACCTGATATTTCTTTTGCCTATAAGATCTCTTGGTTCTTTCCATGACTCATTATTTTATTCACTACATTCAAGATGTTTCCACAAACATCACCTTTTCCGAATGAAGTCATTTCTCTGACATATCTTTTTAAAATAGCCATACACCCATTTTCTTTTTTCTATTGTTTTTTAATTTTGATTTAATTTCTGGAATACATTGCAGAACATTCAGGTTTGTTACATAGGTATACATGTGCCATGGTGGTTTGCTGCACCTATCAACCTGTTATCTAGGTTTTAAGCCCCACATGCCTTAGGTATTTGTCCTAATGCTCTCTCTCCCCTTACCACCCAACCCCCAACAGGCCCTGGTGTGTGATGTTCCCCTCCCTGTGTCCGTGTGTTCTCATTGTTGAACTCCCACTTATGAGTGAAAACATGTGGTGTTTGGTTTTTTGTTCCTGTGTTTGTTTGCTGAGAATGATGGCTTCCACCTTCATCCATGTCTCTGCAAAAGACATGAACTCATTCTTTTTTATGGCTGCATAGTATTCCATGGTGTATTTGTGTCACATTTTCTTTATCCAGTCTATCATTGATGGGCATTTGGGTTGGTTCCAAGCCTTTGCTATTGTGAACAGTGCTGCAATAAACATACGTGTGCATGTGTCTTTATAGCAGCATGATTTATAATCATTAATCATTTGGGTATATACCCAGTAATAGGATTGCTGGGTCAAATGATATTTCTGGTTCTAGATCCTTGAGGAATTGCCATACTGTCTTCCACAATGGTTGAACTAATTTACACTCCCACCAACAGTGTCAAAACGTTCCTATTTCTCCACAGCCTCGCCAACATCTGTTGCTTCCTGACTTTTTAACAATCGCCATTCTAACTGACATGAGGTGGTATCTCACTGTGGTTTTGATTTGTATTTCTCTAATGACCAGTGATGATGAGCATTTTTTCATATGTCTGTTGGCTGCATAAATGTCTTCTTTTGAGAAGTGTCTGTTCATATCCTTTGCCCACTTTTTGATGGGGTTGTTTGCTTTTTTCTTGTAAATTTGTTTAAGTTCCTTGTAGATTCTGAATAATAGACCTTTGTCAGATGCATGCACTCATTTTCTTATTTCAACATTCACTTCCTATGTGCACACACACACTTTTGTGTATTTGTGTATTTATTATCTACCCCCTTGATCTGGAAAAGTGGTCAACAAACTATAGCACACTGGGGAAATTGCAGCAAGTCCTGTGAGCTAAGAATGGTCTTTGAATGTTTAAAAGATTGCAAGAAGTAGTGGAGAAGGAGAACAAGAAGGATGAAGGTGAAGGGAACAAGAAATGTGATGGAGATCACCCACAAAACCTAAAATATTTACCATCTGGCTCTTTGTAAAAGCTTATCTATACACATTTGTCTTGAAGTTCCTCAAAGACAGAACCATACCTGCTACTTAGGAAGACTTGCAAATCATTTATAAGAAGGAGCTCATTCAGTCCTTAAAGCAGTAAAGAAAATTTTATACCAAAAATAATACATACTAAACTTTCAGAAATTTATATTAGTTATATAAGTAAAATAAAATGAAAGATGCTGTAGCATTTCCAGGAAGAAGAATAATGCAAAGTCACTCAGATATAGAAAATATGGCACTTAGGAGAACATTTAGGAAGAAGTCCCAGCCATAATTTTTGACAATAAGAAATATATTTAGTAATTGGCATTCATTTTAATAAAATATTTATGTGGTTTTCTTTGTCTTTTGCTTTCACTTAAGTGAAACCCTCTCCTCAGTTATCCTAAAACTTCATTTGCCTATAGCAGGAGTAGGAGACAGCATTTTACAGTGAATCTAGAAAGAATGCAAATACAAAATTCAACTAACTTTTAGATTCTGAGAGTATGAATGAGATTTTGCAGAAAGATAATAGGCTTAAAAATAGAAATTTTGAGAGAAAAAGTATATGTTGATTTCATTTAAATATTGTTTAATACTATTTAAATGTTGTTTAAACTATCCCAGGAAGAGCAGAGTTGAGGATTTCTTTGATAGGATAATTCCTTTCTTTCTCTTGGTGCCTAAGCCATTTAAACTTGCTGATCTTTAATAGATTTTAAAAATTACATTGAAATAAATAAATAAAAGAAAGATTTGTTCTTTCCAGACTAAGGGATTGACTGGCAAGTCAGGGAAACAAAAGGAGGAAAAGAGAGAGTAGGGGGAGGTTTAAGGATGTTTTCCCTGGCCTCTGGGCTCATAGGTGCATGACATGAGGGAGAGGGCCATCATAGTCTAGACAGATATGTTGGAGCCCAAGTATATGTGAGTTTGTAACATGTATCCCCAGGCATAGTAAGACCTTATTTAAAACCATTAGGCAGAGACCTAGATGTTCACATATGTTTAAAAGCCGTGGGATAATGGTGTATCACAAGTAGATATAGCTAAATATATGATTTTATAGCAGCTTCCTGGATCCCCATGGCCTGAATGTGTATAAAAGAGAGGAAGATAATCGCTGGTGACTGGCTAGAGGCATGGAAGTGCAAGGAACACAGGGAGGCCTTTGGATTAGCACAAATAGACTTGCAGAGGTTGGAACTTGGATATATACAGCAAAAGTCTGTGGTTCTGGACTCTGAAATGGCACCTACATATAATCCCACACAAGGCAGGCATGACAAGTCTTACAGGTCAAGAATTAGACAAATTTAGCAACCAAGAGCAAAGATCAGTGAAGCTCCTTTGGACACCAGTGGATACCATTTCCCCTATACATCACTTTTCCCTATTAAAAGCAGAGGAAAGAGGTAATTTAAAAAAAACAAAAACTGAGCTCCTATATCCCAATAAATGGGAAGTTTTAAGGAAATACTATTTATGATAAAACTAAATCATATCAAAACAAAGAAAACCCAGCAAAAATGAATGTAACAGTATGGTATAATAAAGGAAACATGGATTTGGGGGTTCATTCAGCTACTTAGTTTGTTGTTGTTGTTTTTAACATTGGCTCTAACCCTTATTTATATAACTAGGCAAAGTAATGATCTTTAATTCTGACTTGTCTCTATTTCTTCTATTGAAATAATAGCATTTACTTTACAGTGTTTTTTTTTTTGTTTTGTTTTTTGTTTTTTTTGAGACGGTTAAATGTCTTCTCTTCCCAGAAATTTCTCAGAACCTAATGGTTTCTCAGTATTTGTTATGCTTACCCAGCACAACACCGTGGAAATTGTAAAAGAACACTGTAGGAAGTCACTTATTAGTGCCAATCATTTGCAGACAAAGGAAATCTCTCCCGTGTTCCTCATATCTATCTCCAGTGGTAAAATCACATAATTGTTAGAGAAATACAAATAAAATTATTCCATACACCAAAAAAATTTTAAATTAATTTACTAAAATTACCCTAAAGAGAGAAAATATTCACCATAATTCTATAGTTCAGGGAAAAAGCACTCCTAATGTTAGATATTTTATATATACTTTTAGAGAGATACATTCTAGTGTAAGGTGCTTTTACTGTATATATATGTTTTAATTTTCTTGAATAAATATTTAGAAGGTTCATAAATGACGTAGATACTTATCATTATGAGAAACTGACAGGTTGGTTTTCAGATGAGTTGTTTCATTTGCAGACCCACCAGTGATGTGTGAAAATTTCGGTTGCATAAATTAACTCATTTAATCCTCCTTCAAATACTTTGAGGTCAGTATTATCATCATATTCATTGACAATGACCAAGTCAGGCTTTGAATTCATCCCGTTTGGCCTTCCAAATGGGATTCTTACCGCTATATCATCCCAGTAAGCTCATTTTTAATTCCACTCATCTGGTTGAAAGGTAGAAATTAAATATGGTTGAGAATTTAATCTCTTAGCTATCATGTGGAGCAGTCTGTTTCCTTCTGTCAGCATTTGCTCATGCACATCATCCACTCCTCTTCTACCCTGATTTCTGCTTAAACATCTGTTGGTTTGTGTTCCTCATTCTACTCATTCTAGGACAGACTGTCCAATTTCCTGGTCAAGCCAGGCCCCCCTGCTATTTTGCTTTGGACACTGCTCTGTAAGTCTCAGCCTCTGAGGGGATTCATGTAGTCTCTTCACTTGAATGAGGAAAAAAAAAATCTTTCCTTCCCATTTTCCCACCTTTCAAGAATTAGGCCACAAAGTTTGTGGTCCCCTGTTTTCAAATTCCTGGATGTCTTAGTAAAACAACTTCTTAAAGTGTTCACTTATTTGCTCTCCAGGCTTGTAGTACATGCCCCTGGATACATGAAGGAGATGAAAGAGGCTAAAGAATGATTTCAGCAGCACAAACTCTGACCTCCAGCAATCCTAGTGCATGGAACTTTTCTTCCATTTCGCTGAGTCAAATCAGGACATCCTGTCAGCTGCTCTCCCTTCTGTAAATATATTCAGAAATGCCCAAATTGGAGTCTGTTATGCTAAAGGGAAACTCAAACAAGTCATAATCTCAATATTTTACAAGTCAAAATAAGTATTTGATAATTGTGCAGACTTAAGAAATATGTTCAAATCATTTGCTTGAAATTTTCAGCTTTCCAGTTGTCTTAGCATTAAAGCCTTGCTGACATGGTGTAGAATGTCCAAGGGTTAATATTGTGGTTCAGATGCTCATTCTGGAAATAGAATATTACTATCAATATGACAGTTCTGCCTCTCAAGGGACAGGATATCACATCAGTTATAATATGTAGCTCTTTTTCAGTCACTGATCACTGGACTGAGACACTTTTAAGGCTGTCAACAGCAGCAATCTTAATCATTTACAGAAATAAAATAATACGTGTTCCTAAAAGGTAAAATACGTCATCAAGGTTCTTGATTACATTGAAAATAAGACTTTGAAGTGATTGATTTGAAGTTATTAATTAACACAACATAATGTGTTTACTCAAAGTCCTAAAAACCTAAAGGTATACATGAAGAAGGAAGAGTAGCACTTACATGCACCCAGCCTTGTTCCAAGCACCTTACATTTAGAAGCTTAATTAATTTCAGAAGCTTAATTAATAATGAGAACTCTATGAGACTCATTATTGTTTCTTTTTCACTTTTAAATGAAAAAATAAGAGACATAAAGAATCTCACCTGTGATCATACAGCCTTCAATACACAGTCTTTGCCCCCAGTGTAAAAATGACTAAGGTCTAATTCCATAGGTGTCTTTTCATTCTTGGAAATTTTAATGACACTAGATTTTCTGGGAAAATAATCACTAATTTTGACAGTATGGGTAATCACACTTTTGATTCCTTTCCCATAAACTATTAAGGAAATATGGACTTGATTATATACAGGTGCATTTGTCATTCGTGTGTGTTTTTTTCACAGAATGGAGTAGCAGGTTATTTTTTTGGGCTAACCTCCTTAACTAATTATGGTTTAACTTTATCCCAAGGAACAATTTCCAAAATTGAGAAACAATAAATAATAAATAATATGTTCATGCATATCCAGTCCTTCTGTGGCAGAAAGACTAAGGAATTCTTACTCTTTCAGTATGGAAATTAGTACACTACATAACCACCTTTCCAGTTAATTGTGGCTCATAGGTGGTTGGTTGCTTGGAAAAGTTAGTGAATGTAGAGACCAATTAGAGAATTTTACTTTCGATTTACTCTGTGTCAGTCACTGTTCTAGTACTTTACATATAAGAAGTAGCCTTATCAGTTTCAGGCATTTGGTAGACCTGGGCATGAATCAGCATGTTTTTAAAGGAGGGTGATACATCTGCTAATTTAACAAGTGGACCAAGTGGAGGTTTACTAATGGATGGCAAATTGAATGAGGTCTAAGCATATTCTCTTTCCAACTGCCTAGCTTCAAGTTTTGTGTCTGGCATTTACTAGCTGTGTGACTTAGAAAAATTTAATCTTTCTTGGTCTCAGTTTTCCCATCTGTAAAGAGGTAATAATAATGCCTACCTAAGAAAGCTATTGGGAAGATCAAGTGAGATGGTGTATGTTGAAAGTCCTTTGTGTCATATCTGGACTATGCAAAGTTCTCAGTAATGGTTAACTTGTGTTACTTCTTCAAGAATGGAGCTTTATCTATTGTATAATCTGCACTCTTTATCTAACCTATTTCAAGAACAATGAATTATAGAAAAATTGGACAGATCATGAGTTTCAATCTAGAGTCTACCAATAACTGTATTTCTGACCTTCAGTGTCACTTATTCCTCAGGCTTTAATTTTAATCACTGGCAAAATGGAGTCAAACTACATGACTTTAGACACTTTTCCAGTACTAAAATTTTATGGTTTTTATTAAGTGCTAAAATCATCACACAGTTTAGTTACCCAAAATGTGGGACACTAAAAATCTCAAACATTATTCAAATAAAGCAGTGATTTTTTAAATAGAAAACAATTAGTTTAATCTTCTATGACTTCTAGTTATAGTTTTACTGAAGATAAGTAGATTTTGTTGTCATTTAAAAATAATTTTTAATGGGTTTAATTATATAAGAAATTGTGACTTGTTAAACAAAGGAGTGGGTGAATTTATTATATCAAATAATTAAAGGACAGATTCTGAGAAAAAATTGAAACCAGTATATCCTGATTTCATCCTCATGTTACAAACAAAGAAGGATATACAGAATCAGTATTTGTTCTTGTCCCTAATATTCACAATTTCTTTATGACTCACTAAAGATATAGTAAAATACCATTCATGATGAATATGTAACCAGTGAATTTATAAACTTACATTCTTTCTTTTCTGATAAAAATTTCCAGTGGATTTCAAACTCTTAATATAATTGCTTTAGTTACTTGTTGCTAAATCTAATTACATTTAATTAAATTAAAATTCTAATAAAGTTCTCCAATATCCACTATATAGAAAGATGAATATATTTATGAAATAAATAGAAATATAGTGTACCTTGAAATGAATAGTCAGAAAATACCAATATATTTGAATTTTTGAAGTAATATCAATACATGTTGCCTTATAAACTTCCTTAGAATTAAACACTAAAATGAAATAGATTATTTCTAATCTCTTCATTATATCTGCTTTCAGAAATAAAGTGTGGGCTGAGTTGCCAACATTTACTTTTCAACAGTAGAGTGCTTTGGTAGGAATACTGACCATTGTAGTAAATTGACCTATATAGTGCATCACCTAGGTTATTGACCTTTTGTGAAGCATTGACTGAGTTCCTCAACTCTTTAATACTCATTACAGAACAATCTTACCTAATATTTTCTTTTAAGACTAACATTTCCTATTATGAAAAGGCATGTTAGAGTACACTAAACAAGACTGAATATATTAAAATTCTATAATATGAATATAATTTTAATGGAACTTTATATGTTCGATGTTGACAAGAATTGGGGGGTGGGTGACTAGAAGGTATATTTCAAAGCATTAGACTTCCTAGTTATATTAGCAGAGTTATATATGTTTAAATCCAGGGGGTTATCACAGGCTATAGGCAAATTTCCTGTTTTTGTAAATAAAGTTTTATTAGAACAAGGCCATGCCCATTCTTCTGAGTTTTGTCAGTGGTTATGTTCTATAAAACAATAGAGTTGAGTAGTTGCAACAGATATATCATCTACAAAGCCTAAAATGTTTACTATTGTGTCTTTTACAGAAAACATTTATTGACTTCTGCAAGGCATATCTAAATATGTGAAAATACAATCTTTAGATTTGTACCACTAAATTAAGGCTGTGGAACCAAGCCTTAGAGATGATATAATTTATTAAGCTCTACTGAGCCATTTCAGAAATTATAAGAAAAGTAATTTTTTTTTAACCATTGTCAACATAACATTCCATCAGTTCTTCAGAGGAAAAGACTCCTATAGAGTCAGTTTTGCTTTCTACTTACAGAATGCATCAGGATGGGTTACATCTTTGTCACATGTAAATAATTTCAATTCCTCAAGAAATTACATTCATTCTGCCTCACAGTTAACATCAAGGTTGAAAACGTAACTTTATTTTCTTTCTACCCATTAATCAAGGTTCAAACTGCTCCCATTTTCATACTAATGGAAAGCTGACTAAATAAGAAAGAAAATCATTCATTTCAATATATCAGTTAGCTAATAAAATACTTTTCTAAATGGGTGTTTGCCTGGTAAAATATTGTAAAGATCTCATTTTATATTTTAATTCCTCCTGCATAAACCATTTCTAAAAGATGATTTTTAGTTACATAAAACCTTTTATGTTTTCTTTTAATTGATAAACATTTAATAATGATTATTCTTTATCAACATTCAGAAGAGACTATTGAGTGGTTTCACACCAGGCATACTTATACACACACACACACACATACACACACACACACACACACACACACACATTCTTTGCATTCGTTGGGCACCATATATAACAGTTTTATTAGGTAATTAAATCTTTATTTTGTAAGCCCTAAACTCAAAATAAGTAAAGTTTAAAAATAAATCATGTTGATTTAAATCACACTTGGAAATATTACTGGAAAGTCAATTAAAATAACTTGTATTTTCAGTATTTTAGTAGTGAATGTATATTTTTAATAACATAGTTTAAAGTTTTTCTTATATACTTCAGTGCCCCTACAAAATAAAATTTTTGAAATAAACTACAGTTTTCTCTTTTTGCTGTATTATTAAATTCTAACATTAGTAATCATATTGTCTTGTAAGTTAGCCATATTTTGGGGACCTATAAAAATGGCTGAGTGGCTGTAACAGAAATGGTTTCAAATTGCTGTACCTTTGCTATTCTTTTTGTCTGTTTATTCATTTCTTTTTCTTTGTTGGAAATTATCAGTTTATTGCTACATGTGTTTGATTTTATACTAATTCTCTCTGCTACTTCTTTATAATTTGATAGCATACAAACATCTTAAGTACCTATGCATCTAAGAGATGGGGTAATCTCTGATGATTAAAAGAAAACAATCATTGTCACTGATCTCAAAGAATACAATCTATTTTAGGTGAAGGATATATACAAAAACAATACATTCCTATGAAAAATATTATTATATATGTATAAAATACAGTGGAAAGAGATTCATTCTTTCTGAGCATATTAGAAACATTCATAAAAGAGGTAATACATAATCATTAGAGTAAAAGGTGATGTATAAAATAAAGCTGTTGATTATAAAAAATACATCCTATGAGAGATGTTACCTGTACTCTTAAAATATAACAAGTACAATTAGCTTTTCTTATTGAATCTTTTTGACTTTTCCCCAGAGACAAACCTTTGTTGTATGTCTAAATTAGAGATAAATGAAATATTATTACACATAAGTTATGTGCTTGTTTAGTATCTGGGAATTATTTTATACTTTCATATATAATTATGAAGAGAAATGACTCTTGACTTTTGTTCATAAATATAAAGGAAATATACCTGTATTTACTTTATCTACCCACATTGAAAGCTTTTACCACCAGAAATCATTCTTCTTATTTTTTGTTATAAATATTGATTGCTTGACTCACAAATGGTATGAATAGAAAAGTGTATTCTACACTGTGACCTTATAATTCCATAAAGCAATGCCAAAGTTTTCAACAACTGTTTTGTAGAAATGTATGTGAGAATGTGTAATGTATTTCATTTGGTGATTGACTGAAAAAAAGTACAATTGTTTATTTGAAATTTCATTTCAGTGACCATCAAAAAAAATTGTACCATGACTAAAGGTTTAGTTTGCTATAGTTCTTCAAGCCATTTTTATTTACATAAGCATCTTCAGTCCTGAAATGACTTTTGACATAGAACAGACTGGTGATTAGTATCCTGTTTTAAAGAAGAGGAAACAGAAGTTAAGAGAATTTAAATGATCAGCCTATTTTCACATAGTGCTGGTAAAAAGTGGATGGATCAGATAGATAAACATTTTTAATGGATAAGCTTCAAAGGCAGCATGGTTGAATTTAATTTGATCTGTAAACTAATGCTAAGGCATTTTCTAATATGTGTTTATAAAAGCAAAATTGAGATTGAAAACAAGGAAGCTTAAAAATGAACACCATGTAAAGTAATTCATTAAAAAATACATTTCTTTTTCTAATTTATCTAACAACTTCTCTCACTTGGGTTTATTTTAAAGGTATTTTGGCTTATATTCTCTTTGTCACATGTCTTTGTGTTAGAAACAATATAATATTGATAAAATCGGATTTATTACATAGATGAATATGCGCTTATAAATCATTTTTCTTGAAAAATACACATCTATACATTTCTGCCTTGTGTAACTTGTGTTCAATAGCATTGAATTCTGTAGCTAATTCCAAAGTTATCAAATTAGAAATAGAATAAAATGGAGAATAAAAAGTAAAGTTAAACTTAGTATGTTTTTAAATCACTTCAGTTTAATGTAATGATGTCATGTTTAAAGGTAAAAATCTATTATTAAATTTGTTAGTTAACATCTAGAATCCTCTTGATCATCTTACATATGATCACATAAAAACATTCTATATGAAGCCATTTAAAAAGTCATTATTCTTACATTTCAAGATGTTACATTTTAAAATGTCTCAGCATATCTAGAAAGGCAGTATTATAGAAATCCTAATAAATAAATAAACTAGTTAAGAGAGGTAATAAATTTGACACAGATACAGCCAACTTTTTATTATCTTGGGGGAAGATAGAAAATGAAATCCATAGATAATCCTCAAATCTGATTTTTGCAGTTATATTCAATCTGCTCCCCTGCTGAAACCTGCAGCAGAGGTGATCATGCAGACACATTGGGTGAAGTTAGCAACCTTATCTCTCCTTTTCTCTAGACCAGGGTGAGGAAGAGGAAAAATGGGGGAGGGGTGGCAGTAAAGAAAAAGCAAGGAGAACAAGCTCTCTTCATCATTCACAAAGACATACTCAGACCTGCAACTCTGAATGGCTGCTCCTCATATTGCTGGACATATATAGGCAGTTCTAGCCAACAAGTTCACTCTGATACAAATTTAAAATGAGATTTTGGGATAGGCTCTGAAGTGTTGTCACAATATGTACTTGATTCTGTTTCACAGTTGAAAAAGCAGCCGAAGGTAATGGAACAAGTCAGATAGAATTCTATTAGCATTCCAGTTTGCCATTTGCAGCTGTAACTTATGGACAAATACCTTAACTCTTGCAAACCTTAATTTCCTCAATACTTAAAATGAGTTTCTAAAACCTGTCTTTATAAGTTTGTTGTTTGGATTGGAGCCTACATAATTTTCCTAACATGGTGTCTTGGACATAGTAGGGGCCCAATAAAAGTATCAATTATTGGAACAGTTAGTAAAGATGAAATCAGTCTTCCTTTAACAATAATGGATTATTCGCTTAATTATAAAAGAGTGGAGAAAAATATTGCCCAGTTCTAAAATATATGTACCAGTGGCTTCTTTGCAAAAACCTATTAAAGGCATTTATTGTTTACTCCTTCTCAATGGAAATAATTTGAAATACATCTTTCTGCTTTAAAAGATATAGAATCTACAAACAAGTTTATTGGATAGAAGGAAACTCAGGCTAAGATTATGTTCAAAGTGTAAGAAAATTTATATTTAGGTAAATGATGCTTGGACATAAACCCAGGTTCTGTGAAAGACAGGGTAGTATCCTGAGCAAGCATGTCAATGCAGATAATTCAGATAATTCATGATTATTATGAGTTTACAGCTTGCAACTCACTCTTCTCTTATCGGTAAGTATAAGATACGGATTTCTCTTGTAGGTAAGTATAAGATATGGATGAATGATAAATGGCTGAGATGGTCTTCTGTTGGAGAAAACATATGAGGAAGTGAAATGAAGTAGAAAAAAAAAAGCAAAGAAGGTATCAGAGAGAAAGGAGGCAAATAAAAAGGAGGGAGTAAAAGAAGTAAAAGAGAAGGAGGAAGTCAACTGAGGAAGCAAGTGAGAATGTTGAGAAAGGTGATATGACTGACTCTTAAATATCTTAGGTTTTTGTTCCCTATACAAAATTAGGGTTTTTTTGCAGCATTATTATAGTTTGTTTTTTCTTATACTAAAAGCCTGACTTTATAGGTCTTTCAAGCAAAATCAGATAAACAAACAAACAAACAAAACAAAACTATAAAGGAGTGGCTAATAATACTGATTTTAATAGACTACAGCCATTAGTATTAAAAAAAGATTAAACTTCTATTTTGTTCTATCAAAATTTTAGGAATGTTTCTTATAAAATTTAAAATAAGTTTTAGTGCATTTAAAATAGGGAAGAGGAGAAGGTAGAGTATATGTTGGGGAAAAATTTTTATTTCTTAGTGATGTCTTGCTTTCAAAATGCTACCAATACATATCAGTGGGACATGGAAGCCAAGTTTCCCCAAAAAGCATTCTGGTTACCTGATATGTGAGAGTAGAAAAGTATCCTTAAATCAGGGCCAGAGAACACATATAAATTGTAAGTTATAAGGTACTGGATACTTTGAGCACAAAATCAATCTTTTCAATAACTCCATTCCCAATAGGTCTGGCACTGTGCCTGACATTCCTGTTACGGAAATTCCTTTGAGTTACAACATGGCCTTCAGAAAAATCTTTGTTAAATCAAAGTATATGACTTGGGAGGTTTAACAACTCAGTGTCTTATCAGTTTGAATTAGATAATTAGCTGTCAAAAGGAGCCTCTAGAGAGAGAAACATAGGTTAAGTACATTTAACTGAGTGAAAGTACAAATGGGGATAGAAGGATTTTCACAGATCATAGCCCTGTTACCACCAGAAATAGGAGTGCGCAGAAAGCAGGGGCCTCAGAAGGACTTTGGATATCTACCGAAGAGAAATCTGCAGAAAAGATAGCAAAACGGGCCAAAGTCAGCATAGAGGAGAAAAAACAAACAAACAAAATACAAACCAACAAACAAAAAACAGCCTACTTTCTGATTCTGCCTAGACTGCCCCTAACCTAAATGAAATCTATTCATTTTTTACCCTTGTTTTAATGGTGAGATATGAAAAGCGGCATGCTGGAGAGAGAAATGAGTAGTCATATGTCAACAGCAACAATATAATTTCTGGAACAGCCTCCTGTGTAATTTCTAAAGATAATTAGATTGCAAATCCTCCTCAGGAAGAAGAACAAAAAGAGTACAGTTGAGTTTTCAGGTTTTTTGATAATTTTTTTCCCATATGTCCTTGCAAACTTAAAGAAAAAAGAATAGTTTATGTTACTTTCTAAAAAACTATAATTCCAACTTGTAGATAAGTCTCTCTTCCTCTATTTATCTATACTTCCTATTTGTTACAGCTAAAAACCCTGGACATCATATATAAAACAACCAAAAAAGAACTCTGAGAGGTAGGGGGAAAAAGTCATATCAGCAAGGTAACTGACATAATATTTTCAGCTATTTCCCTGTAGATATGTATTCCTTTTTTAAAGCTGTTTACTAATATAGAAAATACTTCAATACACACCTTTGTGTATGTGCATTATATGTCTCAGCATGCAAGGACTGCCATAACAAAATACCATAAACTGGGTTGCTTTTAAACAAAAGAAATGCATTTCTCACTGTTCTGGAGGTTGGGAGTCCCAGATGAAATGTCAGCAAGTTTGGTTTTGTCTGAGGCTTCTCTGCTTGGCTTGCAGATGGCTGTCTTCTTGTTATGTCTTTATATGGCCTTTTCTACACGTGGTCAAATCCCTAATGTCTCTTTTTATTTTTATAAGGGCCCAGTCGTATTGAATTAACATCCCACTCTTATGACTTTGTTTAACCTTAATTACCTCTTTAGAGGTGCTCTCTGCAAATATAGTCACATACTGGGAGCAGGGCCTGAGCATATGAATCTTGAGAGAATGCACTTCTGTCCCTAGCAATGGGCCTTTCTCAGTCATTGCTTTTAGCCCTGTGGAGTAGTTTCTTTGAAGTAACATTTCTGCTTCAAATATGATAAGTTATGTTGAACTGTAATAGGTAGATGCTGGTTTTCATAAAGGAATGACATGGTGGCGAGTTCTCTTGGCTTCATTGTGGTTTCATATAGTACAGACCAGCTACTGCAGAAGCCAGACACCCAGAAATGTGAATACATGCTGACAAAAAGAAGACCCCCAAAACATCTGCTCTCTCTGGCCAAAAAGCAAGGAAAGAAAGAAAGTCACAAAACTTTTAGATAATAGCAATTCTACTCCAACCGAATCACCACACACACACACACACACACACACACACACACACACACAGGAAAGTAAACAAAACTTATGATTTATTCTCAGCCCTGCCAGCAAAGGCTGTGTGGAGAGCCTAGACTTGAACTCTGCTCCACTAGTGAGATCCCTAGCACTCTGGCCAAGCTGGTGCCAGAGAAGCAGAGGAAGGAGCTCAGACCTTCATCATTGTCAGGCACTAACAAGTGATACCCTTGTCACCTTTCTCCAACAGTGTCAGTGGAGTTCTCGTCGGGAGCCTGGGCATCCACACCCACCTGGCAGTAATAAGAATGGTGGCACAGGAGGCCTGCTGAAAATGGGATGTAAATATGATTCTACATCTTAACCCACAATACTCGAAATACCCAGGCTTCAATGGAAAATCACTTACTACACCAAGAATCAGGAAGATCTCAAGCAGATTGTAAAAAGGTAATCAGTAGATGACAACAGTGAGATGGCACTGATGTTAGAATAATCAGACCATGATTTTAAAGTGGCCATAGCTGCTTTAAAGCATAAAAATGTTTTAAATACCCATGAAAAACGTATCTATCATTCATTCATTCACTTAAAATTTTGGAGTGCTTACTATGTCGTAGGTACTCTGCTATGAAATACAAAGGTGAATAAGACAGGCTATGATCTCAAGAGCATAAAAATGCTTTAAAGGACAGAAATGCTTCAATGAGCAATTATGAAACGATTAAATTGAGTGAAAAGGAATGAAAATAAACACATGAAAAGAAAGAGAAGCTATGGAAAAGAAGCACTTGAACATTTTATAACAAAATACGATAACTGGGAATAAAAAGTTGGTGAACTCTAAATAAAGCAGTATAAAAAAATCACCACACAGCGTGATCATCTATCTTTATTTCTATGAGTCTGTTTTATATTATATGAGGATTAAAATGAAATATATTTTTTTCTTTCCCTCTGTCCTTCTCTGTCTCTGTTTCTTTCATGTTTAAATTACCTCATCTGAAAGTGGTTTTAGCTGGTTTCTTTACTAGAATACTGTTGGGAAAAGATACAATGTTTCTCCTTCATAGTGTGTTTAACAAGATAATAAATCAAAATTATTGGATAAGAAAATAAATTGCCTGTTACACTGTCCATTCTAACTCCCATAAATTGCATTTGATTATGAAATATACTTTATAACATTCTGGATACAACTAATTGTATAAATATATTCATTTCACTGACATTGAGAGATGATAATATAAATTGTCTTCTCAAGTGTTGCTTAACTTGTTTAGTCGAAATTTACCTTTTAAAATTTGTAACTATTGTCACCTGACCTCTGACCTCTGAATTTTTCAAACAAGGATAAATAAAATTTGCTGATTTATTGTGATTCAAAGGATAAGAAACCATTCAATTTCTGCTACAAATATTTCAATAGCAACTTTGAAGAATAATCAGAGAGTTTTTTTAACTGCTTATTTTTTAAAATTTGCTAGCCTTTTAGAATTATACAACTGATTAAGTATAAGTCATGCCTCATGAGTATATGGATAATGAAAGTTTACCCATATTTGTGGAATAAAGGAAGAATTCTCAGAGGAAGTAGGATTTAGTGTGTGTGTGTGTGTGTGTGTGTGTGTGTGTGTGTGCATTTATATATATTTTTAAAACATTTTTTTTTTTTTTTACAAAAACTTAGAAAATCAGACTAAATTAGATGATAAATACTTTTCTACATCTCTGTATTCTCACTCCGACATTCTTGGTTGAACTCTAACCATTTCATCTGGAGTGTAGACAGAATTATTCTTCATAAGCTCCACATCATATTTCATGAAGTGAATATACCATAATATTTTCAGTTATTTTCCGGTAGATGTGTATTCTTTTTTAAAGTTCTTTACTAATATAGACAATACTTCAATAAACATCTTTGTATATGAACATATGTGTCTTAGTCTGCAAGGGCTTCCGTAACAAAATACCATGGATTGAGTTGCTTTTAAACAAAATAGATTTATTTGTCACTGTTCTGGAGGCTGGGAATCCCAGATGAAATATCTGCAGGTTTGGTTGTGCCTGAGGCTTCTCTTGCTTGTAGATGGTTGTCTTCTTGCTATGTCTTTATATGCCCTCCTCAACATGTGATCATAGCCCTGGTCTCTTTCTTTTCTTGTAAGAGCCCAGTCATATTGGATTAGGGCCCCACTCTTATGACCACATTTGCGTTAATTACCTCTTTAGAGGCCCTACCTCCAAATATAGTCACATGCTGGGGATTAGGCCTTCAGCATAAGAATTCTGAAATAACATACTTCAGTCCATAGCAATAGACCTTTCTCAATCATTGTCTTTATCCCTGTGGAGTAGGTTCCTTGAAGTAACATTTCTGCTTCATATGTGAAATTTTATGTTTAATTTTAATAGATAGATGCTGCTTTTCAATAAGGTGGTAAAATTCATCTTTTTGGTCAGCAAATTTTCTTCATATCTCTACCAGGCATAGGTGAAAAATTCTTTTTATTTTGTTTTCATTCAAAGGGGATGATATACCTCATTAATGATTTAGTATTTATTATCCTCATGAGACTAAACTTAAGATTCTTTATATGTATTTATTGGATATTGAGATTTGATCCCTATGGAGTCCTTATTGTTATCTTTTGTTCAATTTTAATTGGACTGGGAGCATTTGTTTCTGTTTCTTGCAAACTTGGAATTACTTTGCATATTAGAGATAATAATGATGATAAATTATTCATTATATTTTTTTTTTCTGGAGTCAATAATGTAGTTTCCCAAATAGTTTTTTGAGATTCGAGGTTTGTTTGTGAGGTGTTCATGAGAAGTATTGAACAAGTATTTCCAGTTCCCATTAGAATTGAACTTTACTTCCCACTTTCATTTCTTTAAAGTTAGGCATTGGCATGTGACTTGTTTTGGGAAATAAACTGTGAGCAGAAAAGGCAGGTCTGATTCCTGGGAGAAAGTATTTAGAGCTAGTGTACTACAAAAGCCAGCATCATCTATGATGATAATTTTCACATAAGCTTTGGTGTCAGGGTGATAAGAGCCACAGACAGCTTAGGATGGATGTACAATGTGATGAGATATATGCCTTTATTTTTATAACCATTAAGTTTTTGCAATTTTTATAGCAGCACAATCTAGCCTATCTGAATTAATAGAGTTAGCAACATTCTTCCAAACTCTAGTTTACACTGGATTTAGATATTCTTAAAAACATTTTTATATGATTTTAAATAAATAAAACACTTTAAAATATTTCAAATTTATTTTTATAAATAAGGTAGACATAGAGATCTGACTTCATTTTATTCCATTTGTACAATCTGCTGTAACAGCAATAAGTAATTCATTCTCTCCCATTAAACTTCTGCTTTTATCATCCATAAAGTTCTCATAAATACTGCTTTCTCATTCTGGATTCTATATTCAGTTAAGTGAAATGATAAATTATTCTGGTCCTACACCAATACAAATTGATCTGTGGTTTTATCCTATGTCCTAACATACTATAAATTTTTATACAGCCTGATATCTATCTGTTCTTATTTTTTTCAAAATTTTGGCTTTTATCAATTTATGTATTATTTTACTTTTTGAGTATTTATTCTCTTATATAAAACTTACATAATTTTATATAAATCCAAGAAAATATACAATAAATATCCCTATTAGGTTTCAACTTTCCACTATGGTGTAGTAATAAGAACTGGATTTCTCTTCCCATCATAAATAACTAGAATATTGTACCAAATACTTAAAATCATTATTATTAAACATTAGTAAGTCAAAAGTAGAGGCAAGTAGAATTCAATAAATCTTCAATTAATCTAAAAGAAGGCATAAAAAAGAAAAGCAAGTAGCAAAGAACACATGGAGAAAAGAGAAAACAAAGATGATAGACTTGAATCCACCCATATTAATAAATTACACTAAAAATGTGTGGTCAAACATGTCATTTAAAAGGCATGGACGGCTAGGTTGTATATATATTAAAGAAAAGAACAAACTATATACTTTCTACAAGAAACCCAATTTAAATAAAATGCACATATCGGTTAAAAATAAAAGGAGAAAAATCATACTCATTGTATATCAATGAAAGCCAATGAAGAGACAGCAGAGAATAATTTGAACATGGAGAGTTTACCTTAAAGAATTATTAGCTCTAACACAGAATTGGAATAATGAGGGATTAGCTAATCAGAAGCAAATAGAACTCTAGAGAATACATGAATAGCAGATAAAAGGAGCAGCTGCCATCTACAGGGCTGAGAAAGAGTGCACAAGAAAGAAAGAAACTCTTTCTCCCAGAAGTTGGATTCAGACTTTGTAGGAGGGAGCACAGCCATGATTCAATCCATATCAGAGTAATTGTGGAGATGCAGCAGAAGAACATTTTGGAAATTTGACCTCTGAATCTTGCTGGAAATTCACCTTCTAAGGCAAGGGTTGCAGACTTTCCATAAAGGGCCATAAAATAAGTATTTTAGGCCTTGTGGACCACCATACAATCTCTGTCACCATTTCTCAATTCTACAATTGTAGTGTGAAAGTTGGCAGTACAACTAACTAAAGAAAAGGGTATGGCTAGGTTCCAATAAAACTTTATTTGCAAAAACACCTGATAGCCTAGATTTGGCATACCAGCTCTAGTCTTCTAATAACTGCTCTAGAGTATGGGGGAATTATCTTCAAAGGATGTTCTCACTGAAGGCACTCTGCTCTAGAACATCCTGCTGGAAGCTGTTGGCTCCTGGACACCACAGGGCCCGGTGCCAGAAAAGCCCACCTCGCAACAGGGGTTGGTTACCAGGAAAGCTGTGTATGCTCCAGAAACAATTTATTTTTCCAATTTAACTTTGCCAAATTAGGAAAAAATTCCATTAGGATTCCAACTTAAGAATTTACAATATTTGGTTATTTTATTTCTATGAAATGTCTCTCAGGGCCTACGTTTATCAAGAAACCATTATCGGCCGGGCGCGGTGGCTCACGCCTGTAATCCCAGCACTTTGGGAGGCCGAGGCGGGCGGATCACGAGGTCAGGAGATCGAGACCATCCCAGCTAAAACGGTGAAACCCCGTCTCTACTAAAAATACAAAAAATTAGCGGGGCGTAGTGGCGGGCGCCTGTAGTCCCAGCTACTTGGGAGGCTGAGGCAGGAGAATGGCGTGAACTCGGGAGGCGGAACTTGCAGTGAGCCGAGATCCCGCCACTGCACTCCAGCCTGGGCGACAGAGCGAGACTCCGTCTCAAAAAAAAAAAAAAAAAAAAAAAGAAACCATTATCCTTCATATTGGTCCTGCTTATTTCCTGACAAATTTATTTTTAATATATCATTTTGTATTATTCTAACTTTAAACAGACTGTTATTGCCATAATATGCCCAATAAATACTGAATGCAAATGATTGTTTTGCCTTTTTAAAAAAATTTTAACTTTTTATTTGTAGAGACAGATTCTCACTGTGTTGTCCCTGCTGGTCTTGAACTCCTGGACTCAACAGATCCTTCTGCCTCAGCCTCCAGAGTACTGGGACTACAGGTGTGTGTTCCTGCTTAGTTTTGTTTTGCCTTGTTTAATTTTTATTAATAATTTGATCTTATTTTTTAATTACCAGAGTTTCAAATTGTGGAGTTGTAATCCCTCTCATATTTATTAAAATATAAAGTGGAATCTGAAAATATCTATCTACCTATTATCTATCTATCTGTTTATCTAAAATAAACTATCATTCTATTCCTAATTTACTATTTTTCCTTTTCAAAAATTTCAATTATTTTTGGGGTGCAGACGGTTTTTGGTTACATGGATGAGTTCTATCGCATTGAATTCTGAAATTTTAGTGCACCCATCACCCAAGTAGTATACACCATACCCAGTATATAGTCTTTTATCCCTCATTCCTCTCCCAACCTCCCTCACTGAATCCCCAAAATCTGTTATATCACTCTGAACATCTTTTTGTCATCCTAGCTTAATCCCCACTTATAAGTGAGAACATATGGTATTTAGTTTTCCATTCCAGAGTTATTACCCCTAAAATAATGGCCTCCAGCTCCATCCAAGTTGCTGCAAAATATATTATTTTGTTCCTTTTTATGACTGAGTAGTATTTCATGGTGTATGTTTACTATGTTTTCTTTATTCATTCAATGGTTGATGGACAATTAGGTTGGTTCCACATCTGCAATAGCAAATTATACGGCTATAAACATGTGTGTAATATGTCTTTTTCATATAATAACTTCTTTTTCTTTCAGTGGATACCCAGTAGTGGGATTGCGGGATCAAATTGCAGTTCTGCTTTTATTTAAGGAATCTCCATACTATTTTCCATACCGGTTGTAATAGTTTACATTCCCACCAGCAGTGTAAAAGTGTTTCCTTTTCACTACACTCACACCAACATTTATTGTTTTCTGACTTATAAATTATGGCCATTCTTGCAGGAGTAAGGTGGTCTCTCATTGTGGTTTTAATTTGCATTTCGCTTATGATAAGTGATGTTGAACATTATTTTCTATGTTTGTTGGCTGTTTGTATATCTTGTGAGAAATGTCTATTCGTGTCCATTGTCCACTTTTTGATGGGATTTTTTTTCTTGCTGATTTGTTTCTTGTAGATTCTGGATACTAGCCCTTTGTCCAATGCGTAGTTTGCAAATATTTCCCCCGACTCTGTGAGTTGTCTGTTTACTCTGCTGATTATTTCTTTTGCGGTGCAGAAGCTTTTTAAATTAGGTCTCATTTATTTATTTATTTATTTGCTGCATTTTCTTTTGGGGTCTTAGTTATGAATGCTTTGCTGAGGCCAATGTCCAAAAAAATCTTTCCCAATGCTATCTTCTAGAATTTTTATGATTTCAGGTCTTAGATTTAAGTCACTGATCCATCTTGAGTTGATTTTTGTAGAAAATGGGAGATGGGTATCCAGTTTTATTCTTTGACTTGTGGTATGCCAGTTTTCCCAGCAACATTTATTTAATAGGATGTCCTTTCTCCACTTTATGTTTTTGCATGCTTTTTAAAGATCAATTGGCTGTAAGTATTTGACTTTATTTCTGGGTTCTCTATTCTATTCCATTGGTCTATATGCCTATTTATTTTATTTTTTATTTTTGAGACAGAGTCTCATTCTGTTGTTCCGGCTGGAGTGCAGTAGCGCGATCTCAGCTCACTGCAACCTCTGCCTGCCGGGTTCAAGCAGTTCTCCCGCCTCAGCCTTCTGAGTACCTGGGATTACAGGCACCGGCCACCACGCCTGGCTAATTATTTTGTATTTTTAGTAGAGACGGGGTTTCATCATGTTGATCAGGTTGGTCTTCAGCTCCTAACTTCAGGTGATCCACATGCCTCAGCCTCCCAAATTGCTGGGATTACAGGCGTGAGCCACTGTGCCTGGCCTATGTGCCTATTTTTATACCAGTACCATACCGTTTTTGTAACTATAACCTTGTAGTATAATTAGAAGTCTGATAATGCAATGCCTCCAGATTTGTTCTTTTTGCTTAGTATTGCCTTGGCTATGCTGGCTCTTTTTTGGTACGATATGAGTTTTAGGATTGTTTTTCTCTAGTTCTGTGAAAAATGATGATGGCATCTTGATGGAATTGCATTGAATCTGTAGATTAATTTGGGCAGTATGGTCATTTTCACAATATTGATTCTTCCTATCAATGAGCATGGGATATGTTTCCAGTTGTTTGTGTAAACTATGATTTCTTTTGGCAGTGTTTTGTAGTTTTCCTTGTAGAAGTCTTTCACCTCCTTGGTTGAGTATATGCTTAAGTTTTGGTTTTGGTTTTGTTTTTTTTGCAGCTGTTTGAATTTTTGATTTGCATCTCAGCTTGGTCGTTGGTGTATAGCAGTGCTACTGATTTGTGTACATTGGTTTTGTAACTAGAGACTTTGCTGAATTCATTCATCAGATCTAGGAGCCTTTTGGATGAGTCTTTAGGGTTTCCTAGGTATATGATCATATCATTGGCAAACAGTGACAGTTTGACTTCCTCTTTTCCAGTTTGACTGCCCTTTATTTCTTTCTCTTGCCTGATTACTTTGGCTAGGACTTCCAGTACTATGTGGAATAGAAATGGTAAAAGTGGGCATCCTTGTCTTGTTCCATTTCTCAGGGGGAATGCTTTCAACTTTTCCCCATTCAGTATGATATTGGTTGTGGGTTTGTCATACATGGCTTTTATTACTTTGAGGTAAGCACCTTCTAGGCCTAGTTTCTTGAGGGTTTTTTTTTATCATAAATGATGCTGGATTTTATCAAATGCTTTTAATGCATCTGTTGAGATGATCATATAGTTTTTGTTTTTAATTGTTTATGTGATGTATCACATTTATTGACCTGCATATGTTAAACTATCTCTGCAACTCTGGGATGCAATCCACTTGATCATGATGTGTTATCTTTTTTTTTTTTTTTTTTTTTTTTTTTTGAGACAGAGTCTCACTCTGTTGCCAGGCTGGAGTAGAGTGGATGTGTTATCTTTTTGATGTACTGTTAGATTTGGTTACTAATTTACCATTTATTATACAAGAATGGATATTCAGTTTTAGAAAATGCCCTTTTTGCATCAATTAAGATGATTATTTTTTCTCCTTCAAACTATGTAAATGAATTTAAAGGGACAAAATCACCATTAAGTTATATGTACAAAATGTTAATGGCCAATAATTACTTTTGTTTTAAAAATACACAATTTTAGAAGCGTCATTTATATTTTGACATATAGATCATGTGGATATGTGCTTATGTTATAGTTTATTTTCCACAAGTTACATAATTCTGGACTTATTCTGAAAATTATTATGTGAACAGCAAATTAGTATTATAAACAAACATATACTTTTCTTAATATTTAAAAGTCAGTTACATTTTCTTTCATCTTATTTAAAAATTTTTAAGTTCATAAGATGTACTTCAGATATAAATGAAAAAATAATTAAAATGATTAATTTCTCTATCAGTGATGAACAAAAGTCACAATGTCTACATTCAGCATCTATCATGTTTTCTATTAGTTAGCTTTTCAGAGCCAGTTTTCTTAAGATTTATATTCTGCTTCTGTGCAAACATAATCATCAAAGAGAGTGTAATGAGACATCATCAATTTAATTTAAATTTTCAAAAGTGCCAAGTTGATTGATCTTTTAAAGTGCCACAGGGATCTTGAAGGTAAACATCTTTTTCAGCATTATTAGTTTAAATCGGTGGTACAGTGGATCCTATGAGAGTATTATGAACACTGAATCTTACATAAAATTTTATATGCCAGTGCACTAAATTATAACATATGCTTGAAAGACTAACATTTAATTAGCACAGCCATGCAGGAAAATTAGGGAGTCAATATAATAATTTCACAAGAGGTCTTTAAACTGTTTTGAATTATATAATTTTAAAATATCATATCTTCTCACAAACTAATAAAAGCTCATGTTGCTAAGGTCTCAATTAGGTAACATACAATTTAAAGAAGTTTGATTGTGTATCAGAGTACATCATATAGATTCAACTGTGTAATAGTCAAGCTTCTTCCTGATCATCAAGATATTGGTAAATCATATTGGTACCAAAATTGAACGTGTTTCTTTGACTGTTTTGGGTCCATAAATTTCCTTCTTGACATCAAATGCTCCACATGGGCAGCAGTTTAAATAGCTGACAAGTATGTTCAGTAGAATTAATAGATGTCTCCATATAGAATATGTAAAAGCTTACTACATCTTTGCATCTTTTTTTAGGCTGCTAAGGGAAAAACCGAAACACATACTCTATGTAGCTTTCTAGAAATATAATTTAAAAAATTATTAATGTAAGAAAAATATTCTTGAAACCAAGTCAAACTTTAAAACACAACGGTTGGATCAGTAAAGTTGCAAGAGGGTTGGAAGGGAAACAACCCCAGTTATTTTAGCTGAGTTAATTCATTGTAAATAATCATTAAATAGGCCGGGCATGGTGGCTCACGCCTGTAATCCCAGCACTTTGGGAGGCCAAGGTGGGCAGATCACAAGGTAAAGAGATCAAGACCATCCTGGCTAACACGGTGAAACCCGTCTGTACTAAAAATACAAAAACGTTAGCCAGGCGTGGTGGCGGGTGACTGTAGTCCCAGATACTAGGGAGGCTGAGGCAGAAGAATGGCATGAACACAGGAGGCAGAACTTGCAGTGAGCCGAGATGGTGCCACTGCACTCTAGCCTGGGCGACAAAGCGAGACTCCATCTCAAAAAAAAGAAAACAAACAAACAAAAAGAATCATTAAATAGATATAGAAAAATTAAAAAGAAAAAAATGGAACACAGCAATATTACAAGAGTTGAAACAATGGGAAGCCGTTACCAAGGGGTGTGGTGAATTACTGATGCTTTAAAGCCTGAGAGAGGGATCCCTTGACCTGGGACGTAGGCCTTGCCAGCCAGGGCCCCAGCCAACTGGCACTGTCATCTCTGAGAATGCACATAAGGGTGGTTTTGTAATTGTTTGAAAACTGAAAACAGCAAAAAACTACTGCTGAAAAAAAAAGTGACAAAGGCAATACTGACAGGAAGGAAAGAGAAAACAAACAAAGAAGGACAGAAAAGGAAGCAAACAGGAAGACTGTGTGTTCCTTCCTTCCCCATGTTTCCAGCCTCCTGAGTATTCTCTATTGTTACAGCCCAAGAGAGTCAGTTGGCAAAGGAAATTGTGGTTTGCAGTCACGATCCCCTTATTGCAAACCTGATAATATGGAAGAACAGGTTTGAAACTGGGACAATATTTAACAATTTGCACATTAGTGTAAAAAATTTAATATCTTTAAAGTCAAGAGAAAACTTTAAAACATCTCTTTATAAAGGCTTTTCTGTTGCTATCTTCTCTTTTTCAACTTAGCATGAGGGTACCTCTAAGAAATTTTGTTTGAGTGCATAGTTACAGATTTCATTGCAATGTTCCCTTTTACCTATAGGTGAACATTTTCTCTCACTTTGTGTGTTGGCAGTTATTTGATATAATCAAAACAATTCTCTTATTTTCTATTTACTTATTTTCAATTATGATGTTCACATTTCCATATTGGAGTATTTAATTTACCTATACTATTTCAGTTTGGTGTGAGGCAGACATACAATTTTATGTATTACCTCCCCACCCGTGTGAATGGGCAAGTATCTCAGAATAACATACTGAATAACCCATACTTTCCTCTCCACTTCCCAATGCCACTTCTGACATATATGAAGAACTCGAATAGCTGTAGGTATGTTCGAAGCAGTTTATTCTGTTTGTTTGGTCAACCTCTATTCTTGGTTTTTAAATTTTTCCACAAGATATTTAGGATAAATCTTACAAGATTTTTGAAGAAAATGCAATTGTAATTTTGGATTAATTTCAAATTAATTTGTGAATTATCTTGTTTTATGATTTTTAGTCTTCCTCTGCGTATATTTCTTAGATCTTATTCTATTCTTTTTCTGCAGCAATCTTAACAATATCAATGCATATTTATTAGCTTTGCTCCTTGGTGTATTGTGTCTTTTGTTGTTATTACAAATGTCATTTTTAAATAAGCGTTTCTTTCTATAACAGCTTTAGATTTATAAAAGAGTGGAGAAGATAATACAAAGAGTCCCTAAAGAGCACCCCCATTTTTAGTATCTTACATAACGATGGTACATCAATCACAACTAACAAAACTATTTTTAACATATTATCATTAGCTAGGTTCTAGACATTATTCAGATTGTATTATTTTTTCCTAAAGTTATTTTTCTCCTCCAGGATCATACTACGCTGCATTTAATCCTTATGACTCCCTAGCCTTCTCTGGTTGGTTTCTCAGACATTCCTTATTTTTGATGACTTTAAAAGTTTTGAGAAGTACTAATCAGGTATTCTTAGAATGTTTCTCAATTGAGAGTTTTCTGATGCTTTTCTAATGATTAAACCACAGTTATGGTTTTTTGAGTGGATGGCCATAAAGTGCCATTTTCACCATATCATATCAAGGATATGTGCTATCAACATGATTGTTGATATTCACCTATATGCTATCAACATAACTCCTGATATTATTGATACTCACCTTGATCATGTGGTTTGAGTTAATGTTTGCCAAGTTTCTTCAAGGCAAGGTTATTCTTTTTTATTTCACTCTTTCCATAAAGTACTCTATGGAAGGAAATCACTATACTCAACATTTGTTCAAGGAGTCACTTATAATGATATTGTTTAAAATTGCAGTTTATACTATTTTTGTGGTAGATAGAAATACTTTTGATTCTACATATTGATCTTTGTACTCAGATACTGTCTTTAATTTTTCTGTAATTCCAGTAGCTTGTGGACTCTCTTTTACTTTCTAGGTAGACAATTGCATTCTCCAAAATGTGTCCAGATTTATTTCTTTCTACTTCCAATCATTATACTTTGATTTTTTTTCTCTCATGTCCTACTTGACTGGCTTTGTCTCTTAGTAAAATGTTGATTTTTTTTTTGTATTTTTTGCATCAAAATTGAATAACTCTAATGTTTCACAGCACAGTATTTGCTTAGTATTTTAATGATATTTTATCAGTATATGAAAGATTATATTGTCTACAAAATTTCCCCCATTAGCTCTTTTAAATAGATATGTCTGTATGCCTGCCAAATTTTAATAAATAATATACTGTCATTATTTAAATGACCACATTTGCTTTCTCCTTTAATGTACTAATGTAGTGATACAGAACAAATGTTTCTTCAATATTTAGCTATAATGTGTTTCTGGGACATATATTGTTTATAATGGCCATGCAATGTGTGTGTGTGTGTGTGTGTGTGTGTGTGTGTGTGTGTATATATATTTCTGTATGTATATGTGTATACATGTGTTCATGGCTTCAAAAATAATATCTTCTTTAAAATAATTGCATCTATTTCAAAACCGAAATTGATCAATAATTTTTTATTTTTCAACTTCTTGAGTTTTTCCATGTTTCAGTAGCCTTCTAAAATGCACCTTCCCCTCATTTTCCCATCTCTAAAGCTGTTGGTTTAATGCAGACCACGTTAATGCTTTTAAAGCTGGTAAAACTGTGCATCACTTTAAAACATTTGAAAATTGAGAAAATTTTACATCACCTAACCTAGTGCTTTTATTCTACATGTATATTCTAAATTTGGAATTTAATTTCATAATTTTTTCAAGTCCGTTCAGTGTTCTCATGTTTCTTCAATTTCTTATGCTAGTCTACTTTTTAAAAAACTGTCTCATTCACCCATATTTTTAAAAATATTGTTGTAAAAGTTTTCATGCTATTCTACTATGATCTTGCATATTTTTAATATATGACTTTGTTGTTTTTTTCTTTCCTATTTCATAATTTTCATGAAAATAAAGATTTTTGTCTTGTTTACTGACACATCCCAATGCTGAGCAGTCCCTGACACATATAGTAAATTTTTCATCTATATTTGTTAAATGAATAAATAAGCCATATTATAATATAAAAGGTAAGGACGTGGGTTCTGCAATGTAAAAGATATGGATTTGAACAAGTATTTTTATTTTCTAGTGATACGATGTGATGCCAATTGCTTAATCTCTTTGAAACCATAATTAATTTTGATCATTATTATTATTAAACAGTTGCTAAATGTATAATGATGAATAAAATATGGCCCTCACTCTAAAGAAATGATAATCTCTCCTAAGATATTGAAGAATAAGCATATTACTAATTGCAATGTGATAGGTGCTATAAATAGTTATACATACAATGTTTGCATCTATTTTTATTAGTTGTTATAATGAGAAATATTTTGGAAAGCTTCAGATACAATTCTTCCCTTATGGTGCTCTCTTCAACATGAAACAGACTGCATTTCTCTGGGTTTTCAAATGGATAGGCAATCTCAAGACCAGTTTTAGCCATACGTCATTTCAGAATAAGTGAATGGTGATTATTTCCACTCCAACCCTCAAAAAGTAGTAAAATACTGTTACATAAAATTTGTTTGATCTGAGCTCCTGTATTAGGCCCCAACAGACCAAACCCAAATGCAGTCATTCATGCTAAATGGCAGACAATCAAAGTAAAACTTTTACGGAAGCAGAGAACTCTCCAAACAGACCAGTTTTTCCTGAAAACAGGAGACCCTCAGCGACCAATTGGAAAGGGCCTAGTCAACATGAATGGCTTGGGAAGGAAATCCCCTCTGCTTTAACTCTTGTAAAAGAAAAGTAACCTGAAGTAATCTGTTACTAACCAATTCACTTTTTTAATTATTCTGTTTCCATGTTCCTACCTTACAAAAACCAACTGTTCTGCTATATCCAATGGAGGACTTATTTATTTCTAGATGTGATGCTGATCAATTTATAAACTGTTAATAAAAGCCAATTCTATCTTTAATACTAAATTTGTTCTAATTTTGTCTTTTGACAATATTATCAGATATAATATTTCAGGTAATCAATGTATTTGTAAGATTTTAATTTTACTTTAGATTTCTCATTCTCTAAATCTTGTTCTCTTCAGATTTGATATATAGGCAAACTGGGGCTTAGAAATATTAACAATAAGATTAAGTTCAAGCAAAAAATATCGAGATGTCTGAATGCATCTCGATATTTAAAAGTAGAGTGGATTTTGATCAGAAGAAATAAATTTTTGTCATATAGAACAGAGCAGAGACAAATGCAATCCAAACTTGGCCCTCAAAAGAAAAATGTGTCAACAGACTGCGTGAAAAAAGGTAACTGAAATTTTGCGCATTCGGAAATTCATTTTTAATATATTTTTCTTAAATCATAATAAAAAAGTTAAAATTTATAAATCTAAATTTAAATTTATGTTCAATCTTAATAGTGTATTTGTAACCTAAAGAATGCAGATAAGCATTCCTTTTTTTTATTTTTTATTGAGAAGGAGTCTCGCTTTGTCGCCCAGGCTGGAGTGCACTGGTGCGATCTCGGCTCACTGCAAACTCCGCCTCCCGGATTCACACCATTCTCCTGCCTCAGCCACCCAAGTAGCTGGGACTACAGTCTCCCGCCACTACGCCCGGCTAAGTTTTCGTATTTTTTAGGGTAGACGAGGTTTCACTGGGTTAATCAGGATGGTCTCAATCTCCCGACCTCATGATCCGCCCGCCTTGGCTTCCCAGAGTAATGGGATTACAGGCGTGAGCCACCGCGCCCGGCCGGCATTTCTTTTTTTAAGCAGAAAAGAGCAATTTGCAATTTAGTTCTAAGGATTTCTTGGTTGTACTTACTATTTTCCAATTTGTTTAATTGGAGCGCTTAAGACATTTCTGAACCCTTTCATCTCAGAAAGTTTCGACTCATAAAGATATAGCTAGACTTCCATAATTGCACTTGGGAATAAATTTATAAATGATAATTATCATATGTTTTTGAAAGACCTCATATTAGTCTTGAAATGTTAATAGTAAATTCCCAAACTGGGAGGATAGAAGAGTATTACTGATAGAAGGTATAGAAAGTGGGTATTCTATAAAATAGAATACAGTTTTTTTTTTAAAAGTTTATTTGTTTGACTGGAACATAGTTGTATTGGAGTAATTATAGATGAAGATAAGAAAGCAATTGAGACCAAATTATAAAAACATAGTCTGCCTAAATAAACTATCTTGCACACCTCAATGTTATTCTCAGTAATTATATGTAACAACTAAGGTTTGAATTATATTTGACTCACAGACAATGAAAAAACATTTATAAATTAGATATCACCATTTCAGTTCTATTGATGAAAAATATTACTAGTTTGAAGCTGTTAAAGAATAAAAAATTAATGACACTTATTAAAACACAGAAAGGAATACTTTTATTCAGGATCATCGAGATAGACATAAGAACCACTGCAATGGGAGTTTGTAGTAGGGGAGAGACCTTAAGCTGAATTCTGAATACAACATTGGCAAGTGGGAATTTATGGCAAAGGAGGAGGGCAAGGGTCAGTGGATGGAAAATTACTAAGAGGAAACATCAGGAGTAAGGAAGATTCTTGCTAAAGACAGGCCGGGCTGACCAGATATCACTTTCGAAATGGTTGAAGATGAAAAACCTGATCAGATATTGAGGATGATCAGATTATCAAGAGTGGAGAATTCTTGCTAAACTGACTTAGCATGGTTCTTTGCTAAAACTAGATTTTACAAGAAAGTACATAGATCGGTCTAGGAGAAAATTCAGGAGCCTGACTAAAGTTTGGACAGACAAAGAATGTTCGTCAAAGCCATATAACCTTCAACTCTACAATAATTTAACGCTTATTGTGAATGATTAAAAAATACTTGATTTCCAATGAGTATATTTAGGTTTAAATCATTGTATGTATATTTATTTATGAAGACATTCAACAAATTTTTTATTTATTTTATAACTTTGGTACTGTGCTATGTAAAGTTTGCAGATATGAAGATGGATTTATTTTATTAACTCCCTAAAGTGGTAAAGTATTTAAAAGGAGAGGAAAGTAAATGTATATCATTAGTCAGGTTATCAATGTTTTAGTAGAAGTATATGCAAAGAATTATAGAAGTAACAGAGGAAGTGTGTCCGGAATTGGTGGGTTCTTGGTTTCACTGACTTCAAGAATGAAGCCGCGGACCCTCGTGGTGAGTGTTACAGCTCTTAAGGTGGCGCGTCTGGAGTTTGTTCCTTCTGATGTTCGGAGTTTCTTCCTTCTGGTGGGTTCGTGGTCTCGCTGGCTCAGGAGTGAAGCTGCAGACCTTCGCGGTGAGTGTTACAGCTCTTTAGGCGGCGCGTCTGGAGTTGTTCTTTCCTCCTGGTGGGCTCCTGGTCTCGCTGGCTTCGGGAGTGAAGCTGCAGACCTTCTGGATGAGTGTTACAGCTCATAAAGGCAGTGTGGACCCAAAGAGTGAGCAGTAGCAAGATTTATTGCAAAGAGCGAAAGAACAAAGCTTCCACAGTATGGAAGGGGACCCGAGCAGATTGCCACTGCTGGCTCGGGCAGCCTGCTTTTATTCTCTTATCTGATCCCACCCACATCCTGCTGATTGGTAGAGCCCAGTGGTCTGTTTTTACAGGGTGCTGATTGGTGTGTTTACAATCCCTGGTTCTCCACGTCCCCACTAGATTCACTGGATACAGAGTGTCCATACAGAGGTTCTTCAAGGCCCCACCAGAGTAGCTAGATACAGAGTGTGGATTGGTGCATTCACAAACCCTGAGCTAGACACAGGATGCTGATTGGTGTGTTTACAAACCTTGAGCTAGATACAGAGTGCCAATTGGTGTATTTACAACACCTGAGCTAGACACAAAGGTTCTCCACGTCCCCACCAGACTCAGGAGCCCAGCTGGCTTCACCCAGTGGATCCCGTGCCTGGGCTTCAGGTGGAGCTGCCTGCCAGTCCCGCGCCGTGCGCCCGCACTCCTCAGCCCTTGGGTGGTCGATGGGACTCGGCGCCGTGGAGCAGGGGGCGGCGCTCATCCGGCGCCCATGGAATGGGTGGGAGGCTCAGGCATGGCGGGCTGCAGGTCCCGAGCCCTGACCCGCGGGAAGGCAGCTAAGGCCCGGTGAGAAATCGAGCGCAGCGCCGGTGGGCTGGCACTGCTGGGGGACCGAGTACACCCTCCACAGCCGCTGGCCGAGGTGCTGAGCCCCTCATTGCCCGGCTGCTCCGAGTGCGGGGCCCGCCAAGCCCACGCCCACCCGGAACTCCAGCTGACCCGGAACTCCAGCTGGCCCGCAAGCGCCGCGCGCAGCCCGGGTTCCCGCTCGCGCCTCTCCTTCCACACCTGCCTGCAAGCTGAGGGAGCCGGTTCCGGCCTTGGCCAGCCCAGAAAGGGGCTCCCACAGTGCAGCGGTGGGCTGAAGGTTCCTCAAGTGCCTCTAAAGTGGGAGCCCAGGCAGAGGAGAGCGAGCGAGGGCTGTGAGGCCTGCCAGCACGCTGTGACCTCTCAGAAGTACACACTTGGCTGGAAAGAGAAGACTCTATAGAGGAGGAACTTACAGCCAGGACCCTGGTTGAATCAGTACTTAAAAATGCTCTTATGAGAAAGGGCAGAGCTGCATTTTACTTAACCTAAACTCATTTTTCACAAAGGTATGTAGTGTTCTTTTATATAAATATTTTTAAACTTTAATATATTTATACATGTATATTAATATATTACAGAAAAATTACAAAGATAGTACAGAATTCCCATACACCCCACCTTCAATTTCCCCTGTTGTTAACATCTTACATTTGGATAATATATTTGTTACCATTGACAAATATTGATATATTCTTGTTATCTAAAGTTCATACTTGATTCAGATTTTCTTAGTTATACTTAGTGTCTTTGCTGTGTTCCCATCTCTGATACTGCATTGCATTTAGTTGTATATCTCTTTCGGCTCCCCTTGGCTGTGACAGTTTACCAGAATTATCTTGTGAATTGTGGCATTTTTTGAGGAGTAGTGGTCAAGTATTCAGCAGAATATCTCTCAGTGGAAATTTCTCCAGTGTTTTCCTCATGATTAGGCTGAGATAATGAGTTTTTGGAGAAAGAAATGAAATGCCATTCTCATTATATCATGCAAAGGGTACTTACTATCTACATGACTTATCACTCTTGATGTTGTCATTGATCACCTGGGTGAGATAGTATTCGTCAGGTTTCTCCACTACAAGGTTACCATTTCCTCCCTCTTTTCAAACTGTCCTTTTTGGAAGGAAGTCACTATACACAGTCCACACTTACAGAATGTGGTACTATTATCTACCTCCTTGAGGACAGGGCATCTACATGTATTATTTGAAAGATTCTGCGTAAGATACCCCTCTTCCCCCACTTACTTATTTACTCAGTTATTTGTTTATCTCCATATGAACTCCTAGATATTTATTTTATACTTGGTTACAATTCAATATTATTTCAATTTCTGCTCAGATTTTTCCTGCATTGGCCATTAAGAGCTCTAGAGTTGGCTCTGTGTCACACTGACATATTCCACCATTGAAGTGTTTGTTGATTTGTTTTTAAAAATGTTCTCACTTTCTGGTAATGCCTACAAGATGCTCCAGACTCATTTTGTATATTTCCTAGCCCTAGAATGAGATGAGGAGCCCTAGTTTCTATTATTAAAGAATAGTATTATAAACCAGGAGATGGACACGAGGTGTGCTTGTTCTTACTGGGTCGACATTATTTTTAGGCCCTCTCAGTTGACAGAGCAAGGGCATATATACATATATATTACATCACATGTATATCATGTTTTACTATTATATATAGTTTTTATATGCACATTCAAGTTGTTGTTCCCCATTGTACATTTGTTTTATAGCTAAATTAATAACAAAAGCCAATTAATATTTCAATAATTTATTTTTTCTACTCCTTGCAATGAAACTGATCAGAAAGTATAAGGAATTAGAAAAATAAATGAATATAAATATAACTAAAATGGTAGTCTTGTTTTTACTTAAAATAATTGAGCTTGGCTTGTATTTTCTTTAAAAGGTAGGTTTTAGAATTATTGAACGTAGAAGATTAAAATTTATTAGATCATAATCATAACTATAAAAGATATTCATGTTGTTAAGTCTGAATATGAAGTGTGTTTCTCCAAATTTCTATCCACAGACAATGACACAATTATTTTTTTCTTTGTTAGTTCAGGTTGCTATAATTAATTACCATAGACCAGGCGGCTTAAAAGACAAACATATATTTCTCACAGTTCTGTATTCTGTGAAGTCCAAGATTAAGGCTTTAGCAGATCCAGTGCCTGGTGAGGGCCTGTTTCCTGGTTTGCAGACGGCCGTCTTCTTGTTGTAACCTCACATGGCAGAGAACAGAGAAAAGAAGCAAACTTTTAAATGTCATTTTATAAAGGCAGTAATCCCACTCATCAGGGTTCTACCCTCATGCCCTAACCACCTCCCAAAGTCTCCACCTCTTAATACCATCACATTGGGGATTAGAATTTCAAAATATAAATTTTGAGGGGACACAAACATTCAGTCCATAGCACCTAGACTTAGTAAAGGATGCACAATGCCTAAGATTTTCTTATTAGTCTGAAGAGGCTGCTTATATTTGAAGTTAATGTCAGTAGTGTCAAATGAATTAAGTGTTTCAATAAGATAATCTTCCGAGATAACCTGCATGTAGGATCCAGAATACTGAGTGCTCACAGTAGAACCCTAGAGTCTTTAACTGAAGATAATTGATTTATGTAAAATGTAAGCTGATTAGACAATTAGTAGGTGATCACACTGCTTTTCATGGGGTGAGGAATATAAGTTCATGCTGGCCTGCCTTGTTTGGCATGCTTAACTGATTGAGTTTTGTGTTTAAACAAATGGCTAAAGAGCGTAATATTCTTCATAAAGCTGGCTGAATTCTGCATTTTCCCTTCCTTTTCTTTCTTTTTAAATTATTATTATTTTTTTAATTTGAGACAAGGTCTTACTCTGTCCACCCAGGCTGGAGTGCAGTGGTGCAGTTGTGGCTCACTGCAGCCTAGACTGCCCAGGATCAAGCAGTCCTCCCACCTCAGCCTCCCGGGTACCTGGGACTATAGGCATCTGCCACCATGCCTGGCTAGTTTTTTTTATTTTTTGTAGAGATAGAGTCTCACTATGTTGTCCAGGTTGGTTTTGAACTCCTGGGTTTAGGCAATCCTCCTGCCTTGGCCTCCCAAAATGCTGGGATTACAGGTATGAGCCACCATGTCCAGCTGCATTTTCCTTATAGCTTATTGTCTCTAAAAACAACAACAACAAAAAATCAAATTTAAAATAGCATTGCTTGGGTTTAGGGGGTGTGTATAGTAGAGAAATAGTAAAAATAACAAAAAAACAAGAATGAAGTGATTCTTTAATGATGTGGACAATTGAGATTTTTACTTCTTAATCTTCTGTATGGGAAAGATATCTACACCCCATCTTTAAAAAATGACATAAGCTTTTTTGAGTCATTCTTCTTTTCCAAAAATATTCTTTTAACCCATTTAAAAAGCATGTTCTGATAATTGATCAAATATATATTTATATTACAAAAGCCAAATTTTCCATTTTTAGAATTGTTGATTAACAGAGAAAATAATTTAGATTTAACATACTAATCTTCGTAGGTGCTAAGGAATCACTTTAATATACTTCCATGCCAAATACATATTTTTAATTTTCTCATGAAAAGTTAAGTGTTAGAAGTTCAGACTGGGCTAGGTGTTAAATAACATGGAGATATCAGAGTTATTTTGAAAGATAAAGCTTTAATCCTCTGAACCGTGCAAGAATCTGTAAAAGAATATTACTTACAGTGTGTAGAGTGACACTGGAAACCTACTGCTTGTTTAGCCAGACTCTCTGCCTTCCAGATGTAGCCTTATTGCCTTAATCAAGTACTCTACACAGGATTCTGAATTAAATGATAAACTCTAAGATTGCAAATTCCTCCCTACACTCTTGAGACCTTCTGGTCAAGGTTTTTATAATATATCTGAACCATAAAATAGATCTTTTTTTTTTTCAAATTTTTTGTGCTTTCTGTGTTTGCAAATCTTGTTGATATAGTCACCGACTTCATAAAGGGGAACTGTCAAAAATATCAGTTGACTTGATACAGTTATTGAACTGCATATCTAAAATAATCTTCAGTGGTACTTGCTCAAATCTCTAAAATGTTGCGTGGTCACTGATTCACTTTTGTGTGCTCAGTATATCAGAATTTGGCTTAACTTACACAAAGTTTAGGTTTTCAAGTTTTAAAAAATTTTTCGTTTGTCACATTAACTAAAGACTTTTTGTGAGGTAAAATGGGACACTAAATGTAAAACAGGTTATTCTGAGCCACAGTAAGTGCTCAGTAAATATTAATTGTTGTTATTATATTATTTTATACAGCCACCCAATTTAATGACACTGAACCATGCTTCGTTTAATAGATTAGAGAATTTAGGCCCAGAAAAATTGAATTCCTTTCCCATGATTAGTAAATATATGAACTTACCCTTAAGCACAGCTAACCTGGATGTCTTAGTCCCCTAAAATGCACATACTATACATTTACATGCACATAGGTACAAATGCACAATTTCTTAGTCAAATTAAAGACTCATTTTCTAATTATAAAGATGAAACTGAAATACGCTTCTTTTATTTTTCTCTAAATGATTGGACTTTCCACAGAGAACACAATTTATTTGGTATGTCATTACCTACCAACCATAACTCTAAAGTGGGGAGGGGATGACAGAGGAAATTGTGGTCCAGGAAGAGAAACAGGTTCCAGCTTCTCACTGCCTCAGTCAGGATGTGACTTGCACTGTTGGCAACAGAGAAGGCGAGACAGAACCATTCTGCAGCCTGCTTTTGTTTTTTGTTTTTTTTTATACAGAGTTTCGCTCTTGTTGCCCAGGCTGGAGTGCGATGGCACGATCTCAGCTCATTGCAACCTCTGCCTCCCTGATTCAAGAGATTCTCCTGCTCAGCCTCCTGAGTAGATGGAATTACAGGCACCTGCCACCATGCCCAACTATTTTTCGTATTTTTAGTAGAGATGGGGTTTCACCATGTTGGCGAGGCTGGTCTTGAACTCCTGACCTCAGGTGATCCTCCTGTCTCGGCCTCCCAAAGTGCTGGGATTACAGGTGTGAGCCACCGTGCCTGGCTCCCTGTGCGTTCTTTAAAATCTGTGTCTGTCTCATGTAGGTATGGTAGAAGAAGCAGCAGGAATGGCATGAAGTAGAAAAGTCTCTAGAAAGGGTCACCAATGGTAGCTTTCTGCTATTAGGCTACTGGAGGTTGTAAAGACATTTAAAGACTGGGTTATCTATGCAAAAATAATTTATTGACACATAATATGTAGTTCAAAGGTGTTCATACTATTTCACTTCAAACATAGCATTTATTCTTAAATTTAAAATCAGATGTCATTTACTTGGTTTTAATAAAATCCCTGCCGACTCCCAATAATGTAGACATAGCATAGTGGCCAAAGGAAGAAAATTTCCTTCTAATGCATCAGATACAAGACTCAAGATTCAAAACCCAAAGGGTGATTTTCCTAGAAAATCCTACCTGCAGACACATACGCATACAAACATATAATTTGAAGCAATTTTGTTAAGACATGCCAGTGTTGACAAAACTAACTTGATAACTTCAGTTTCACAGTGTTTACATGGCATCACTGAGGGCGAATGTGCCTTCAGATTTAATTAATGATTTTTCATGATCAGGCAGTCATTTTTCCCTTTCTCCATAACCATTTCATGTACAATCACAGGGCAGGTCTTACTGGATAGAGGGCCCTCTTCTTTGGTACTTCTTTGGATCTGCAAGCAGTACATCATCCAGTTAAATGTTTTGATGTCAACTAACATATCAGGCAAGTTTAGTGTAATGATTATAGAACATTTTTACTAATATTTTATTCATTAGATAAAGTTCATCTGTCTCACTTTGCCTTATAGATGTAGTTAATACTTAGATAAAAGACTATAAATATAATTCATAAACTTCACAAGTTTTTTAGTACCATGAAAGAGGTAGAATTAAGGCTTTCCAATTTTATTTAAGGGAAGTTTAAGATTGTAAACTCTGTTTCACATCCAGTAAACAAGCCAGGTAGTGAAAAAAAATGGATAGTTATTTTATCTGGATACCCAAGAACATCTTATTAATTCTTTCCTTTCTCCATTTTGATATTTCTTTGTACTCTGGCAATTTAGAGGGGAAGCAATTTGCAAAATTTTGGATATAGTCTAGGTAAGGGGAAACATAGTGTTTTAAAATTCATAAATATCATAAACAACAATTTCAGATCATTGTAAACAGCCCAAAAATAAAGTTAATATACAATATTATATAAGTTGCCTAATGTCTACCAAAAAATAGGATGATTTAAAATTAACTCCATAGGAAAATCCAGTGCTCTATCTTATGATGAAACAAACTGCATGTCACTCTTGGACCTGAAGTGTTCACTATGAAGTTACATTATTTGTTCAAAGCTTTATCATCTACTTGGGTGAGGTTATGTGACTTATTGAAGGTCAATTTGCAGTAACAACTCTGATGTCAAAAACTGAAATGACAGCTGTTGACACAGAATGCAGTTAAGGAGCAAATATTGAAGTATGTTCTTTTAAATAAAATATTAAACTATCCTTGAGCTAAATAAGTAGGTCTGCGGCAACTGTTAGTCTTGCAAAAGATAAGATTATGTCAGAATGCATTTTTCAATTGACTTCAATTTTCCAAAAGAGAATTTGCTACATACAGGAGTTTGCCAAAGTCTAAGCAGCTCAGATATGCTAAAACACAAACAAACAAAACAACCCCATCTTCCCCCGTAAAAAAAAGTACCCTTCTTTCTTTTCTTTCTAGAATTGATTTCATCTGGAACCACAGCCTCTTTTGTCACTGATGGAGTTGGAATTTGAAGAGGGATACTCTTTGTGTTGAAACAGTTAATTTCTCTCTCTCTGTCACTCTCTCTCTCTCTCTCTGTGAATTCAGTTTCATTTTATAACTTCTCCATCCTTCAGAATTTCTTCTTAACACATTTTCCTTCCTCAAGTTGCAACTTTTTTTCAAAGGAAATTTCATGTGTGATCCTAGTACTTAGCTTTCTGGCACTTCTTTTCTGACTCCTGCTTACCCCTTGCTGCCTGTTCTTTATTTCATTTATTTATTCATTTTTATTTTAGATTCAGGTGACACATGTTCAAGTTTGTTACATGTATATGTTGCATGATGCTGAGGTTTGGATTTCTATTGATCCCATCATCCAAATAGTGAATGTAGTACCTAATAGGAAGTTTTTCAGCCCTTGCCCCTCTTTCCTTCTGCCCTTTTGAAATCTCTACTATTGTTCCCATTTTTATGTCCATATGTATCTAATGTTTAGCTCCCACTTATAAGTGAGAACATGTCACATTTGGTTTTTCTGTTTCTGTGTTAATTCACTTAGGATAATGTCCTTCAGCTGCATCCATGTTCCTGCAAAGACATGATTTCATTCCATTTTATGGCTGCATACTATTCCATGGTGTATATGTACCACATTTTCTCTATCCAGTCCACCAGTTGATGGGCATCTAGGTTGGTTCCACATTTTTGCTATGGTGAATAGTGCTACAATAAACATATGAATGCTCATGTCTTTTTGGTAGAATTATTTATTTGGTGGGGGTTATCCAATAATGGGATTTCTGGGTCAAATGCTAATTCTATTTTTAGTTCTTTCAGATATCTTCACACTGCTTACCATAGTAGCTGAACTAGTTTACTTTCCACCTACAGTGTATAAGCATTCTCTTTTCTCTGCAACCTCATCAAGATCCGTTATTTTTTTGTCTGTTAAATAATTGCCGTTCTTGCTGGTGATTAGTGATATTGAGAATTTTTTATGTTTGTTGGCTGATTATATGTCTTCTTTTGAGAAGTGCCTGTTCATGTTCTTTGCTCACTATTTAATGGGGTTATTTTGTTGTTGTTGTTGTTGTTGATTTGTCTAAGTTCATTATAGATTCTGTTGCCCCATTTTTAATGGTAGATACTTATCCCTGTTGCTATCCCTGTTTCCCAGTTAACATACAGTCTGTTCTGTATGCAATGCCAATACTCATTGGTTGCCATCTGGGAAGAACAGCAAACCTCCTCTGCTGGCCACAGACTTCTCCTGAGATTTTTCTGTGCTTTTGACCTGGAGAAAATCAGCCATGTGCCCCTTGGTGGTATTCATTCTATCACTTCTGATGCATAGTTCTTGTCCCTCATTAATATGTATCTCTGAAAGGCAAACTGATTCTTGATTACAGACTGCTTCACTTCTGCCACTCAAGGACTCATGGATATGTCTACATTTCTTAAATTATCTACACTAGCCACTGGACTGGGAACCAGGCAAATTTCTGTCCCAGGTCATATCATTGCCCAAACACATAATCTGTCATTTGTAATTTCCTGTAGCCACTCTACTCCATTTTATTTTTATTTTTATTTATTTATTTATTTATTTGAGAGATAGAATGTTGCTCTGTCACCCAGGCTGGAGTGCAGTGGCACAATCTTGGTTCACTGCAACGTCCGCCTCCAGGGTTCAAGCGATTCTCCTGCCTCAGCTTCCCAAGTAGTTGGGACTACAGGCATGTGCCACTACTCCCAGCTAATTTTTGTATTTTTAGTAGAGGCAGGGTTTCACAATATGTTGGACAAGCTAGTCTTCAACTGCTGACCTCAGGTGATCTGCCCATCTAGGCCTCCCAAAGTACTGGGATTACAGGCATGAGCCACCACACCCAGCTCTACTCCATTTCAGCAAAAGATTCTATAACGGACTTGACACTTTTTTTTTTAAGGAAGTAAGAGGAATAACAACCACATTCTGTCTCCAGCTCTGAAAAATGTTCGGATCTTCCTCATATCCTCCAGCACCCAGTTCAGAGCTTCAACACTACCTAGGGGTAGACACCAAAAACAGTACCAAAAAATGTATAGGGATGGTAATCAAGAAATTCACAGATCACTTGGCCTTTCACTTTTTATACTTTCATTCTTTCTCATCCCTCTAGTGATAGATAGAGATGAAGATTTAGAGAGAGTTTTATATCTCTATCTGTATCTCTATCTCTATGTATGTATGTATGTATGTATGTATGTATCTATCTATCTATCTATCTATCTATCTATCTATCATTGCATCTTTGTCGTATGACAGCCTACTTCTTTTAGCATCAGAAGGAATTCCTAACCTTTCCTTTTCATGTCTGGGAGAGATTATCTCATGGGGTAATGTTCTCCTCACCAGATAATTTTCAATAAAAGCAGAAATGGCTCCCAAAGATATTCATGCTCGAATCCCTGGAACTTGTGAATATGTCACCTTATATGGCAAAGGGAACTTTGTATAGGTATGTGATTGAGGTTACAGACTCTGACGTAAGATTTTCTGGATTATAATAGTGAGCCCACTCTAAGCACATGAGTCATCTGGGGTCAGGGAGGGAGAGTGGGGAATAAAGGGGAAGAGGAGAGGAGAGAAGAGGAGAGGAAAGGAGAGGGGAGGGGAGGGGAGAAGGGGAGGGGATAGGAGAGGAGAAGGGGAGGGGAGGGGAGAAGGGGAGGGGAGAGGAGGGGAGGGGAAGGATAGGGAGGGGAGGGGAGGTAGAGATCCCTGGAGAGGGGATAATGAAAAAGGGCCAAAGAGAAGCAATGTAATGGTCTTCATGATGGCAAAATAAGATGAGACAATGAGGAAAGTGAGCAAGCTCTAGAAGCTGGAAGAGGTAATGAAATAAATTATTTACCTAGAATACAGCAACTGTTCTTAACTCTTATGCCTTACACCAAAACGGTGTTCCAAACTAATATTTTTTAGATGTGGCCAGCAGGACCCAATATGGTCTGACTGTTCCTGTCTTTCCAGGATAAATCTGTACCACTCATTCTTGAATTCTCTGCATTGTAGTCACAGTGCAGCACTTTCCATCTGCAAAAGCCACTCCAAGCCTTCACGCATGCTATTCCTTCTGCCTGGAATACCTTCACTTGACTAAGTCTTACTCATTCTTTAAGTCTCAAGTTAAAAGTTATTTCCTTATAAAGGTCATTCTGGACAACTCAATCTAAGCCTTTGCTGCACTTTCTTTTATCAACCATAAAGATATGCATAGAATCCTATGCATTTATTTTCACATTTGTGTGATTATTTAGTAGAGGGTTGTCCAATCTTTTCGCTTCCCTGGGCCACATTGGAAGAAGAAGTATTGTCTTGGGTCACACATGAAATACACTAACAATAGCTGATGAGCTAAAAAAGTCACAAAAAATTATAATGTTTTGAGAAAGTTTATTAAGATGTGTTGGGCCACATTCAAAGCCATCCAGGGTTGCATGCAGCCCATGGGCTGTGGGTTTGACAAGCTTGATTTAGTACCCAATTCTTGATGTAGGCTGTATTTCAATGAGTGTGAGGACAATGTCTCTTATTGCACAGTGCTTGACACAGAGTAGTTTCTCTCTAAATATCAGCACAATGCAAAAGTTCTACTAATACAGCAATCTCAAGTGCTAATGTTGAGGAGAACAAGTTATTTAAATAGGCTTTTTGATTATTTATTTTATAGTATGAAATTATACTTAAAATTATACGACTATATCCATGGTATTTGGTACAATCAAATCTGAAGTACAAGGATAAAATTGATACTTAAGATAATTTGGTGAAGATAAATTCTTTCAATTAAATCTCATTTTGCATTTGTAAATTAATTTTTTCATATATTAAATTATAATTTAGTATGAGAAGTATGCAAACTTATAGTTGATGCCAACTAAAGGTATGGATTAAATTTTGAGAATAAAAATATTGCTTTAACCATTCCTTATTGAATTTTTACTATGTTTGATATCTTTAGTTCTTACACATACTTGAAGTTAAAAAGAGATCCTCTTTCTCACTTTGTCTCATTCTCCAAATATATATCTCATGTTTTGAAAATTATTAAGAAACTATTTCGTGTGTAAGTTTTGTGAAATTGATTTATGTGTAAATTTGTATGTGATTTGTAGTCTTTTTTGTTTGGCAATAGGGAATGAAGGAACATAATAGTAAATAATCAGCTTAAAATAAAAGGAGTCAAAAAATTGAGCAAAACAAACTTGAGGCAAACATATTTAGTTATAATGAAAAGTAACTAGACTAACTTTATGATTCAGCACCCCACTGCATTCATCGGTCATGTTGTCCAGTAAGGAAAAGTACTAAACAATAGCAATTACTGTCAGCAACTATTGAGAATGTTTTCATCTGCCATGTTTAATACTTAAAACAACTCTAGGAAAGAGGATTGCTCTTCTCCCCTCACTAGATAGAAAAATTAGTTGTAGACGTCATGAAGGTAGTAGGTTGGTTTAACTCCTGAATTTACTCTCTTAACTACAGATTATTTTTTCCAATGTAAAACAACCTCTTGGTATAATCTGTGTTCAGTGTTTCAAATCCCACTTCACATGTGTCACTGTCAATCTATTCATTGGTATTTTTCAGTAAATTATACACTGCAATTTCTTTGCTGCTATTTGAATTTGGTTCACCAAACAGCAAATAAATCAGAATTTTACATGTTCTGATCCTTTGGGATTACTTACAAATAGCTGAATCTGCAATAGTCATCCATTCTATGTATGATTTTTGTAAAATTATTAATATGCTTTTCCTTTCTAATGTCCTATAACCATTTCTGTATTGTCTCAGGTATGGCTATGTTTACAAGTTGCATAGTGTTGCAGCCCTGTTCTGATTATTCCTAATTGGAGAGCTTTTTGTTCTAGACTACTATGGTGATTGGGGAGGGGTTTGAACCTAGTTAACCATCTAACTAACTCGCTATTAAGACTGTGTCCAAATTGAAAGCACTTTATTTATGTAAATAAACATGGAGCCACTATATTTGATATTTAACAGCATTATACATACTTCTGGCCTATTTTTTAGCTAATCAATCAATTTTCTAAATAGTTTGATGATGTTCTACATGAAAATACATAGCAGTGTGGTAATTGTAAATTTCAGTTTCTAAAACCTGTCTGAAATCCACATTTCTGTCACCAAATAATGGACTGCATCATTTAGGATTTCATTTTACTCCACATGTATATAAATTTGTGAAATGGTGCTATCAATGTGAAAGGTTGTAATATCAACCTTTACATTACTTTTGTATTAATACTACTATTTTTATAAGGAATTTTGCCTGGGTTCCTCAGGTTGTTTTTGCTCTGAAAGATATAACGAGATACACATTTTCTAAAAAAAAAACTGCAACAAAGTATAATATCTGTCCTGTTATTTGATGACAAATCACATTTGACCAAATAATCTTGATCTTTTAGAGAGATTACTATTAAACTTTTAAACATAGTACTTTATAAACTCTGTGGTTTTCAGCAATAGCTTTCAGAGTTATTTCTAGGAAGTAAGTCACAAGGAAACTTGTTTTTCTATGTTACAATAAAAAGAAGTTCTACAGAAATGTTTTGAAATTATTTTAGTGAACGGTTAAATGAAAATAAAAATCTAGAAACTCAAGAATAACACGTTTCTGAGCAGATAGCTTATAGAGAATGTGAGTCAACATACTTTACAAGTTTTTAAGATGCTGTCTGTGATATTCTAAAAGATCAGAAGTAGATTTTCCATATGGATGAAATATACAAGTGGCAACAGAGAGGCCTCTTCACTGTGTTTCGTGTAGTTTGTCTTAAGAAGTACAAAAAAGAAAACCCAAGAGGGTTCCAATAAAGCCTATCTTTTTAAAATAGCTTTGGTTTTATTCAGGTATTAAGTTTTCCTTCATATGGAAAGTCATACTTGCTTTTTCAATTAGGTAAATACATCCGACCTACAAAGTGCTGAAAAAAAAAGTTAACAGAAATCATCTTCTATAGAAAGAAGTAAAACAAGGAAGCAAGCAAGAAAGAACTATTTGAAGATATCTACAAATTAAAATACTTGGCTTCACCTCAAAAACTTCTGCACATAAAGGGCATATCTTTTGCTTTCCTTTTCCAATCCATGTTTCTTGCTAAACTAACCATTTTGCTCTTGTTTGCAACTTTTATTTTCTCGAAGGCTCGAAACCTTATCTGTCAAATAGTCTTTTTTAATAAAAGAAAATTGTATTTTTATGGCTTCTCAGGGTAAATACCTGGGTAGCATCTTGACTTCTCTTTCTTTAACCCAAACCCTATCTGTGAGAAAATGCAAATTTAAATCTACCTAAAAACTACCTACATAAAAATTTAGAGTTCGAATTTTGTTGTTGTTGTTGTTGTTTTTGAGACAGAGTCTTGCTCTGTCAACCAGGCTGGAGTGCAGTGGCACAATCTCTGCTCACTGAAACCTCCGCCTCCTGGATTCAAGCGATTCTCCTGCCTCAGCCTCCCAAGTAGCTGGAATTACAGGCGCCCACCACCATGTCCGGCTAATTTTTGTATTTTAGTAGAGACAGAGATTCACCATGTTGGCCAGGCTGGCCTCGAACTCCTGACCTCAGGTGATCTGCTGGCCTCAGCCTCCCAAAGTGGTGGGATTACAGGCATGAGCCACCATGCCCGTACTTTTTTTTCTTTTTTGTGTGATCACTGGCCCCACCCTGGTTCAAGCTATCATCCTCTCTCCCAGACTATTGGAATAGCCTCCTAACAGACCTTCCTCTTTTGATCCTTGAGAGTCTATTCTCCATAGAGCAGTCAGTGCAATATGTTTAAAATATAAGTCAAATCATGTCATTTGCTGTCACAGTGCCTCTACTGTCTTTTGATGTCAATGTCAGTAAAAGCCAAACTTCTTAGAATGGTCTATAAACCTTTGCATTTGCTGTCCCTGCTGCCTGAACACTCTTCTTCCAGCTTTCACCGTGGTGTGTTTCATCACCCTTTTTTAGACCTCTGCTCAACTGTCACCTAATTAGAGTGGTCTTCCCTGATGATCCTCTATCAGATTACCACATCACACACTCTTCCCTATTTTCCTTAAACTGCTTATTCCCCTCATAGCTCTTGAAAATAAAAGCAAGATTTCTATGACATTATGTTCCACACACTATTCTAAGCATTTGACCTATATTAACTCATTCAATTCTCATAACAGCATTAAGAGATAGTTTTATTATATCCATTTTACCCATGAGGTACTTTAGGCAAGCTAATGTTAAGAATTAGCCCAAGACTACAGAGTTATCAAGTGGCAGAGCTGAGATTCAAGCCCTTGCAATTTGTCTCAAGCATCTATGCTTTTGTCCACTGTGTGATGTAGCTTCTCATATTACAGATATTCTTGCTCATTTGTTTATTGTTTGTCTCCTTCTGCAAGAATGGAAACTTTGTGAATGCAGTGATTCATTCTGTTACTCATTACCATATCACAGTTCTTAGAACACTGCTTGCTCACAAAAAACTCTCACTACATATTTGTTGATGGCATGTCATCATTCACACTGTTCCTCTGTCTAAAACATATGCCTTTGCCTACACACCTCATTAATTCCTGCTTAGATTTTAGTTACATTCTTCACTACACTCACAGTTACTTGAAACTGAGGACATTCCTGATATTCAAGGTTGGTTAGCACAAATCTTTGCATATAATATAACAGAACTTAATATTTTGTGAGAGATAACTAAATGAATTTATCTGAAAGAACATATTGCTCAAGTTGATGATATCTCAACAAGTAGTTGTTAGTAGAGGAAATGTGTTTATAAGGATATGCCCTAACAATACTCAGAATTGTCTTTACTCAATCTAACTCCCAAACTAAGGCTGACATTAAATCTAAAAAAATCAAAGTTTTTGATCTGGTCATATGGTTTTATTATATTTTACTCAAGTAGAATATAAAGATAATTATCTGGTCATAGCCAGTTAAAAGAGTTCTTTTGCCTTATTTCAATTTCACTATATAAAATATATATATTTTAAATTACCAACAGAAATCTGAGGGGATTCATTATTTTCTAAGTATATTTCTATTTAATGGAAATGGTATAAATATTTACTGTATCTGTATAATCATTATATGCATAGCATGTTTTGAATAAAATAATAAACAATTATTGGAATGTGCAATATAGTAACTGCAATTGTAAAGAATAAGAACCTAAGAACCAAACCATATTAAAAATCAATTCGGTGAGACTTTGTTATATTTCCTTCATTTCTTAATGGTTTTAAGGTGTATACTTTAATTAATAGATAGGTATGCTGAGTAATAATTTCATATGCAACAATTATTTTGTTGACAATATGAAAATGTTTTTATATCATTGATGGAACAGTTCCATAATGAAACCATACTGACTTTCATGAGTTATGTGAATAAAATGAACTTTTGTGACAAATGGCTTTACAATTGCTCAGCTTTTAAATTACTTTTACAAATCATTGGCAAATCTTAGTAAAATAGAAGCCTTTACAGCCTGCAAAGGCTAAAATGTTGACTGTTTGTCTTTTTTTAGAAAAAAAAAAAGCCAACCTGCAATAACTGAAAAAGTAACAGATTTGGGAAAATGACAGAGGGAGTTTGAGGTTGCTCAAGAAAACTGTGTTGAGTTAATGTGAAAGTCATTATAGGAGTGCAGATACTTCTTTGAGGTCCTGATTTCAACTCTCTTTGATAAATACCTAGAAGTGGGATTCCTGGATCATATGATAGTTTTCTTTTCCTTTTTTTCTTTTTCTTTTTTTTTTGAAACCTCCATCTGTTTGTGGCTGCACCACTTTGGATTCCCACCAACAGTTTGCAAAGGTTCCAATTTCTCTAAATCCTCACTAACACTTGCGTTTTTTCTTTTTGATAATAGCCATCCTGATATGTGGTTTTTGTTTACATTTTCCTGATGATTAGTGATGCTGAGCATCAAAGAGATATTAGCACCCCTATTTTTATTGCAGCACTATTCACAAGATGTAAAATCAGCTTAAGTGTGCATCAGCTTTATTTATTCATGAATGGATAAATAAAGTTTGATATGTATACGCAAAGGAATACTATTCAGCATCACAAAAGAAGAAAATATTGGCAATATGCAACAACATGGATGAACCTGGAGGATACCATGCTAAGTGATATTGAACCAGTTGCAGAAAGACAAATCCTGCATGAGTCCACTTATATAAGCATCTAAAATATTCAAATTCATAGAATCAAAGAGTGGAATGATGATTGCCAGGGGATGGGGGGAGAAGGAAATTGGGAGTTACTAATCGACAAGCATAAAGTTTTAGTTAAGCGAAATGAATAAGCTATGGAGATTTGCTGTGCAATACTATACCTATAGTAATAATGTATACTTAAAAATTTATTAACAGGGTAGAACTCATATTATGTGCTCTTGCTGCCATAAAATAATTTTTTAAATAAAAAGTCACTATACTCTTTAACATTACATATTAGAATTTTTTGTATATATGTATCACCTATTATAAAGAAGATACAGTCACTAATTATCAATTAAAATAATTGAAAACCGGCTTCTCTATTTCCTGTAGCATAGTCTCATGTTCCAATTTGGCAAAGTACTCATTTAGAACAATTAGCCCAGGAGTTACAAGTAAGTATACCAATAAATGTACTGAACTTATTTAATTCAAAAAATCATCACCATGAGGCATTTAATACCCTGCATAAGTGAAATGACATAATTGGGAATCTCTATTCAGACTGTGAGTGATGAAGACACCTTTTTTCCATATAGTGGATACGTTTAAAAATAAAAATAAAATCAGAAAGTTTGCATTTGGATTTAACATTTTTTTAATCAGACAGCCCTAATAAGTAGAAATATTTTACTATTGTCATTAAATATTTGTTTTCAAGTTTGTATTTTGTTTATTAAGTAAATATATGTATATATCATAGTACATTAAATAAAATTACAAAGATTTTTTATATATGATTCATATTCCTTTAGAGCTTGGTTAAGGTAATCGTTTTTACCCATGTAATTCAAATTCAGGCACATGTGTAAAACTTTGAAACATTTTTAAACCATGGAGAATATTGCTGTTCATCAGAAGTAGAATGTGCATATTCAGACTTTAAAAAAGTTATTAAGAAAAGATCTTGTTTTGAAAATAACTTTTTAATTAATTTTTAAACTTTTTAAAAAATGAGGGCATACAGTCAGCATTTAAAATGCATTATAATTTACTCATTTACTCAGTTTTTTCTAGTCTCTCTAATAATAAGCTAAAATTATTTTTATTTTCAAAACTTAGTGATAATCTGAGATAAGTGGAAATTAAAACGTGGTAAAATAAAGCAATATATTCATTAAGTCAATATAAAGCATTATTTATTATATTTTATATTACTCTGTGTCCTGAGAAAATGGAAGCCAAATGTTATTCTTGGCTTTAACTATTGGTTTTGATGGTTGCTTGTCATTAGGAACACAGCAGCCACTTTTGAATGCTTGCTTACATAGATTTTGGGTGTTTAGAAAAGCTTGTGGCCAGCTTCTCTGTCATCTAAACCTTATTTATCTGAATGTTTCAGCTGTGCCTGGAGACTTTCAATGAGACAAGGTTGCATCCATCTGCAATTCTAAGCAGCTATTTAGGTGTGTTCTGTATTATTTACTCACTATTGTTTATTACAATTTTGTGTTATCGAGACTATAATGTCAATCATGACTCCTCTTTTTAAACCAGATTCAAATTCACTGCATCTTTTTTTGTTTTTTATTATACTTTAAGTTTTAGGGTACATGTGCACAATGTGCAGGTTAGTTACATGTGTATACATGTGCCATGCTGGTGTGCTGCACCCATTAACTTGTCATTTAGCATTAGGTATATCTCCTAATGCTATCCCTCCCCACTCCCCCAAACCCACAACAGTCCCCAGCGTGTGATGTTCCCCTTCCTGTGTCCATGTGTTCTCATTGTTCAGTTCCCACCTATGAGTGAGAACATGCAGTGTTTGGTTTTTTGTCCTTGTGATAGTTTACTGAGAATGATGATTTCCAGTTTCATCCATGTCCCTACAAAGGACATGAACTCATCATTTTTTATGGCTGCATAGTATTCCATGGTGTATATGTGCCACATTTTCTTAATCCAGTCTATCATTGTTGGACATTTGGGTTGGTTCCAAGTCTTTGCTATTGTGAATAGTGCCGTAATAAACATACGTGTGCATGTGTCTTTATAGCAGCAAGATTTATAGTCCTTTGGGTATATACCCAGTAATGGGATGGCTGGGTCAAATGGTATTTCTAGTTCTAGATCCCTGAGAAATCGCCACACTGACTTCCACAATGGTTGAACTAGTTTACAGTCCCACCAACAGTGTAAAAGTGTTCCTATTTCTCCACATCCTCTCCAGCAGCTGTTGTTTCCTGACTTTTTAATGATTGCCATTCTAACTGGTGTGAGATGGTATCTCATTGTGGTTTTGATTTGCATTTCTCTGATGGCCAGCGATGGTGAGCATTTTTTCATGTGTTTTTTGGCAGCATAAATGTCTTCTTTTGAGAAGTGTCTGTTCATATCCTTTGCCCACTTTTTGATGGGGTTGTTTGTTTTTTTCTTGTAAATTTGTTTGAGTTCATTGTAGATTCTGGATATTAGCCCTTTGTCAGATGAGTAGGTTGCGAAAATTTTCTCCCATTCTGTAGGTTGCCTGTTCACTGTGATGGTAGTTTCTTTTGCTGTGCAGAAGCTCTTTAGTTTAATTAGATCCCATTTGTCAATTTTGGCTTTTGTTGCCATTGCTTTTGGTGTTTTAGATATGAAGTCCTTGCCCATGCCTATGTCCTGAATGGTATTGCCTAGGTTTTCTTCTAGGGTTTTTATGGTTTTAGGTCTAACGTTTAAGTCTTTAATCCATCTTGAATTGATTTTTGTATAAGGTGCAAGGAAGGGATCCAATTTCAGCTTTCTACATATGGCTAGCCAGTTATCCCAGCACCATTTATTAAATAGGGAATCCTTTCCCCATTGCTTGTTTTTCTCAGGTTTGTCAAAGATCAGATAGTTGTAGATATGCGGTGTTATTTCTGAGGGCTCTGTTCTGTTCCATTGATCTATATCTCTGTTTTGGCACCAGTACCATGCTGTTTTGGTTACTGTAGCCTTGTAGTATATTTTGAAGTCAGGTAGCGTGATGCCTCCAGCTTTTTTCTTTTGGCTTAGGATTGACTTGGCGATGTGGGCTCTTTTTTGGTTCCATATGAACTTTAAAGTAGTTTTTTCCAATTCTGTGAAGAAAGTCATTGGTAGCTTGATGGGGATGGCATTGAATCTATAAGTTACCTTGGGCAGTATGGCCATTTTCACGATATTTATTCTTCCTACCCATGAGCATGGAATGTTCTTCCATTTGTTTGTATCCTCTTTTATTTCATTGAGCAATGGTTTGTAGTTCTCCTTGAAGAGGTCCTTCACGTCCCTTGTAAGTTGGATTCCTAGGTATTTTATTCTCTTTGAAGCAATTGTGAATGGGAGTTCACTCATGATTTGGCTCTCTGTTTGTCTGTTACTGGTGTATAAGAATGCTTGTGATTTTTGTACATTGATTTTGTATCCTGAGACTTTGCTGAAGTTGCTTATCAGCTTAAGGAGATTTTGGGCTGAGACAATGGGGTTTTCTAGATATACAATCATGTCATCTGCAAACAGGGACAATTTGACTTCCTCTTTTCCTAATTGAATACCCTTTATTTCCTTCTCCTGCCTAATTGCCCTGGCCAGAACTTCCAACGCTATGTTGAATAGGAGTGGTGAGAGAGGGCATCCCTGTCTTGTGCCAGTTTTCAAAGGGAATGCTTCCAGTTTTTGCCCATTCATTATGATATTGGCTGTGGGTTTGTCATAGATAGCTCTTATTATTTTGAGATATGTCCCATCAATACCTAATTTATTGAGAGTTTTTAGCATGAAGCGTTGTTGAATTTTGTCAAAGGCCTTTTCTGCATCTATTGAGATAATCATGTGGTTTTTGTCTTTGGTTCTGTTTATATGCTGGATTACATTTATTAATTTGTGTATATTGAACCAGCCTTGCATCCCAGGGATGAAGCCCACTTGATCATGGTGGATAAGCTTTTTGATGTGCTGCTGGATTCGGTTTGCCAGTTTTTTATTGAGGATTTTTGCATCAATGTTCATCAAGGATATTGGTCTAAAATTCTCTTTTTTGGTTGTGTCTCTGCCCGGCTTTGGTATCAGGATGATGCTGGCCTCATAAAATGAGTTAGGGAGGATTCCCTCTTTTTCTATTGATTGGAATAGTTTCAGAAGGAATGGTACCAGTTCCTCCTTGTACCTCTGGTAGAATTCGGCTGTGAATCCATCTGGTCCTGGACTCTTTTTGATTGGTAAGCTATTGATTATTGCCACAATTTCAGATCCTGTTTTTGGTCTATTCAGAGCTTCAACTTATTCCTGGTTTAGTCTTGGGAGAATGTATGTGTCGAGGAATGTATCCATTTCTTCTAGATTTTCTAGTTTATTTGCGTAGAGGTGTTTGTAGTATTCTCTGATGGTAGTTATCCTATCATTTTATATGTAAAACAACTTACTTTTGTTGCTCAAGCTATAGCAATTATTCATGCACCTTCTTTTGTATAACTAAGCTGTTCTATCTGCCATCTGTGTATATGCATAATTATATCTGGAAAGTAATTAAAAGCATGTGGCCTCATATAAATTTTGACTTATTGTTGCTGTTTTAGTTGTGTGTATAAAATTCACTAGAGTAGTTCTATGGAATTGCTCTGAATGATTTTTAAATATTTTATTTACCTATACTGAAATTTGATGAAGTGCTCTAGTAAACTAAAAAAAATGCAAAAATTGTAAGGATTCAAGATTTTTACTTCTTTTATACTATCAAAAAAGGACTAAAAATAAAATAACAGACTCAAGGGTTGCATAAAGTGCATATAGATAAAAAATAAAGGAAAACATAATTTCTGAAATAGAAAGGTTCTATAAATAAATCTGAAAAATACTATATATGAACACTTCTAGAAATAAAAAATCATTACCATCCTTGCATCATTCAACAGCTCTCATTATTCAAAAGCTTTAAACTCATTGCTAAAATAATTAGAGCTGCTGAAGTTCAGTTTGTTTCTTCTACTGTAGTTCTATAATAATAATTATGAAGACATCTTTGGATTAATGTGTGTCATCTACTCAACCTATAAATGTTTCATGCTGAGTTCATCTCTTCAGTAAATTCTTAGCATTTTAATACTAAGTGAGTACATTAATTATTCTAAATTAAAAAGCTAGAAACATAGCTTTTGTTCTTCTCATGTGTACCATCTGTGTAGTATTGAGAAATACACTGATTTTATTTCTTTATTTCCAAAGTATTTTCCCATTCACATATTTCATGGTACCTTGCCTTTTTATACTGCATGCACTATTTATAGAATGACTTGTCTTTTTCTGAACAATCTCTTAAATTTTCTATTACAACTATCTTATTCTATGTGCCTTTTACTTACTATCTTATTGAAATATACAACTATATAATTTTGAAGACTTTGGTTTCTTTGACTGCAAGCCAGTTCCATATATATCTGAGAACCACATTTGTTCTTTTATTTACACCTATTGAGGATGATACTAGGCTCTTAAGATACAACAATAAATAAAACAAAAGTGCTCCCTAATTAGAATTTATATTATTTGCAGGATGTATAGGAATGTAAACAGTTAATGTCAATTAAAATAGCCTACACTATAGAGGCTTATTAGAGTTCAGAGCCTGTCAAGAATGGTAACAGAGTCAGCTTAAATAGCTTTCATTTTGTTTTAGTATCCAAACTGCAAACAAAATTGCAAAGGCCTTGTGATATAAAGAAGTCAACTAAAATTGTACAAACAGCTCCCAATATTTCTGTAGTTACTTAAGTTAATTCCACTCACTCAAGGTTGATTGAGCCAGAAAACACACAGACTTGTTCTTATTATACTATTAGACTGCAGGAAGCAACACATAAATAATTATCTTTACCATATAAATCAGTTCCTTATGGTATTACAGGCGCATATATCCATGGACCACTTTTTGCAAGAGCCTTAGACATTCAGCAGACCTGGATACAATTCAGTATAATTTACTCTTTGGTTCCTTGTACATTCCTCATTCCCAGTAAATATTCAACAATTCTGGACAATGCGAAGAGATGTAAACTTTTAATATGGTAATAGCACAAACACCATCATAAACAACTGATACAAATCACTATATAAACTTCCACGTTGAGTAGTACACCAAGAATACAAATCTCCAAGTGACTCTTTTAGGTCTTTAATATATCATATTTTTTCTACTTTGCAGTTCTTATCATTGTTTTGTTCATTCTTTATTTAGTGGAGGCATACCATGCACCTCAGTATGGCGATAATATATGGGTGGCAGCAAAAAGTTCCAGCCCAGCATGGCCAGTGCTATCCCTCTATCTTTTTTAAAAAAATTGTGCACTTTTATTTGTCATGCTTTCTAAAAAGGTATCTATGCCATTGATTTTTTATTGATGCATAATACATGTACATATTTTCAAGGTACATATGATAAGTTAATAGATTCACATAATTTGTAAAGTTCAGTGTACTTGGGATAGCCAACACCTTAAGTATTTGTCTTTTCATTGCACTATAAACATTCTAATTATTCTCTTCCAGCTGTTTTGAATGTGCAGTAGATTACTGTAAACTCTACTCACCCTACTGATCTATCGAACAGTAGATCTTATTTCTTCTATCAAACTATGTATTTGTTTCTGTTAATCAACTTCTCTTCATCCCCCAATAGGTAAGAATGTGAGAAGTAAAAGTGTGGGAGGGAAACAGAGCTAAGATAACTCAAGAAGTCAGTCACTGTATTTTAAACATTGCACTAAAACAACAGACACCATGATGGCCTTTTCTACTACCTAATGAATACTTGGTAGCTATTTTGAGCCTATCCTATTCTTACAACTAGCAGTCTTCATTGCTTCCATCAGCTTCTGATATGGTTTGGCTGTGCCTCCACTCAAATCTCATCTTGAATTGTATCTTCCATAGTCTCCACATGTTGTGGGAGGGACCTGATGGAAGATAATAGAATCATGGAGGTGGGCGTTTCCTGTGCTATTCTCAAGATAGTGAATAAGTCCCATGAGATTTGATGGTTTTATAAAGGGAGTTTCCCTGCATAAGTTCTCTTCTCCTGTCTGCCACCATGTGAGATGTGCCTTTCACCTTCTTCCACTATGGTGAGGCCTCCTAGCCACATGGAACTGAGTTCATTAAACACTTTTCTTTTGTAAATTGCCTAGTCTTGAGTATGTCTTTATCAGCAGCTTGAAACGGACTAATACAGTAAATTGGTACCAGTAGAATGGAGTGCTGCAGAAAAGATACCTGAAAATATGGAAACAACTTTGGAACTGGGTAACAGGCAGAGGCTGAAACAGTTTGTAGGGCTCAGAAGAAGACAGGAAAATGTGGGAAAGTTTGGAACTTCCTAGAGACCTGTTGAATGGCTTTGCCCAAAATGCTAATGGCAATATGGACAATAAAGTCCAGGCTGAGGTGATGTCAGATGGAAATGAGGAACTTGTTTGGAACTGGAGAAAAGGTGACCCTTGTTATGTTTTAACAAAGAGACTGGTGGCATTTTACCCCTGCCATAGAGGTTTGTGGAACTTTGATCTTGAGGGAGATAATTTAGGGTATCTGGAGGAAGAAATTTCTAAGCAGCAAAGCGTTCAAGAGCTGACTTTGGTGGTGTTAATGGCATTCAGGGTTTTTGTTTGTTTGTTTTTTGAAATGGAGTCTCACTCTGTTGCTCAAGCTGGAGTGCAGTGGTGCAGTCTTGGCTCACTGCAACCTCTGCCTCCTGTGTTCAAATTATCCTGCCTCAGCCTTCCGAGTAGTTGGGATTACAGGCACCTCCCACCATGCCTGGATAATTGTTTGTATTTTTAGTAGAGATGGGGTTTCACCATGTTGGCCAGGCTGGTCTCAAACTTCTGACTTCAAGTGATCTGCCACCTCAGCCTTCCAAAGTGCAGAGATTACAGGTGTGAGCCACCATGCCTGGCTGGCATTAGGTTTTATAAGGGAAGCATATCAAAAAAGTTTGGAAAATTTGCAGCCTGACAATGCAATAGAGAAGAAAATCCCATTTTCTGAGTAGAAATTCAAGCCTTCAAGCCAGCTGCAGAACTTTGCATAAGTAACAAGGAGCTGAATGTTAATCCCCAAGACAACAGGGAAAATGTCTCCAGGGCATGTCAATGGGCCTTCACAACAGCCTCTTCCATCACAGGCCCAAAGGCCTAGGAGGAAAAAATGGTTTTGTGGGCTGGGCCTAGGGTCCTCATGTTGTGTGCTGCCTTGTGCCCTGCATTCCAGCTGCTCCAGCCATGGCTGAAAGAGGCCAACATAGAACTCAGGCTGTGGCTTCAGAGGGTGGAAGCCCCAAGCCTTGGCAGCTTCCATTTGATGTTGAGCCTGCGGGTACACAGACATCAATAATTGCGGTTTGAGAACCTCCACCTAGATTTCAGAGTATGTATGGAAACACCTGGATGTTCAGGCAGAAGTTTGCTGCAGGGGCAGTGCTCCTATGGGGATCCTCTGCTGGGGGATTGCAGAGGGGAAATGTGGGACTGAAGCCCCCACACAGAGTCCCCACTGGGATACTGCCTAGTGGAGCTGTAAGAAGAGGGTCACCATCCTCCAGACCCCAGATGGTAGATCCAGCAACAGCTTGCCCTGAGCACTTGGAAAAGCCACAGGCACTCAACACCAGCCCATGAAAGCAGCTAGGAGGGCAGCTGTACCCTGCAGAGCCACAGGAGCAGGGCTACCCAAGACCACAGTAACCCACCTCTTGCATTGGCGTGACCTGGATGTGAGACATGGAGTCAAAGGATATCATTTTGGAGCTTTACGATGATTGCCAAGCTGAATTTCAGACTCTCATGGGGACTTTAGCCCTTTTGCTTTGGCCAATTTCTCCCATTTGAATGGCCGTATTTACCCAATGCCTGTACCCACACTGTATCTAGAAAGAAACTGACTTGCTTTTGCTTTTAGAGGCTCATAGGTAAAAGGGACTTGCCTTGTCTCAGATGAGACTTTGTACTGTGGACTTTTGAGTTAGTGCTGAAATGAGTTAAGAATTTGTGAGACTGTTGGGAATGCATGATTGGTTTTGAAATGTGAGGACATGAGATTTGGGAGGGGCCAAGGGCAGAATGACATGGTTTGGCTGTGTCCTTACCCAAATCATCTTGAATTGCAGCTCCCATAATTCCGACATGTTGTGCAGGGACCCGGTGGGAGATAATTGAATCATGGGGGCAGGTCTTTCCCATGCTGTTCTTATGATAATGAATAAGTCTCATGAGGTCTGATGGTTTTATAAAGGGGAGTTTCCCTGCAGAAATTCTCTTGTCTGCCACCATGTGAGATATGCTTTTCACCTTCTGTCATGATTGTGAGGGCTCCCCAGTCACATGGAACTGTGAGTCCATTAAACCTTTTTCTTTTGTAAATTTCTCAGTCTTGGGTATGTCTTTATTAGCAGCATGAAAATGGACTAATACAGCTTCATTCCACATCATTGCTGACAGCATGCAAAATATCACGTTAGTGTTTAATCTTTACCTGTGGTATTTCGAAGCTCATGAAGGCACCAAAATGCCTAGTTCTGATGTGCACATAGATAGTTGCTCCATCTGTTTTTACATTTCATTTTCTTTATCCTAGAATCACCTTTGTTGCCTTCTGTTCTGAGAACTGAAAGGCCAGGATCTTAAAGTATTGGCTTTGTGAAGGAAACATGGTGCTGGCACAAGGTCCAGTAATGAAAAGTGAACTTCTAAAGCCTTCATAAATACTGGTAGAAAATGGCTGACACCCAAATGAAGATGTGAACATGGGAATGCATGTCAACTGTAATGAGAGGTTTCAAAAACCATCACTCTTCTTGCACTCTAGTGGCTCCCACTAGAAGTTACATGCAGAGGATTGAACCCTAATGCCCAATCTCGATTGTAGATAGAAAACTTTCCATGCAACTAGGATTCATCCTCATCTCTGTATGCATTTGGAAAATCCTCTCTCATAGCCTTGCCTAACTAGATTGTTTATGTGTGCATGCGTGTATATTTGTAGTGGTAGTTCCTCATTCCTTCTAGCCTTAATGACTAAGATATGTGTGTTTGAATGTGTGTGTGTGTGTCAAGAAGGTGGTTAATATGGATGCTCAGGAGAGAAAATGGTATATAACTAGGAAAATATAGTCTCCATATGGGAGGAAGAAATAGAGTATTAATTCTGTCTGGTCTGTGTAATTAAATAAGTAATGTATACATGCATTGTTGTTTATGGTACAGGCTTTTGTTGGGAACAACAGTTTATTAGAGGTGATTGTAGAGTTTAATACAAAGTAAGAGAAAGAGAGACAAGGTAAGGTTAACATGAGAGGCTTCCTATGTACAAACTTGCTATGAGGAGAATTTAATTTTTACTTACATCTTCCACATATCTCCCACAATTAGCCATTCTAGGCTAAAATATTTTGATGCTGTCTACAATCTGTGCCATACTGAGCTGCATGATATGACCCCCACTGACTGAAGAATTAGTCAAAAAATGTAAAGAACTGTATAGTAAGAAAAATCTGGCATCCTTAATACCTAAAATAATCACCTGAAGATTTGTGTTACTGGTATATTATTCAAGGTGGAAGTTTTTATACTGACTTGTGTCACTATAACACTGTAAAGTTAGAAAAACTCTTGAGCCATAGCTGCTTCTAAAACCTGAATAAAACAAACATTTCATCAAAATGATCAACCAAAAATGAACCAGATTATACAAAATTATGAAAAGGAGAAAAAAAAGAGAATAAAGACAAAAGTAGCATCCATACATACAGAGATGGCTAGCTCTCCAGACAACATGCTTCCAAAACATAAAAATATAACTTATTACTCCACAGAAAACTACAAGACATTAGCAAATTTGTACAACAAATGAAATAATAAAGTAAATTCCAAAAGGAAAACTTAGAAATGATGTTATAGCTCAGAAAAGAATTAAAAACATAAGAAATAAATTATAAATAAGAATCAAACTAGAGAAATTATAAGAGCAAATAAACACAACTGATATCATCTCAAAATAAATAAATGAAAGGAATGATACCTTTTAAAATAAAAAATCTTAAAATGATTTGAGTAAAATTTTCAAAGATTAATAAAATCTACTATACAGAAAATAGGAGTCACTAAGCAGAGAACCAAGTCAGGGAAACAAAACTAACACTAAAAATTTAAGTAAAATCACTTTTCTGAAATTAAAAAAAATAGTGAAACATTGAAACTGCATATTAAGGAACACATTGTGTATCTGGGATTTTTGAACCAGAATTACCATTATTAAAACATATTCTAATAAAATTACTGACTTTAAATTAAAAAAACATTATATGAGCATCTAGGCAAAAAAAGAAACATAGATGTAAGAGAGAGAAAATATTATATTACCTCAGGTTTTGAAAACAACTCTTTTAGTAAGCAAAAAGTGAACTAACATTTAATATACTCCAGAAAATAATATATGGGCCAAAGACTTTCAAATTCAAAGAACACAGAATAACTTTCAATTTATAAAATTCAGAAACAAACTATTATCAAAATGCAGGAATGTAGTAACTCAATTGGATAATAATATTTACATAATTAAAATGACTAAAAAGACATTGACACAAGGATGATAGTGAACATAACGTGTATGGTTATTTGTAGAGGTAAATATAAATGACAATGGAGACATAGTATAAATATAAAAGATGTGGAGAGAATGGGAGGAGCATATGTAAAAATGAGTTTTGGTAATTAAATTTATATTGGTAATGCTATATTATCTTGAGACTCTTGTTTTTGTAATGTGCTAAAATGCAAATTAATTATTATGAGATATTCTAATTCTATCATCCCCGGGGTCTTGGAGAACTAAGATTCTCTCAGTGTGGAAGAAATGAGATACAGATGCAACAGAGAACAGATTAAGCAACAAAACCCTTAGACATGATTTGAATGTAAAATATCAGTATGAATACATGAAGTATTTTATCTTAAAAAATTATAAATGGATATTTTCTCTTTTGAAAGAAGCAGCCTGACTAATCCAGGAGTGATGAGCATTCCTGTTATTCAAATTATTGTCTTGCAATACAATTCACTTCTAATGGCAACCAGGGTTTCTTGAATAAATGACTGATTCTAGGTTTTAGACTAGCATAAGAGAAACCTAGAATATCTTTGTATAAAATATGGCAAGAAAATTATAAAATAAAAATACCTTATAGTAAAAGTACCTAAAAACCTACTTGAAGAGGCTATTATGGGCTGAAATGGGATAATTTAAGCTACAGTTAGAATGATATGAGCAATGGGTAAAACCCAAGAAATATATTTATGAGTTTATAAGAATGTTAAAATTGATTGTTGATTTTTGGAGAGTTATTGTAATGAACAATAAGCCTATTAATTACAATAAAAACAGGTAAATAAAAAATGTGAATCACTCCTTTATTTTGCCTTTCCAGTATAAACTCTAATACAAGAAACCAAGAAGTAGAGGAAGGGACGTCTCTTTATAAAAATATTTTAGCTAAGTATGAAAAATACATTAAAACACTTAGAATATGATCATTTTGCAATCATCTCCAGTGAATTAATGAATCTAGGCACTGAGCAACAACTTATAACTCACAGAAAAATGGGAAAACCAGATGTTACAAATATCTCATTAGAAGAAAATGCCATTTATACTCTTGCCAAAGGATAAAATCTACATTTGATTTGATTGAGCCTCTGATCAAATATGATCTAGCCTCTGAACCCAGTTGACAAATTGTAGGAAATGCAGTAGACGCAGGAACATGCCAAGCTACTCCAAGATTTTGCAATTGACTAAGTGATAGTGTACAGGCCAAACCTCCCAGGTTCTTCAACAGAAAGAAAAGGAAATAGTCAAATGGGAAACCTATGAATGAAAGTGATTTAACTTGTATGTCAACTTTTTTAAATGAGCAAGACGAAGTTCTGTTGTCTATGGGCACACACTTAGGTGATACTACTAAAGAAACAAAAGGAATAGAGTGGTGTTTACTTTTGGAGGAAGACAGGAATTTGTGATTGGAATGGAGCATATGGAAGGGCGAAGTTATACTCTTTGGCCTGGCCAGTGGTGATAAGAATCTTTACTTTATGATGATTTGGTAAGCTTTACATTAATTTTAATTGATTTTTATAAATATGTTTTATAGAATTTAAAAACAAATGAAGCTGCACAGGTGAGGACTATTTCATTCATTTCAGTAGGTAGCTAGGCACAGGTTCATCTTGTAGAATGTGATCAGGGCTATTCACTGACTCAGCTGCTTTCCTTCTACAATTAGCCCCAAGACCTGGATGACCAGGAAGCCAGCAACTCGACCAGAATGGCAGGCTGTGGAAAGAAGTCATTTGGTGAGCTTCAGACTGAAGTAAAAGAGGTAAGGCCAGCAACTTGCCTTGAGAGCACTTTGTTATCAGCACCTGCAGTCCCTTTCCCTGCTGCTGCATGCTCTCTCCCCTCTGAATTGGTGTCATACCCTGTTTTTCTTATGTTGGGGTGGGAAGGGGAGCTAGCTGTGGCGGGCTTCTCATCTATCTCTTGTAGCTGCCACCTCTTGGGGTCATGCAGCTGACAGCTCAGGCAGGCTCCAATATATGTCCTTCCCCAGTCAACCAAAGAGACACAAAATAATTTCCCACGGTTTCAGTGTTGTATGGTTTTTGTTTATTCTGACTCAATTTATGTAGCCTGGAAGATTTTGTTTGAGTGTAGTCTGTGTGTGTGTTTGTGTGTGTGTGTTTGTGTGTGTGTGCATGCGAATACATTAATTCTCATCTTTATTTTATTTTTCTACGTTCCCCACATAAAACAATAACTCTCTCTTGCCTTTTGCTGATGTGATAAGTTAGCTAAACCAGGCCAAGAAGATTCTTAATAATGGTGCCGCAGATTTAGCTTAAATTGCTTTCTCCTAGATTCCCTAACAAATCAACAAGTCAAGCAATGTAAAAATTTTTTAATAAAGATACAAATGAAAAGGAACAGAATACCCCCCACCCCTGCCCTGCTGTGCCTCCCTAGCTAGCTCCTCACCAAGGCTCTGCCTATATTCATCATTAGTTGCAACCTACAGAGTGACAAACACATCCTGAAATAACAGGAAATGAACTATGAGCTCATTGACGCATACCAGTAAGCAGGACAAGGGGCCACATTAGCACTCAATGGTATACCTATTATTATATATCCATTTCTGCTGCGGCCAAGTTGTTTGCTTCTGTGTTCTCATTGTTTCTGAATCCTTGCCCCATAGTGGAAACACCATTAGATACTATTACAAAGTATTACTATTCACATGTCATTTTAATACTCAAGTTTTAAGTAATACCCCAGATATTGCAGCTATTAAATGAGTAAGCCAGAAGGCACACCTAGTTCCGTTCTGCTTTCAAAGTCTATATGACCTTTCTTTCCTTCAATTTCCTGTCAGAATAACTTCTTTCTCCATTCCACATACTTAGAATTCACTCATTCTCTATGTCTAGCTCAATAAGTGTTTCTGAATTCTTGGAGTATACTCAAAGTTCTTCTTTCTCTGAGCTCCTATTGTATCTTAAAAACACCACACAAGTTACCACTCACTATTTTCGAGTATGTTATTGTTGGATTCTCAACTACTTGACTGCTTCCTTATGAGCAGTCAGTATTCTTAAAGACAGAAATGTGTTTTTTTCTTATTTTCTATAGAGTTTAGCACCATGTTGCACACAACTGAGAGTTTAAAATACTTGTTGAATGAGTGAATATGTTTCACCCCTTTCACATTCATCTTAGACACTAGCAAAATTAATTACCTAATAGAATTGAAAAAGCGATAAATAATCTATTGAATCAACCTATTAAAATACTGCTTTTAGCCCTCCTCCCCTTTCTCTTATAATTCACATTACTGCTACTTAGTGTTTATAATGTGAGTCACAACTTTTGACACTTTTGCATATAATATCTCAACTAATATTCCAAACACCTCTGAGTAATAGGCATATTTATTCTTTATAGAAAGGAAATTTATACCCAGAGAGAGTAAGTAGTTTTTCTGAGACCCAGATAGAAAGGAACAGAGCTGTGTGATTCTCTTGTATGACATATATGACTTCACACACAAATCCTCATCATGATCAAATTGAAGTGTTACTGAGGTACCCAATTGCATGACTATTAAGTTTAAATTTGGAGAAATAAATGAAACAAATATTGGCAGATTTTAACTCATTTTACAAAAATGAAACACATCTAAAATACAGTTTTCCAGTACTTCATCCCTTTGCTGATAGCAACACTAGCAGTGAATGTCTGTATTTCCATTGCTCCCCTTTCAAATTTAAGAGCACCTTTAATGTATCAGTCTAATAATCCATTTTGAATGAAAAAATGGTCACCATTTTGAAATCGTATCACTTACGTATAAATTTGCAGATGTTATTAATGAAATAAATTGCATTGCATGTGTTTTATTTTTAGTAGTGTAATTACATGTGTTTAACATTTTTGTTTTATCTATATTTGAAAAAGCAACACCCTATGCTAACACAATTCTCAAATGACAAGCTACATCTTTTAAAAAAGCATTTTAATTTACTGTTAACTACTATTGAAATGTATACAAACTATAACAAACTCTTGAATTTATATAATGCAAATTAATTTACCCAAACTTTCTTCATTTATACAGATAGATTTTAGAAAAATACATAATACATAGTTTTAAGAAAAAGCTTATATTTACATCAATGATTATCCCAACTCTCAACTATATGCTTAATAGCCATACATTTTAAAAATTTAGCGTTTCTAGGACAAACAGCTTTTAATTAAAAAATACGAGAATATATATACATATATATGATGCTAAGAAAGATATAATGTAGATATAATATTAATAAAAATATGCATTCTAGGCAGAATATTTTAGTGATTTAAAGCATTGGTTTCAGAAATTTTTCAGTTTGTAATATTCTGTGTATTCTCTAGAAAAACGTAACAAGAAAAATATTAAAATGTGATACTTTAAGTGGAGGGATTCTGAAGATTCTAAGTGTTAATAATGTATTTTAATGCTTAGTGTTATTATTTCAAGTATATTAAAGAATTTGGGAAAATACATTTCAAGCACATCTGATGGTTTTGAAGTAATGAACCAGAATTGGCACCTTGAAGTAATTTTTCAAGATGCCCATTTGAGTCACTTTTCCTCCCAGCACTTAATACTTCTGTTGCTAGAAAATTGCTTTCAGAAATTACATTTAAAAATCATTTTCTTAATGTACCTTTGCTAGAATTGTGTTTATGTGAAAAATTATGCTTACAGATATGACCTCACATATTGACAAAAATGTTTAATAATCAATTTTTATCATGAACCTAAGAACACGCTTATATTCTTTGCATGAACAGGAAAGCAGATAGTCATTTTTACAGTTGCATTGCCCATGAAAATACCAGAAAAATACATAAATTCGTAAAGAATATTTAGAATATTGTGTTCTACAAAGCATTTCCATTCTTGTATTTACATAAAATACAGAAACCTTAAATCTCAAAGAGGTGCAGTTAACAAAAAGAATAGCTTTTACAAAGTTTTATAAAACTAGAAAGCATAGCATTTTTGTGAAAGAAGAAAAATATCTAATATTCTATTTATCATGTTATTTCTGTAAAAATAGGAAAATGTTTACCAAGTAAACTTTAATATTAGCATTTTTAATTAGTTATCAGTTACTGCCAGCAAGGAAGGTATAGCTTTATTTTCTCAATCAATGCTGCATTTTATTTTCTGTATATGTCCATGAGCTTCAGTAGTTTGTTAAACATGATTATATCTGTCAAAAATTCTGACATGTCCCAGAACATTTTTCAAAAGATTTTTTGTACTGAAAGTTTAATAGAACTCATTTAAGAACTCCTTATTAGATTTTCTTCTGCTTTGAGAAAGAAACAGACTGAACTAACATTTCATTCAGTTCCTTTAATGATTTTGAGCTTACTAAGAACAGAAAGTAAACTGAGAAAAATGTATAAAGAACTTTTAGATATTTTTGCACCTGGACCTCTTGAATGTTGAGAAGCAAAGGGGCTACTGAAAAGCTGGAATACAGTGTCCAGCCTATTATCCTACTTGAACCTAAAGAAGAAAAAGGGATGCTCAATTCAGTAATCTGGGCTTTATTATTACTGCTCGTTGCAGGTACCCCTAAATCTAATAATAGTGATCTTAATAACTTTTCTATTTTACATAGCACATAGTATAATCAAACCATCAAAAATAATAATTAGGGCATATCAAGGGGAAACGTGAACTGAAAGGAATGCATTTTCCATAGACATTTTAAAAAAATAGAACTGGAAAATGGAGGGATAAAGAGCAGGATGTAGAGCAAGAAAGAACAAAAGTGATAAAAATATATAAAGAAATTATAAGGAACAACAATTCTAGCAAAGAAAAATTATACTATGTCCAGCTCAAAATCATAAATTGGTAGAAGTGGAAGTAGTTTCAGGGACACTGGACAAGAAAAAAATACCAACATAAAAATTCATGCACCAATAGTTGTAAGTGATAAATGTAAACCAAATGGAAAAGCTTCATTCTTTTCTGTTCAGTATGCCTCTACAGTGCATGCATTACATTATGTTATGAATTCATTTTCCCACTGAGCTATTAACTACTTGTTTGAGTAAAGATAGAGCCAATACCTTAGTTACATAGGCTGCCCCAATGCCTATTACAGAATTAGGCACCTAGTTGGAATTCAATACATTTTTATTCAATTAATGAAAATAAATTTCTGACAGAAGTGCTATACTTTATATCTTTGTGTTTATTTTATCTTAGTAGTATTCCTACTATGCAGAAATATCTTTTCAGATAATGGGAAAAAGTAGAATATTTAGCAATTCATATATTTAGTAATTGTTTGTGTGGTGCTTTTATTGGTCTTTCCTCATTAGCTAGAGGTAAGAAAACTTAATTGCACTTCGAAGAACTTAGGATAGAGTGCTATTTTCCTACTTATGTTTTATGTAATCCACAAGAAGGCCCTTAACTTTATGTTGCTTCTACCTCCAGAATTCTGTCTCTGTAAAAGAGAAAAAAATTCTTCAGGGCAAAGAAGGATTTCATATTTCCTTGATTATTAGCTTTACCTTTTCAGTTGAAAGTGGTTAATAAGTCATTCAGCACACATGCATATTAAAAAGTCACTAATGTCTTGTCCTATAGACATTGAACACCATACCTACACTTAGCAGGCTCACCCTTGATTCATGTGTCTATGATTATTACAAAATAATCACCAAAGGATTCCACACCTGCTGCCAACAGAAATTATAAGGCTTAAAGAGCTGCATATGGCCAATGACAGAGCCATTGAGAACTGTAATAATCTCTCTGAAAAGGCTCTGCTTATGAAATGAAGTTCTCCAGCATGCTCTGCACCCTATGGTGCTTTTGACCCCTGAAGAGAGTACAAGTTTCTACCATCAATCCCACTTCTTTGTTCTTCACAAGCAATGTGAAGATTAGATATTATCCTGGATCAACATCAAGCCTACTGGGCCACAGTAGTGAGGAATTGGGATATCATGAGAAGGAACCATAGCCTTCAGCCCAAGTTTAAGTGGTTTCCCCTGTTGTGTCTCTCTCTTCAAAGTCAGCTGGTGGCTATTTTGACATGGGTTTGGCAGTAAGGTAAGGCTGGGGCACTAGGGTTTACCAGGCAAATTCCTTTTCAGAAACAACTAATGAATTGTACAGATACTCTGGTACAAGTTACCACACGGAATTATCAAGATCACATATAATTGAGAATAGCTTTATTAGTGGGAGTAAGGAAGCCACAAAGAGGGCCATAAAACTATGAATACCAAAGACCTGGGGAATAATATCTCCAGGATTATTCCTGGAGGAGAAGGAAAGATCTGGACTGGATGGAGCTAAGAAATGACACTGGGTGATTCATGCTCTGTTGCTGTTTTCCGGTTTCTCACCCATAGCTGAGGATATGACTGGTGACTTCAGGAGAAACTAAATTAGGTCCCTTTTTTGGATACAAATAGGTGATGGGAAGAAATGTTAGTGCATTCATCGGAATAACAAAGATTACAAACTACTTCACATATTCAGATGAAGAAAGGAAAGTTATGAGGAGAAATTATGTTAAACATTTCTTCCTGTTTAGCTTTCAACATCTGTCTTAGGAAGTATGTAAAAGTGTAGCAGAGGGAGAAAGAGCTATGGAAACCTTCTACCCAGGTAAAGAAATTTTACACACTACAAGGCAAAGAATTGTGATTTTACAATTCCTTACATATTGAGTTTTAAAAATGCCATCTGCCTTTATCTAAAGTTGTGTGTGAGTAGACTATACTCACATAATTTACCTTTCACATTCCAGAAAATTAAAACTCATGCAGAAATGACACTTTGAAGACAAAGCTAACCGCAGAGGAAACTTACACACAACAGTTACCATAATCACAAATTTCTAAAAGATATAAAATTGAGTTTAGACACCACATTCTAGAAGAGGTTGCTCATGTCTTAGAGTATTATTCTCCCTGAGATATAAGAAGCATGATGTCCTAATTAGCTCTTTGATAGTTTTCCCCCCCAGGAATGCCTTAGGCCTGTGAATTGGTGAATGGTGTACAACACATCACTGACTAGAAATTGACTAGCAACTCAGGAAAGCTAAGCTAGTCATTGTACTTAGCTTTTATTTTACCTTTTCACCCCAGCCTCCCTGATATTTTGTAATAACAACATAGGTTCAGGCCAAAATATATATCTTATTTTGGGAACATTAAAATCATTAGGAATTGAGTGAAGAATAGCTATTAAGATTGTTAACTGGTAATTTATCTGTGTAAATTCCTACTAACCCTCTGAAAGTTTGAAAAAATGGGGCACAGTGGAGACATAGGCTTGAGTGCATATCTTTTAGTAGTTGTGGAGTGAGTCGCTTCAGATTTAGTGAAAGATTGCCCATACAGATAGAGCTGGAGAAGTCATGAAAACAAAGAACATGTTTTTGTATTCTGTAAACGAATAAATTCTGGAGAGAGGAAGACATATTATGATGATTTGGAAACCTTAATATCTCTATTGGAAAATAGAGAGACATCCATTTGAGGGCCTTTAATGCATTTGTCAGTGAAATAATTAATTGGATAATTGAAGGGTTTTGTTTTTATTTTTAAGATATAATTCTCTTACCACAAAATTCACCCTTTTAAAGTGTAGGTGGTTTTTAGTATAATCATAGAACTGTGCAATCATCACAACTACATAATTCCAGAACAGTTTCATTACCCCAAGAGAAAGAAAGTCATACTTCCTGTTTCCCACTTTCCAAAGCCCCCACCAACTGCTAATCTGTTTTCTAACTCTGGATTTTCTTATTCTTGACATTTTCTGTAAATTGTCATTATGTGGTCTTTTGTGTTTGACTTCTTTTACTTACTGTATTTTCAAATGTCATGCACGTTTTAGTGTGAATCAATACACTGTTCTTTTTATGGCTGAATACTATTCTATGATATGAATACACCACATATTGTTTACCCATTTACTGGCCATTACCTGTTTATTGGCTGACAGACATTTGGCTTGTTTCTAATATCTGACTATTGTGAATGATGCTGCTGTGGACATCCATGTACACATTTTTTTATGAATGTGTTTTTTCAATTCTCTTAGACATATACCTTGAAGTGAAATTGCTTGGTTATACAGTAACCCTATGTTTAAATTTTTAAGGAGCAGTAAAACTGTTTTACAAAGTGACTACTTCATTTTACATTCCCACCAGCAATTAATGAGGGTTTCAGTTCTTCCACATTCTTACCAAACACTTTTACTTTCCATTTTTAAAAATCATTTCAGCTACTGTAGAGAGTGTGAAGTGGCATCTCATTGTGGTTTTGATTTACATTTTCCTAATGACTATACTATAAAAGTATATATTTTTATATTTTATATATGTTTATATAAAATATTTACTCATATATAATATATAATTATATATAATATATAAATATATTATATATTTTATATATTAAAGTATATATTTTGATGACTATGCTATAAAAGTATATATAAAAGTATATACTGTAAAAGTATACTATAAAAGTGTAAATTTGAGCATCTTTTTCTGTGTTTATTGGCCATTTATCTTTTTAGAAGAAGTCTATTCAAAATTATAGCTAATTTTAATTGGATTATTTGTTTTGTATTGAGTCGTGTTTGTTATATGTTTTTAATACTAGATCCTTACTAGATATATTTGCAAATATTCTCTTTCATTATATGAGTTATCGTTTTACTTTCTCATAGCACACATTGAGGCACATTTTGAAAATTTTTGATAAGGTCCCATTTAACTATTTTTTTCCTTCTTTGGTAGTTTTTGCTTTATACATCCTATTTAATAAACTATTGCCAAATCTAAGATCACAGAACCAGAGCTTGCACTTCTGTTTTCTCCCAAGAATTTTATACTTTTAGTGGTAACATTTAGTTCACTGATACACATTTAATTAATTTTTGAAACAGGGCAAGGTCGGAATACAACTTCATGTTTTTGGATGTGAGTATTTCATGACTATTTGTTGAAAATACTTTTTCACTATTGATTTATCTTAGCACCCTTCATGAAAAATGTTTATTTTTATGTCAGTAACACAGAATATGGATTATTGTAGCTTTACAGTAAGTTTTAAAATCAGAAAATGTGAGTCCTCCAAATTTGTTGTCTTTCATACTAAAATTATAAAATTCCTAGGAGAAAACATAAGCGCAAATTCTGTGACTTTGGATTTGACAACAGTTTGGAGTTTTGATAAAATTCTTTAGCATTTTTGTCTGGATTGGTATAGGAAGAAGTGGGAAATATTTTTTCTTTCTCTATTTTTTGTTAAGAATGTATCAGTGTTTTGTGTTAGTTCTTCTTTAAATGTTTGATAAAATTCACGAGTGAGCCCATATGGTTCTGAAATTTTCTTATTGTAAGTTTTTCTATTACTAACTCAATGTCTTTACTTTGTATTAATCTATTCAGACTTTCTTTCTTCTTGAGTCTGAATTGGTAGTTTGTTCTTTCTAGGAATTAGTCCATTTCACTTAGATTATCTAATTTTTTGGCACATAATTGTTTCTTGTATCCTCTTATAATCCATTTAGGTTTTGTAAATTTGGTAGTAATACCCCCTCTTTCATTCTTGATCCTAAAACAGTTAATTGATTTAGAATAATTCCTCTTTGTTAATATAGGCACTTATAAGTATAAATTTCCTCTGAGTACTGTTTTTGCTGCTTCCCAAATGTGTTTGTATATTATGTTTCCATTTTCATTCATCTCCAAGTATTTTCTAATTTCTCTTTTATCATTGGTTATATAAGAATATATTGCTTAGTTTTCACGTTTGTAAATTTCCAACCTCCTTTCTTTTACTTATTTGTAATTTCATGCTACTATAGTTGTACATATTTAATATATTTTCAGTCCTTTTAATTTTATTGAGACTTGTGTTTTGACTAACACATGGTCTGTCCTGGAGAATGGTCTATGTGCATTTGAAATGAATGTGTTATCTTGTTGTTTGAGGGTATAGTGTTCTATATATGTCTGTTAAGTCTCTAATAGTCACTTATTATCTGATTAATCTTTCCAGTTCTATTGATTATTGAAAGTGGGAAATGAAAGTCTACAAACATTATTATTAAATTGCCTATTTCTCCTATAAATTTTGTCAATCTTGGCTTGACGTATTGGGGGCTTTTTTGTCTATTTTATATATGTTTGGTATTATTTATCTTTTGATTGAATGGATATTTTTCATTATTGAATGTCCTTCCCTAACTCTAATAACAATTTTTATCTTAAAGTCTATTTAGGGTCAGGCACTATGGCTCATGCCTGTAATCCCCTCACTTTGGGAGGATGAGGTGGGTGTATCACCTGAGGTCAGGAGTTCGAGACCAGACTGGTCAACATGGCAAAACCTAGTGTCTAATAAAAATACAAAAAATTATCCAGGCGTGGTGGTACATGCCTGTAGTTCTAGCTATTTGGGAGGCTGAGGCATGAGAATCGCTTGAACCTGGGAGGCAGAGACTGCAGTCAGCCAAGATCATGCCATAGAACTCCAGCCTGGGCAACAGAGCAAGACTCCATCTCAAAAAAAGAGAAAAAAATTTATTTCATTCATTATTAGTATAGACAATTCAGCTCTCTTTTAGTTACTGTCAAATGTTGTGTCTGTTTCCATTTTATTTTACTTTCCATCTATTTGTGCTTTTGATTTTTAAAGTGTGTCTCTTTTAGACCTCATTTTCTTGAATCATTTTATTTTTTATCTCTTATGACATACTCTTATTTTTCATTGGAGAGATTAAACAATTTACATTTTAAATTATATATATTTTTAATTGATGCAATGCAATTGTACATCTTTATGGGGTACGATTTGATGTTTTGATACATGTATGTGTTGCACAATGATCAAATCAGGGTATTTAGTGTGACCATCACATGCATTTATCATTTCTTTGTGGTGAGGTTGCTGGAAAGCCTCTTTTCTAGATGCTTTGTAAATATATCTTAACTGGTATCCACTCTTACCCTACCGTGTGATAGAACACCAGAACTTATTCCTTTTATGTAATTGTAACTTTCTACCTGCTGACCAACCTCTCCATCCTCCACTCTCTCTTATCTTCCCCAGTCCCTTGTGACCACTGTTCTGCTCTCTGCTTCTATATAAACCATTTACATTTAGTGAGATTTCTTATTTGATAGGATTATATCTGCCATTTTGCTATTTGTTTCCCATATGTATTTTGTCTATTTTGTTCTTCTTTTCCTCAATTACTGTCTTCTATGTTAAATAGGTATTTTCTAATGTATCATTTTAATCTCTATAATTTTTAGTATACTGTTTATTAGTATTTTTCCGTGTTGTCCTGCAGATTAAAATTACTATCTTAATTTATAACAATCTAGTTTGAATCAATATCAATTTAATTTTAATTATATACAAATATTTGCTATTATATAGCTCTATTTTACTACCCCTTCTTTGTTCTGTTTTTGCCATGAAAATTACATCATTATCCATTTGGTGCCCATCGATGCAAATTTATAACTATTGGGTTATGCATTTTTCTTCTAAATCTGATAAGAGAAAAAATAAGACGTAAGACTTGGAAACAGATATATGCATACGTATATACACACACACACACACACATATATGTTTTTTAAATATACCTATGTTTTTACCTTTACTTGTGCCGTTTATTTCTTCATATGGATTTTCCTGGAGAAAAGGTTTTCCATAATGATTGAGCACTGAGTCAGATCAAATTGACACTACTTTTCTATCAGGGGTATTCCAGGAAACCACTAGACAAGTAAAATAGTGATAATTCTCTGGAAATGAGGCTCAGAAGGGGCACCAACCCTGTTCTGCCCACTCCGGTGTCTATCAGTCTGCTGGGTTTCACCTTGATTATGGACTACTGGTTTTGAAGATTGTTGCAGAGCTGGAGTGATTGGATATGTTCAAACACCACAAAGCTTGCTGTTGCTACCAATATTTACCAAATGTTTCCCGGATTCTTGTAAATTTTGGTTAATTTTCATAATTGTGAAAAAGTTGGTTTTGACCATTTCTGCATGTTTTGCATTGCTTTCATGGAGGAAATGATGTTTGGAGGTACTTACTCTGCCATTGCTGCTGACATCTTATTAAGTGTTTTAAATAGTTATTTATCTGTAGAGTAAAAGCAAGTATGGTGAATTTTATATCATTGATATTTACTTATTTATTGATTTGAGTTATTCTGGGCTGGTAAGTTTGGGTGGACAATAGTTGATTAGGCAAATATTGAAATATGATATAAAATAGAACATTTTGGCTTTGAATTTGGCATAACTTCTGAGTAAACTTAATTGAAATAATGTTTTGACTCTTGCTGGGATTTAGGAATTGTAGCCAATACTTATTCTTATATTCATTGAGAGATTTAACTTCTAATCTCATTGGTCCTTGATAGTTGTACAGTATTGGTGCAAATTGTGAAGTGACCCCATGTAGGTAGGGTCTTTTCTGATTAAGGTTTCTCTGATCTCATCCTTCAAGGAAGGTAACAACTCTGCTGATTAATTTGAATTATGTCCATTGTGTTGTCAGTTATTATCAACATTCCCTCACAGGGGAGCTCTTTAAAAAAGAACAGTGCCCACACCTGTAGAAGTAGAAGAGATTATAATACATTTTGTCTCTGGTTGAAACTTGACACTGTTATTTTTGCAATTCTTACAAGTGGCTAATATTAAGATAAATTGCGTTAGATAAATGAACAAGTGCCTCCAAGGAGCTCTCACTTCCACACCCACACACAAATAGTTACAGGAGTACTGATAATGGTAAGTCAAGATTCAGATTATTTCTTAGGTTCTGGTATTGAGCATAATTGTCAATGTTCTTTCAAAGCCCTAAAATGAATAAAGTAGACTATATTATTAACAGACTTTAGCAAGAACCCTACCCTCTTGTTTTTTTGATGTGCTTTTGCTCTTTTTCTTGAAGTTTATATAATAATATCCAAAAATAGTAAGTAGGTTTCAGTTTAGGGGAAGATACAGAAATGAAGCTACTTGGCATGTTTTGGCTATAATTCTTAGTTCTACCTATGCCTCAGCAAGACAAATTCTTGTAGCTTAACATGGTCTAACCATGATCATCAAGGCTAAAATGTTTTCAACCACACCTCAGCAAGTAACTGCTATGTGTGTCTTTGCTGTGACATATATTTTGTACTTTTCTATTCCTTTGTGACCTTGTGAGACTATCTATGTGCAGCAGCATTTTGTTGATCAGGATCCTGGGCCTGGGCCATCTTTCAAATTATTTCACTGAAGATTTCCACTAGAATGAAAGAAGGAAAACTGAACTTTCTATACAAATTATAGAGTGAACATTGTGTTAACATTGTCTAAGTGCATATGCTTATGAATAAATGATTTTGTTTTTATATGTCAGTGCCCTATCATCAAAGACTATGAGGAGCACCCTTATACTTAAAGTTAGGATTATTGACTCACTATAAAAAGGGATAATGCACACCATAGGGAACTGAAAAATGTCTCAGTAAAAGGAGGTTAGAAACATGTATTTTAGAATTTGGGCTTGTGTTAACTGATTTTGGGGAAGGTATAAGGAAGTGGGACTTTTCTCTGAATTTGATATTACCATGACACAGAAATGATTATATAATTGAGTCTTTATAATAATTCTTCTTTAGAAGATAGATAAGAGGGTAGTTAATCGTTTTTTTTTTAAGAAGCAGTCATTTATAATAGCCAGAATACAGGACATGTTTGGTCATTTTTGGAGTTTGGACAACTTTCCTTTTCGCCTGTGTTCAGTCGTGATTGTGACAGAATAGACTTGTTTTTGCCTTGATTCATCACAATCACAGATTATTCTTGTCTAATGTTGGCGCTCTGTGAAAATATTTATGTTTAACAGAAGAAAAGCACAGCTCATTTGTAAGTGCCTGGACAGCTTGTTACAAAATCAAAAGCTGACATTGCTAGGCTAGAACCCAGATGTCAGTGGCTGCTTTTCTTTTTCAAATGTAATTTATAACCAAATACGTCATCAAGGCTAAGTTTATCTTTGTCAGATGCCGATGTATCATTTCGTCTCCTGTCACACTGCCTCTCTTGTGGCAGGATGCCCTTCTGTTAGCATAGATAATTTCTTTCATCATTGGCCTTTTACATTCTGATCGATGAGTTTTCTATGTTTACAATGCTGAAGCTCTGTCTTGATAAGGAATTTCTTGGTCCAGACATGTTATCACACAGTTTTCATCCTTCTCATCCTTAGTACTTGGCAAAATATCAACTCTCTGGTTATATATTCTTCCCCATAAAATTATTTTCATGTTGTTCAGATGCTTTATTCTCTCTTTTCTCTGCTCTTCCTCAAAGATTCTTCAATAGTACTCTGATATTAAACTCTTCTTTAGATGTTTCTACAAACTTAAATATAGCCTGACTGAATTAGGGCTTAGGATATTGATTCCTCTTGCTACCCTCTTGATTGAAAGGTCTTCCCCACCTCCCATTTCTCAAGCCTTTTCACACTTCTGTACTTTTATTCTACAGATCAATTTCTTGTTTTCATATAAAACTTCAGTCTCTTTAACAACCTGACCTTAGGAGAAAAATAACACTATTTTAGATATTTCTTTTAGCAGTTGTCTTTGTGTACATAGGTGAAGGTGTCGGAGAATAGCCTTAATGGACTAGGATATAATTTTAAAAATTATAGCTAAACTAGTCTGTGGGTAAATTAATATAAATTTTTGTTTGGGAAAAAGAGAAGATGTAATTAATTAGAAAGATGAAGGGAGGATGTCAGAGGAAAGAGATATAACAGATGTTGGAGCACACAATAAAAAGTCAGCCCCCTTTTTAGAGATAACTAAAGGAAACTTAACAGCAGTCAGATCTCAGATTCAGTCTTCATTGTATGTCTGTATGTGCTGTAACTATTTCTCTGCTTCAGAACTTTGGTAAAATTAGTTACACATGCAATATCAAATAGTGATAGCATGGAGTATAGGAAGTGGAGTTGCCATTATATAATTTTTACTAAAAGATTACTCTTATGTAAGTTTATAGTTGATAGCATTCAATGACTAACTTATTAATGAGAGAACTTTTAGGATAGCTAAGTTGGTTCAGGTAAAAAATGAAGAATATAGATTTCTATAGTTATTTACTCAAAAGAATATTTAGATAAATTTGCATATTGTATTAGTCTGTTTTCATGCTACTAATAAAGACATACCTGAGACTGGGTAATTTATAAAGAAAAAGAGGTTTAATGGACTCACAGTTTCATGTGACTGGGGAAGCCTCACAATAGTGAGGGAAGGCAAAGGAAGAGCAAAATCACATCTTACATGGCAGCAGGCAAGAGAGAGAGCATGTGCAGGGGAACTCCTCTTTATAAAACCATCGGATCCCATGAGACTTATTCACTGTCACAAGAACAACAAGGAAAGACTCACCCCCATGATTCAATTACCTCCCACTGGGTCCCTCCCATGGCACATGGGAATTATGGGAGCTACAATTCAAGATGAGATTTGAGTGGGGATACAGTCAAACCATATCACATATAAATACACACACACACATACACACACACGGGATATACTATATACATTATGTATATGTTATATATTATATATGGAATATACCATGTTATGTATAGGATATATATCTGGACATATATTCCATGTGTGTGTGTGTGTATATATATCTATATGTATATATGTAATATATGTACATCTATATGTACATATATGTATATATGAAATATTCTACAGGGCAATAAAAATATAACTTTTAAGATAATATTTTCTGCTGCTCAGAAATCCTTTGGTGGACCTATTAGAAAATGTTTCAGTATGACATTGAAAAAATATGGTTATCTTTTTGTCCTATTTCCACATTTTAGATAATTTTTCTAAGTAGTGAAGTATCCATTTGTTTAAAGTGACAGAGGAAAAGAGCACAGAATCAGGAAACCATGGGATGTTCTAGAATTTTATCAGTGAAGAAACCTGAAACCTGAGGTTACTAGGGAAAATATAAGGACCTGCCCATACCTTCTTTCTATCGCCAGGGATTCCTAAATGTCTATCCCAAGGGATACCAACACACAATAGTTTTCCTATCATGTGTTGAATGTTGGTTTAACATCAAAATTTATTTTTATCTCCAAGAATAGGATGGCTCTATTTGATATTTTGCATTGAATATTTACTAAAAGCAAAATAAATGCCTGAAAATTAATAATTGCCCCTATTCACCGCATCATTTTCATAATAACTATTGGTATAAAGTTGAGTATACTATTGTTGGTTTTTCAATAAATAATATAAAGTACAGGTATATGTTTATCAATACATAGAATAAAGGTGTATATGTACACAAGTACGTATTTGGATTTTTAATTTTTTATCGATACAAAATACTTTAAACTTTATGAGGTTATATGTGAGTATTTATTATAGGCATAGAATGTATAATGGTCAGATCAGAATCTTAGGGATATCCGTCACTCCAAATACTTATCATTTTCGTGTGTTGGTAAAATTTTAAGTCCTCTCTTGTAGCTACTTTGAAATATACAATACATTGTTGCTAACCATATTCACCCTACTCTGCTATCTAATATTGTGACTTGCTTGTTCTAACTGTATGTTTGTACCCATAACCAACCTCTCTTTATCCCCTCCTCCCACCCACACACTGTTTCCATGCTCTGGTATCTATCGTTCTTTATCTCCATTGGATCAGGTTTTTGAGCTCCTACATATTAGTGAGAACATCTGTCATCTATTTTTCTGTGTCTGGCTTTATTTCACTTAACATAATAACCTCCAGTTTCATCCATGCTGCTGAAAATGACATCATTCTTTTTTATCAATGAATAGTATGCCACTGTGGATATATACCACAGAAAAACCTTATCCATTTTTCTACAATGGATAATTAGGTTGATACCGTATATTTGCTATAGTGAATAGTGCTGTGATAAACATGTGAGCGCAGGTATCCCTTGGATGTACAGATTTATTTTTCTGTGGATAAATATCCAGAAGTAGGATTCTTAAATCATATGGTAGTTCTATTTTTAATTTTTGCAGAACTCGCCATACTGATTTCCATAGTAGTACCAATTTACATACTCACCAACATTGTATAAGAGTTCCGTTTTCTCCTTATCTTCTCCAACATGGTTTTTTTTTTTTTTGGTCCTGATAGCCATTCTAACTGGAGTAAGATAATATCTCATTGTGTTTTTGATTTGCATTTCCCTGATGCTTAGTGATATTGAGCATATTTTTCATATACCTATTGGCCATTTGTATGCTTCTTTTGTGCAATGTCTGTTCATGTCTTTAGCCCAATTTTAATGAGTTTTTTTAATTGTTCAGTTGTTTGAGTTGCTTGTATGTTCTGTATATTAGTCCATTATTAGATAAATAGTTTGCAGATATTTTATTCCATTTAACAAGTTGTTGATAGTTTCTTTTGCTGTACAGAAGCTTTTTAGTTTAATATAGTTTCATTCCCTTATTTTTGTTAGAGTTGTTTGTGCTTTTTAGTTCTTAGACATGAAATCTTTGCCTAGACCTAAAACACCTTTGAAGTATTTTTCCTGTTGTTTTTCTACCTAGTTTAATACTTTCAGGTCTTATGTTTAAGTCTTTAACCCATCATGGGTTGATTTTTGTATGTGAGGAGAGATAGGCATCCATTTTCAATCTTCTGTATTCAGATATCCAATGTCTCCTAGTACCATTGATTGAAGATAGTGTTCTTTCCCAAGAGTAGGCTCTTGGTGCTTTTAAAAATAATCATTTAGATGTAAGTATATGGATTCATTTCTGGACTCTATCCTGTTCCATTAATCTCTGTGTCTGTTTCTTTACCAATATCCTGCTGTTTGGGCTACCTTTGTAATATATTTTGAAGTCAGGTAATGTGATACCTCCAGTTTTGTTCTTCTTGCTCAGGATTGCTTTGGCTATTTGGGGTCTTTTTGGGCTCCATACAAATTTTAGGATTACTTTCTCTAATTCTGTGAAAAATGATGTTACTATTTTGTTAAGGATTGCATTGCATCTGTAGATTTCTTTGAGGAGCATGCTCGTTTTCAATGACATTAATTCTTTTGATCCTTGAGTATGGGATGTCTATTTGTTTGTGTCATCTTTAATTTCTTTCATCAGTATTTTGTAGTTCTCCTGGTAGAAATATTTCACTTCCTTGGTTAAGGTTACAATCTATTGTATATGAGATTGCCTTGATTTCTTTAGCTAGCTCAATATAATGTATAGAAATGCTCCTGATTTTTGAATGCTGATTTTGTGTCCTGCAACTTTATTCAATTTATTTATAGTATTGAGGAGACTTTTGGTGGAGCCTTAGTTTTTTACAGAAATAAAATCATATTATCAGTAAAAAGGGACAATTTGACTTATACTTTTCCAATTTGGTTGTCTTTTAATTTTTTCTCTTGCCTTATTGCTGCTGTGGCTAGCCCTTCCACTATTGAATAGTAGTGGTGAAAGTGGGTATTCTTGTATTGTTACAGATCTTAGAGGGAAACTTTCAGCTTTTCCTCATTCAGTATAATGTTAGCTGTGAGTTTCTTATATAGGGCCTTTATTTTCTTAACTTGTATTTAAGGTTCAGGGGTACATACTGCAGGTTTGTTATACAGATAAGTTGCAAGTCATGGGGGATTGGTATAGACATTATTTCATCACTCAGAAATAAGCATAGTATCTGGTAGGTAGTTTTTTGATCCTCACCGTCTTCCCTCTCTCTTCCCTCAAGTAGGCCCCAGTGTCTGTTTTTCCCTTACTTGTGTTCATTATGTACTTGATATTGAGCTCCCAATTATAAGTGAGAACATGGCAATATTTGATTTTCTGTTCTTGTATTAGTTTGCTTAGAATAATGGCTGCCAGTTCTATCTGTGTTGCTGCAAAGGACATGGTCTCATTCTTTTATATGGCTGTGTAGTTTTCCATGGTGTATGTGTACCACATTTTCTTTATCCAGTCTACCGTTGGTGGGCATCTAGGTTGATTCTATGTCTTTGTTATTGTGAATAGTGCTGCGATGAACATACATGTACATGTGTCTTTATGGTAGAATCATTAATATTCATTTGGGTATATACTCAAATATGGGATTGCTGGGTCGAATGGTAATTCAGCTTTGAGTTCTCTGGGAAATCACCAAACTGTGTTCCACAGTGGTTGAACTAATTGCATTTCCACCAGCAATATATAAGCATTTCCCTTTCTCTGCTTCCGTGCCAGCAGCTATTATTTTTTGACTTTTTAATAATAACAATTCTGGCTGGTGTGAGATAGTATCTCACTGTGGTTTTGATTAACATTATTTAATGATTAGTGACGTTGAGTACTTTTTCATATGCTTGTTGGATGCATGTACGTCTTTTCTTAAAAAGTGTCCATTCCTGTTCTTTGCTCACATTTAAATCAAGTAGTTTGTTTTTTGCTTTTTGTTTAGTTTTATATATATTCAGGATATTAGACCTTTGTCAAATGCATAGTTTACAAATATTTCCTCCCATTCTGTAGGTTGTCTGTTTACTCTGTTCATTTTTCTGTGCAGAATTTCTTTAGTTAATGAGGTGCCATTTGTCAGTTTTTGTGTTTTTTCCAATTGCTTTTGGAGTTTTTGTCATGGAGCCTTTGCCAAGTTCTACATCCAGAATGGTATCTCTTAGGTTATCTTCCAGGGTTTTTATAGTGTTAGGTTTTACATTTATCTTTAATTCATCTTGAGTCAATGTTTGTTTTGGTATAAGGAAGGGCTCCAGTTTCAATCTTCTGCATATAGGTGTCCAGTTATCACATCACCATTTATTGAATGAGCAGTACTTGTTTTTGTTGACTTTAATGAAGATCAGATGGTTATAGGTATGTAGCATTATTTCTAGCCTCTCTATTATGTTCCATTGGACTATGTGCCTGTTTTGTAACAGTACCATGCTGTTTTGGTTATTGTAGCCTTGTAGTAGTTTAAAGTTGGGTAATGGAATGCTTCCAGCTTTGTTCATTTTGCTTAAGATGGCCTTTGTTATTCAGGCTCTTTTTGGTCCCACATGAATTTAAAAAAATAGTTTATTCTAATTCTGTCAAGAATGTCATTGGTAGTTTACTAAGAATAGCACTGAATCTGTAAATTGCTTTGGGAAGTATGGCCATTTTAAGAAAATCGATTCATCTTATCAATGAACATGAGATGTTTTTACATTTCTGTCATTTCTGTCATTTCTGTCATTTCTGTCATCTCCAATTTCTTTGAGTAGGGTTCTTGAGTAGGAGATTTTTCACCTCCTTGGTAAGCTGTATTCCTCTATCTTCTTTTTGTGGTTGTTGTGAAAGGGATTGCATTCTTGATTTGGCTGTCAGCCTGGATGTTGTTGTTATATAGGAATGCTTATGATTTTTTTGTACATTGAAATTATATCCTGCAACTTTGTTGAATTGGTTATTTTGAGTAGAGACTGTGTGGTTTTCTAGGTATTAGAATAATATCATCTGCAAACAGAGATAGTTTGACTTCTTTTCATCCTAGTTGGATGCCCTCTATTTGTTTATTTATTTTGCCTGATTTCTCTGGCCAAGACTTTTAGTACTATATTGAATAGGAGTGGTGACAGGACATTCTTGTCTTGTTTTGGTTTTCAAGTGGAATGCTTAGAAATTTTGCCCATTCAATATGATGTTGGCTGTGTTTGTCATAGATGGCTCTTATTATTTTGAAGTATATTACTTCAATGCATAGTTTATTCAGGCTTTTTGACATGAAGTGATGTTGAAATTTATCGAAAGCCTTTTCTGCACCTGTTGAGATGATTATGTGCTTTTAAAAAGTTCTGTTTTTGTGGTGAATCACATTTATTGATTTACATATGTTGAACAAAACTTGCATCCCAAGGATAGAGCTTACTTGATCATGCTGCTGGATTTAGTTTGCAAGTATTTTATTGAGGATTTTTGCATCAGTATTCATCAAAGTTATTGGCCTGAAGTTGTCTTATTTTGTTGTGTCTCTGCTACATTTTGGTATCAGGATGACGTTGGCCTCATAGAAGGATTGAGGGTAGAGTCCCTTCTCAATTTTTTTGGAATAGTTTCAGTAGGAATGGTACCAGCTCTTATTCATAGATCTGCTAAAATTTGGCTGTGAATCTATCTTGTCCTGGGCTTTTTCTGGTTGGTAGGCTTTTTATTACTGATTCAATTTTAGAACTCATTATTGGTCTCTTTAGGGATTCAATTTTCTCCCAGTTCAATCTTGGAAGGTTGTATGCTTCCAGGAATTTATTCATTTATTCTAGGTTTTCTAGGTTGTGTGCATAGAAGTAGTCTCTGAGGTTTTTTTTTATCCCCCTTTGGGGTCAATGGTAATGTCTTCTTTGTCATTTCTGATTGTGTTTATTTGGATCTTCTCTCTTTTCTTATTTATTTGTCTAGCTAGTGGTCCATCTATCCTACTAAATTTTCAAAAACAACAACAACAACAACAAAAAACAGTTCCTGATTTTTTCACAGCTTCCTTTAGATCTGATTTTTTTTTTTTACTTGTCTTCTGCTCGCTTTGGGCTTAGTTTAGTCTTGTTTCTATTATTCTTCTAGTTGTGATGTTAGGTTGTTAATTTGAGATCTTTCTAACTTTTCAATTTGAGTGTTTCTCTCTTAAAACTGCTTTTGCTATATCCCAGAGTCTGGTATGTTGTATCTTTGCTCTCATTTGTATCAAAGGGTTTCTTGATTCCTGTCTTAATTTCATTGTTTGCATATAAATAATTCAGGGGCAGATTGTTTATTTTCTGTGTAATTGTATAATTATAAGCAATTTGCTTAGTATTGATTTCTATTGTTATCGTGCTGTGGTACAGAAATGTGGTTGGTACAATTTTGGTTGTTTTGAATTTGCTGAGGACTGTTTTATATCCTATTGTTTGGTTGATTTTAGAGTATGTGCCATGTGAAGATGAGAAGAATGTACATTTTGTTGTTTTGGGGGTAGGGTTCTCTAGATGTCTAGTAGGTCTATTTCATCAAGTGTGGAGTTCAGAGATACCTTTTTTTTTTTTTTGAGACAGAGTCTCGCTCTGTCGCCCAGGCTGGAGTGCAGTGGTGCAAACTCAGCTCATTGCAACCAGCACCTCCCGGGTTCAAGCGATTCTCCTGCTTCAGCCTCCTGAGTAGCTGGGATTACAGGCACCTGCCACCACGCCCAGCTATTTTTTTGTATTTTTTAATAGAGACGGGGTTTCACTGTGTTAACCAGGATGACCTTGATCTCCTTACCTCATGATCCACCCCCCTCAGCCTCCCAAAGTGCTGGGATTACAGGCGTGAATCACCGGCCTGGCCGAGTTCAGAAATATCTTTGTTGGTTGTCTGCCTTAATGATCTGTCTACTACTGCCAGTGGGGTATTGAGTCTCCAAGTATTATTGTATGGTTATCTAAGTCTCTTCATAGGTTTCTAGAAACTTGCTTATGAATCTGGGTGCCCTGGCTTTGGGTGCGTGTATGTTTAGGATACTTAGATCTTGTTGAATTGAGTCATTTACCATTATGTAATGCTCTTCTTTGTATTCTTTGATCTCTTTTAACGTCTGTTTTGTCTGAAATTACAAAAGCAATCCCTGCTTTTTTCTGATTTCAATTTTTTGGTAGATTTCTTTCCATCTTATTACTTAGAGCCTATGGGTGTCATTGCATTTAAGACAGCATATTATCTTGAAGACAGCATATCATTTTATCTTGGTTCTTTATCTAGCTTGACACTGTGCCTTTTAATTTAGGCATTTAGCCTATTTATATTTAAGGTTAGTATTGATATGTGTGGGTTTGATCCTGTCATTGAGTTGTGAACTAGTTATTATACAGACTTGTTTGTGTTGTTGCTTTATAGTGTCAATGGTCTATGCACATAAGTGAGTTTTTTGTTTTTCTTTTTGTTTTTAGTGGCTGGTTAGTGGTCTTACCTTTCCATATTTAGCTATATCTTCAGAAACTCTTGAAAGGCAGGTCTTGTGGTAATAAAGTCCCTTAGCATTTGCTTGTCTGAAAAAGATCTTATTTCTCCTTTGCTTATGAAGCTTAGTTTGGCTGAATATAAAATTATTAATTGGAAATTCCCATCTTTAAGAATGTTGAATATAGGCCCCTAATATGGTTTGACTCTATGTCCCCACCCAAATTTTATCATGAAGCATAAGTAATCCTCACAATTCCCATGTGTTGAAGGTGGGACTTGGTGGGAGGTGATTGAATCATGGGTGTGTGTTTTCCCCATACTGTTCTCATGATGGTATGTGAGTTCTCATGAGATATGATGGTTTTATAAGGGGTTCCTCCTCCTTCATTCATTGTTCTCTTTCTTGCCTGCCACCATGTAAGACATGCCTTTGCTTCTCTCTCGCCTTCTGCCATGATTGTATATTTCCTGAGGCCTCCCCAGCCATGTAGAACTGTGAGTCAATTAAACCTCTTTCCTTTATAAATTACCCAATCTCGGCTATGTCTTTATAGCAGTGTGAGAACAGACTAGTACAGCTGCCAATCTCTTCTGGCTTGTAGGTTTTCACCTGAAAGGTTTGCTATTAACCTGATGGGGCTCCCTTTGCAGGTTACTTCCCATTTTTCTCTGTCTGCCTTTAACATTTTTTTCTTTTATTTTAATCTTGGAGACTATGTGTCATGGGGATGATCTGATAAACATATGTCTTGGGAATGGTCTTCTTGTGTAGTATTTTTCAGGGGTTCTATGCATTTCTTGAATTTGAATGTTTACCTCTCTAGTGAGGTTGGGAAATTTTTCATGAGTGGATCCTAAAATATGTATTTCACGTTGCTTGCTTTCTCTCATTCTCTCAGGGATGCCAATGAGTCATAGATTTGGTGTCTTTACATAATCCCATATTTCATGGAGGTTTTGTTTATTCTTCTTTATTGTTTCTTTCTTTTGGTCTAAGTTATATCAGTGAGCTCTGACACTGTTTCCTCAGCTTGGTCAATTCTGCTGTTAATACTTGTGATTGTATTCTAAAATTCTTGTAATGAGCTTTTCAGCTTTATCTGATCAGATTGGTTCTTTCTTAAAATACCATTTCATTTTTCATCTACTATGTCATTTCATTATCTTCCTTAGAATCCTTGGATTGAATTTTTACTTTCCCCTGAATGTCAGTGATCTTCCTTCCGATCCAAATTCTGAATTCTTTTTCTGGCATTTCAGCCATTTCAGCCTGATTAAGAACCATTGCTGGGAAACTAATACAGTTATCTGGAAGTAAGAAGACACTCTGGCTTTTTGAGTTGCCAGAGTTTTTGTCCTGGTTCTTTCTCTCTTTGGGGGCTGATATACCTTTAATCTTTGAAGCTGCTGTCGTTTGGATGGATTTTGTTTTGATTTTAGCTTCTTTAATATCCTTGAGGGTTTGATTATAGTCTAAGATGGGTTCAGTCTACTGGCTTCATTTCTGAAATAGTTTAGGGGGCTAAGGCTCAGCTCAGTACTCCAGTGTTGCGTGCTCTATCTCTGGGTGGCAGGTATTGGGCTCTCGGCTTTGTTCTCTGGCCCATCGTGTTTAGGAACCTGCTACATTGGAGGAGCTGAGGTGTTACCAGACCACTGGGTGGTAACAATGCCTCCAATGGGTTGTGGCAGCCAAAGTTTTTTGTAAGAGGGCAGCGGCAGGTTCTGTGCTTGTTTGCACCTGCCAGCACCAGTGATAGCATGGCAGGGTGCATGCTTATTGCCTAGGGTGTGGCTCTGGTGGGCATGAGACTGCTGGCCTCTGAATGGACGTTCATAGTAGTGGTGGTGGCAGCTTAGCAAGCGGGTGGTTGTGGGGCAACAGGTTTCTGCATGTGTGTTTGCACCAGTGGTGGTGGTGGTGCAGGAATGTAGTACTCAAAGTATAGGGTTTTTTTTTTTTAATTCAATTGAAGTTGTTATATGATTAAAATATACATTTTATAAGCTTATGATGTTTTATGTATTCTCCATTTCTAAAGGTGATCACAAAGAAAATTCCTGGGTGTTTGGCTATGTCTCATGGCTCTTCACATTACATGGCTCTTTTATTTGCTCCAGACAGGTGATGAGGTCTGGCTTAGAGATTTTAAGACCCTAGGAAACCAGGTTTCTGTAGTTATCTAACATCACATTCTTATACAAATTCTGCTGTGCAGAGTTCAGTCATTCCTACTCCTCCAGAGAGAATTCTATGGCCTTTTTCCTGAATGTTAACAGTCTGTGCATTCCATAGGGTGACAAAAGTTGTGGCAGAGTCACCTCTGCCTCCCAGAGCTGAGGATAAGGAACAATGGATACAGTATATATGGCATTTATTGCTTTGAGGTAAGATTCTTCTATTCTTAGTTTGCTGAGTTTTCATCATGAATAAATGTTGAATTTTATCAAATATGTTTTCTGCATTTATTTATATGGTCATATGGTTCTGTCCTTCATTCTTTTCATGTGATGTATCACATTAATTGATTTGTGTATATTCCAACATCTTTTTATCCCTGGTACAAATCCCACTTGGTTATGCTGTTTTGTTTGTTTTTGTTTTTGATACGCTGTTGTATACAGTTTGCTAGTATTTCTTGAGAATGTTTGTGTCTCTCTTCATCTGTGGTATTGGCTTGTAGTCTTTTCCTTGCTGTGGTCCTGTTTGGTTTTGGTATCAGGGTGATGCTGGTCTTGGAGAATAAGTTAGGGAGAGCTCCTTCCATTTCAATGTTTTAAAAATAGTTAAGGAGTATTGGTATTATTTCTTCTTTATATATTTGGTAGAATTCAGCTGTGAATCCATCTGGTCCTGGGATTTTGTTTGTTGAAAGACCTTATTTCTGATTTAATTTTGCTACTCATAATTGGTGTGTTCAGATTTTTCATTTCTTCCTGACTCAATCTTGGTAGGTTGTATGCTTCTAGAAATGTATCCATTTCCTTGAGGTTTTCCAGTTTGTTAGTGTATAGTTGCTCCTAATAGTCTCTGATGATCTTTTGTAATTTTGATTTTCTTTCTTTCTTTTCTTTTCTATTTTCTTTTCTTTCCCATTTCTGAGTTTGTTTATTTGGGTCTTTTCTCTTCTTTTCTTGATTAGTCTAGCTAGAGGTTAGTCAATTTTGCTTGTCTTCTGAAAAACCAACTGTTTGCTTCACTGATTCTTTGTATTATATTTTTAGTCTCTATTTCATTTAATTCCGCTCTGATCTTTATTATTTTCTTCCTTCACTAATTTTGTGGGGATTTTTGTTGTTATTCTGTTTCCTTGATGTGCATTATTAAGTTGTTTATTTAAAATTGTCCTACTTTTTTGATATAGGCATTTATTGCTATAAACTTCCCTCTTAGCACTCCTTTTTCTGTGTCTTACAAGTTTTGAAACGTTGTGTTTCCATTTTCATTTGTTTCAAGAAAATTTTAAATGTCCATCTTATTTTTTAAATTGAGCCAATGGTCATTTAGAAACATGTTGTTTAACTTCAGTGTATTTGTATTTTTTCTGAAGTTTTCCGTAATGTGAATTTCTGAATGTGAATTTCTGATTTTATGCTAATCTGGTCTGAGAAAATACTTGGTATAATTTTAATTTTAAAATATTTTTACACTTGTTTTGTGGCCCAACATATGGTCTATCTTGAAGAATTTTTATATGTTGATGAGAATAATATGTATTCTGCAATTGTTGGATAAAATGTTCTGTAAATGTTTCTTAGGTCTATCCAGTCTAGAGTCCCATTTAAATCTAATGTTTCTTTGTTGATATTCTGTCTAGATAATCTGTATAATGCTGAGAGTGGGGTGTTGAGGTCTCTCACTATTATTTTATTGGAGTCTATCTCTCTCTTTAGATTTAGTAATCTAGTAAGTCTCTCTCTTTAGATATAGTAATATTTACTTTATGAATTGAAATTCTCCATTGTTGAGTTCATATATATTTACAACTTTTATATCCTCTTGATCTCTTTATCATTATATAGTGACCTTCTTTGTCATTTTTTAAAAAATTGTTTTGGACTTAAAGTCTGTTTTATCTGATAACCGTATAGATACTTCTGCTTGCTTTTGGTTCTGTTTGTGTGAAATATCTTTTTCCTTTTCTTTACTTTGAGTCTACATGTGTCTTTTCAGGTAAAGTTTTTTTTTTTTTTTTTTTTTTTTTTTTCTGCACATGGTTGGATCATGTTTCTTTGTTCAGCCAGTCTCTATCTTTGAAGTGAGGAATTTAATCAAGTTACATTCAAGGCTATTATTTCTATGTGATCTTTTTTACTATCATATTACTTTTATTTGATTTTTGTTTTTAATATTATTTGTTCCTTTCATTTTCTCTTATTGTTTGTCATAGTGATTTGGTGGTATACTGTAGTGGTAGCATTTGAGGCCATTCTCTTTCTCATTGTGTGTTTGGTTTACCACTGAATTTTATACTTTTGTGTATGTTCTTGATTATAAATGTCATCCTTTTGCTTCTAAGCTTAGGACTCTCTCAAGCATTTCTTGTAGGACAGGTCCAGTCGTGATAAATTCCTTCAGCAGTTGCTCATTTGGAAAGACTTTATTTCTTGTTCATTTATGAAAGATAATTTTTAAAAATATATCCTTGGGTGACATTTTTTTTTCAGCACTTTGAATGTGTCATTTCATTCTCTCCTTTCCTGCAAGGTTTCTGCTGAGAAATTTTCTGTCAGTCTGATGAGAGTTCTTTTATAGGTGACTAGATGCTTTTTTCTTGCTGCTTTTAGTTTCTTGTCTTTTACTTTGTCTTAGTAAAAGACAATGTGGTATGTTTAACCACAATGTGGTATGAAGATGACCATTTTGCATGATATCTGTTTGGGGATTTGGGGGCATTCTCTGTGTGGAAGTCTAGATGTCTTACTCAACTTGGGAAGTTTTAAGCTAATATTTTATTAAATAAATTTTCTAACCCTTTCATTTTCTCTTCAACTTTGGGGATACCAATAATTTGAATATTTGGTTGCTTTATATTGTCCTAAATGACACAGTGCTTGGCTTTTCTTTCTTTATTTTTTTTCTTTACTTTTGCTTGTCTGGATTAATTCAAAACACTTGTTTTCAAGTTCTGAGTTTTTTTTGCTGCTTGATTAGATTAATATATTGTTAAATTAAGATAGTACATCTATTGTTGAAGCTTTCAATTGCGTTTTATATTTTATTTATTCTTTATTTCCTGATTTCTGTTTGGTTCATTTTAAAGAATATCTAACTGATAAATTTTTCATTTATATTCAGAATTACTTTTCTGAATTTGTTGTATTTTTTTTAGAACTCTCTTGTATCTCATTGAGCTTCTTTAAAATCCATATTTTGAATTCTATGTTCAGTGATTTTGCAAATGTTATTTCAATTGGGATCTGTTGCTGTAGAATTATTGTGTTCCATTGGAAGTGTCAGATTTTTTTTGCTTTCCCATTTTTCCTGTATCCTTACATTGACATCCACACATCTGGTATAATAGTTGCTTCTTCCAATTTTTTTAGGTAGCTTTTGTGTAGGGGGACTTTTTCCTGAAGATATATATGTTTATGGTTGGGTAGGGCATTCTGGCTTTGATTTTAGTTGGTTGCAGCAGTGTGATCTCTGTAGAATTTCTTCAGATGTAAATTGCATCAGTGTTATCTGTGATTTCCTCAGTTGCTTAGAGTGCAGTTATCAGTAGATGCTGTGGTGAAGTTTTGCTGGGAAGTAAAATGCTATGTGCGCCAGATGTTGTGTTCCCATGGTGGCAGCAGTGAGCTGAGTTTGTCTGTCCTTGGGCCTCACAGTGGCTTATCCTGGTACTGGTATTTTTGGGCCCAGGCAGTTCTGTGTTAGGTCTTCTTATGGTTTGCCCAGATGTTGTTGGTGGCAGCAGTGGGCTGGGTCTGTGGCAGGTTCTTGAACCCCTAGGCAGCTGGTGTGATGTTGGCAATGGCATTATTAGTGGTGGAGCAAACCAGTGGAACCCAAGCAGTTCATGCCAGTGTTTGTGGTGGCTGCCACAGGTGGTGGTACTTGTGGGTGGTTGCCAACTACATTGGGCAACCTGCAGAGGCAGGTTGTTTCTGCCCCTGAGAGGAGTGTTCAGGTACCAACAGTGATAGTCTGGGCTGTGTGATTTCTAGGCAACAGACAGCATGATCAATACTAGGGGAATGAGATTGGGCCAGCTAACTTATTCGCAGGCCCCTTGCTAATGTGTTCAGATGCTGGTTGTGACAGGAAGGGTTGGGTGGTACCCAGGCTGCTAGCAGAATTTTCAGGTGTGTTCAGCGGCAGCTGCACTGCAGGACTGCCACTGGAAAGGATGAGGCCACTGTCAGTGAGTGCAGTATAGGAAGGTAGTTGTGGGACAGATAGTTTCTTAGTACCTCAGTTTCACAGCAGCCACCCACAGTGGTGATAGCATTTGTCATTAAAGTGTGTGAAAGTACTGTCTCCCATCTCCTTCTTGGCTCAGCAGAGGAATCCATGGCGTTAGCACTGTCTCAAAGGCAGGACACAGATCTTTGGAGGCTAGGTTATCAGAATTTCACCAGCTGCGGGCCTGAACTTGGGAAGGTGGGGCTACTGTCAGTGGCTGCATAGGCAAGTAGCTGTGAAGAGTGAAATTTGACTGTGTGTCAGTCCCACAGGAGTCCACAGCAGCAGCAGGGAGATTTGTCCTCAGGGTGCACAAAGGTGCCTGGCTTTCCCTCTCCCTCCTTAGTTCAGCAGTGACTTTGGCAGCATTGGCCAGCACAGGACACAGTTCTTTGGGAGTTTAGCTCGCTGAATGGTGCCAAGCTGTAGTTTCTTAGGATCAGAAGCCTGTGGGAGTCTATGTGAGCTCCCTCTCTGTATCAATGCCTCTGTACAATCTCTAGGAAGCTCCCTATGTTAGTATCAAGGCCAATGTGGGTCGATGGGCTGTCCCATAGCTAGGATTGTCAAAGACTATTGTGAAGGTGTGGAACTCTGAGGATCACTGTCTTACCTTTTCTCGACATGTGGGAGCTTCTTCAGGGTCCCAGCCAATCTCAGTCAAGCAGGTTGACTTGCTTCTGTCTCCTTACTCGCTTTTGGTGCTCTCTGTCACTTCTCTGTTTAATCTTATTGTTTGCTCTTAGATGATTTATTCAAATTGTGACTATTTACTTGCTGTTACGCTTTTTCTCTGTGGAGTAGGAATTCACTGGTTGCATCATTCAGCCATATTGAACTCAAGTCTCCCATATTTGCTTTTTAAAACAGGAACCTCAGTGTTTCATATCATTCATAATGATCTTTTGCATAAATCATATCCCATACAAATTTTTGAATAAAGAATTAAAGAGTAAGTTGTTCAATTAACCTATTTTCTGGGATAGGTCTTCTCTCAATGTATTTGAGAGAGAATTTTAGCAAAATACAGCTATAATTTGGGCTGCTAATTGAATTTAGGTAAACAAGCACCCTCGTCTTGAATACTCTATCTACCATCAAAAGAATATTAAACAAACAAACATGAAAACATCTCAGGTCTAATAACACATTAATCAACAAAACTATCTTCATCAATGTTTGAGCTAATACAGGAATTGGTAAACTGTTGCCAGCAGACCATTTTTTGTAAATAAGGTTTGTTTTGGAACACAGCCGATCTATTCACTTACATCTTGTTTAGGGTTGATTTTGTTCTACAACAGCAATGTTGAATGGTTGCTACCAAGCCAATATTGACAGCAAAGCCTAAAATGTTCACTATCTGGCTCTCTACGGAAAACATTTGTCCATTCCTGACTAGAAGAACCCTAAATTAGAAACCAAGACCAAGATGTTCTTTCTTGATAAATACGTCCATTTAGCTGAGAACACTTACTTTTGTATATGACTAAAATTGACATCCACGTGGCACTAAAATACCTGAGAGAAAAAAAATGTAATGAACTAAAATATATTGATAGGTTGTAAAATTTGTTAGGGATCACTCTGATTTCACTTTTTTCTTGTTAAACATTGTTCAATGGTAAAATTTCATATTAACTGTTACATTTTATTTTATTTTGCATGTAGTATTTATTTATTCATTCATTCTTTCCAACTTTTAGTTTCAAGGGGTACATATGCTGAATTGTTACAAGGGTAAATTTCATGTCACATGGCTTGGTGTAGAGAGAATACTGTGACCCAGGTAATTAGCATAATACTCAATAGGTAGTTTCTCAATTTTCACCCTCCTCCCAGCCTACACTCTCAAATATAGGCCCCAGTGTCTATTGTTCCCTTCTTTTTGTCCATGTGTACTCAATGTTTAACTCCCACTTATAAGTGAGAACATGGCAAATATTTGGTTTTCTGTGCCTGTGTTTTCTGTGCCTGTGTTAATTCACTTAGGCTATTGGCCACCAACTCCATCCATGTTACTGCAAGGGATGTCATCTCATTTTTTTGTGACTGCATAGTATTGCATGGTGTATATATACAACATTTTCTTTATCTAGTCCACCGTTAATTGGGCATAAAGGTTGATTCCATGTCTTTGCTATTATGAATAGTTTTGTGATGAACATACATGGGCATGTGTCTTTATGGTAGAACAATTTATATTTCTTTGTATATACCCAAATATGGGACTGCTAGGTAAAATGGTAGTTCCATTTTAAGATCTTGGAGAAATTTCCACTCTGTTTTCCACAATGTCTGAACTAATTACATTCCCACCAGCACTGTATAATCATTTCCTTTTCCCTTCATCCTAGCCAGAATCTGTTAATTTTGACTTTTTAGTAATAGCCACTCTGGCTAGTGTAAGATAGTATCTCATTGTGGTTTTTATTTGCATTTCCCTAGTGATTAGTGATATTGAGTATTTTTTTCATATGCTTGTTTGCCACATGTATGACTTCTTTTGAAAAATGTCTGTGTCCTTTGCCCACTTGTAAATGAAGTTGTTTTTGATTGGTAATTTGTTTAAGTTCTTGATTGGTAATTTGTTTAAGTTCTTTATGAATTCTGGAAATTAGGCCTATATCGGATGTATAGCTTGTGAATATTTTCTCCCATTCTGTAAGTTGTCTGTATACTCTGTTGGTTATTTTTTCTTTTCTTTTCTTGCTTTTTTTAATTGTGCAGAAGCTCTCTAGTTTAATTAGGTGCCATTTGTCAATTTTTATTTTTTTTGCAATTGCTTTTAGAGTCTTCGTCATGAAGTCTTTGCCTGGCCAATGTCCAGAATGGTATGTTATAGATTTTCTTCAAGGGTTTTAAAGTTTTAGGTTTTGCCTTTAAGTCTTTAATCCAACTTGAGTTGATTTGTATGTATGGTAAAAGGTAGGGCCCAATTTCAGTATTCTGCATATGGGTAGCCAGTTATCCCATCATCATTTAGTGTATGAGCAATCCTTTCACCATTGCTTGCCTTTGCTCACTTTTTTGAAGATTAGATGGTTGTAGTTGTAAGCTTTATATTTACATTCTCTAAACTGTTCCATTGGTGTATGTGTCTGCTTTTGTACTAGTACTATGCTGTTTTGGTTACTGTTGCTTCGTTGTATAGTTTGAAGTTGAGTAATGTGATGCCTTCAGCTTTGTTCTTATCACTGAGGATTGCTTTGGCTATTTGGGTTTTATTTGGTTCCAAATGAATTTTATAGTATTGTTTTGTAATTCTGTGAATAAAAAGTTTTTAGTAGTTTGATAGGAATAACACTGAATCTATAAATTTTGTGGGGCATGATGGCCATTTTAGGAACATTGATTCTTCCTATCTATAAGCATATGTTTTTTCATTTATTTGTGTTGTCTCTGATTTCTTTCGGCAGTGTTTTGTAATTCTCATTGTAGAGATCTTTCATGTCCTTGGTTAGCTGTATTCCTAGGCATTTTAATCCTTTTTGTAGCTATTGTGAATGGTATTACATTCTTGATTTGGCTTTCAGCTTGGATGTTATTGGTGTATAGAAATGCTACTAATTTTTGTACGCTGATTGGAGTCCTGAAACTTTGCTAAGGTTGTTTATCAGCTCAAGAAACCCTTTGGCAGAAATTACAGGCTTTTGTAGGTATACTATTATGTCATCTGTGAAGTAAGATGTTTTGACTTCCTCTCTTCCTATTTAGATGCCTTCTATTCCTTCCCCTTGCCTAAATGCTCTGGTTAGGACTTCCAGAACCACGTTAAATAGGAGTGGTGTGAGAGTGAGCATCCCTGTCTTGTTTCAATTCTCAAGGGGAATGCTTCCCAGTTTGACCATTCAGTATATTGTTGACTGAAGGTTTACTGTAGATGGCTCTTATTATTTTGATGTATGTACCTTAGATGCCTAGACTCTTGACTGTTTTTAACATGAAAGGATGTTGAATTTTATCAAAAGCCTTTTCTGCATCTATCGAAATGATCATATGCTTTTTGTTTTTATTTCTGTTTGTGGGCTGAATCATATTTATTAATTTACATATGTTGAACCAAACTTGCATTCCAGGAACAAAGCCCACTTGATTGTGTGGGCTTTTTTATGTGCTTTTTATGTGCTTGAGAATTCAGTTTGCCTAATGGTGAATTTTAAACAAGCCATGAAAAATTAAATAGCTTCTCTTTTAATGTTATATGGGGAAATTGACATACTTAACATAATTAAAAAACATATTTTTCAACTTGTATAAATTTATTCATAAGTCAATCTAAAATTACAAGTCAATTTTTTTGTGTGAGATGGTAGCTCTCTTTGCCTGTATATGTTTTATAATATTTTCTGTACTTTCCATCCCTTTTGATGTCTGTACTTTGGTGGAATTTACTACTGATCTATCTTCAATCTCTCTTATTTTCTTTTCAGCAGTATCTGATGTCCTGTTAAGCTCACTTATGAAGTTATACATTGCAATTGCATATTTTTTTCAGTTCTAGATTTATAGCTTTTTTTCTTTTCACAGTTCAGTTTCAGATTTCAGATCAAATGGTCCATTCTTATCTATTCTTTTGAAAATATTAATTAGAATTATTTTAAAATCCAATTTAGATAATTCTAATATAGAGGTCACTAGGGTTGTAATTATATTGGTATGTTTTATTTTTCAGTAGTGCTGTTTCTTGATGTTCTCTTTCTTTTTTTGTTTTTTTGGTTTTTTTTTGTTTAATATGGGATCTCATGTTTGAAAACGTATAGCAGTTTTGGATGATATCATCATTCCTCAAAGACAATTCACCCTATCCTCAGTCAATATGAAGATAAAACATGTCTCCCCTTTACCTGTGGTTGACATCACATTCTCCAGCAGTATTTATGTCTTCCTCTGGTCTCAGTTTCCACCAAATAGCTGCTTCCTCCATGATTTCTGTTCCTGCTGGGAATCTAAACTTCAATGTTTTCAGTTCTCACTAGGCTCCTGTCTTCTTAAAATCAGCCCCTTTCTCTATCGCCCCAGTCCCAGAAGTGGTAGAACCTGCTTGCTATGGCTAATCTTAGGGTTGCCTTACTTCTTCAGTTTTCTGTTTCTATTATTTTATTACACTATTTTAAAAGTTCTTCTGTAGATTCTCATCAGACAGCTACTACCAGGAACATACATTTAGTCAAATTTGGGTTCTTTGCCACAACCAGGGAGAGCACACACAAAGGGAAGCATTAGATATCTCAAAAAGATGGTGATAATGGAATAGAATGGATCTTATGAATAGAATGGATTCTTCATAAGATCTGAGCTTGTGTTCGGTGATTTGGGTAAGAATTCAAGGAAATAGCTTTTGTTTATTTCTTTGTTTTTGCTCTGGAATGAGTGCTATCAAAAGTGTGGTTAGTTATATTCTTTGTTACCTTAGTAATTTTTATTTAGGTTGTGCACAGAACAGAGCAGATTTAAAGTTGTAACTGTGAAAAAGTAGCAGCCAGTAGTGTTTGCTGGGAGAGTGGTTTGGTGGTCATTTTCTTGTACAGTGTTTTTGTTTTTGTCTGTGTTAAGACAGGTTTGCAAAGTGATTTTGTTTTTGTCTCTCTCAATTCAATTCATTTTGCACAGGTATTATTTGAAATTGTTCATGTTCAGTAGGAACATATAACGGTCAACTCCCAGCTGTCAGATGAAGAAGTTGTTCTTTTCTTTCTCAACTCTATTACAATGTCTGTTGTGGGTTTTCTTTCACAGATGAAACTCTGACTGAAATAGTAGGTTCATCAATACTTCTACTTATAAAAATAAATGTTACTTTATAATATATACCTTTCTCTTGACCTATTCTATTCATTTTTAAACCATGTCATTACATTAGGATAGTGAAAATTATAAAACTGAGAGGAAGGTAAAAAGTCATATTTTAGCTAATTAGTAATGTTTAAGATGTTATATTAGATTAAAAGTAGAATATATGACAGTTTTTTTACTTGATTTGATGATGATAATTTAATTTTCCAGAATCTACTTCAGGATAGGAACAATAGCAAAATATTTCTAGGCACAAATCTGAGTAGCAGGGACGAATGTATGAAAGTGGTAAGATGTTTTAAGAAGTCACTGGGTTGCCTTGGAGTTTATGATTTCAGGGAGATATGTTCATAATCTTACACCTCTTCTGCCTCCTTTTCTAAACTATTGGGAGTGAGATGTTATCCCTCTTGTGTATTGACACCAACTCATCTTATTCCTTGATGTTAATACAATGTCTTTTTATATTCTCCGGGTCCTGAATTTAGAAAAAGTGCTTTTCTCTCATATATAATAATCCCCTCACTCTCTAAACCTAATTTTCTTATTATCTTTCTTTATGTTTTGAATCCCCACATACCTATAAACTCATTTTAGAAACCTAGGAAGAATCGGCCAGGAGCGGTGGCTCACGCCTGTAATCCCAGCATTTTGGGAGCCTGAGGCAGGTGAATCACTTGAGGCCAGGAGCTCAAGACCAGCCTGGCCAACATGGTGAAACCCTGTCTCTACTAAAAATACAAAAGTTAGCTAGGTATGGTGGTGCATGCCTGTGGTCCCAGCTACTCAGGAGGCTGAGGCAGGAGAATCAATTGACCCCAGGAGGCAGAGGTTGCAGTGAGCCAAGATCGCACCACTGCACTCCAGCCTGGGAAACAGAGCAAAACCCTGTTTCCAAAAAGAAAAAAAAAAAAAAAGATATCTCTGAACTACTCAACACTTGACCAAATAGACCTAGTAGACACTAGGAAAAAAAAAATAACCTAGGAATTATCTTTGATTCATTTTTCTTCCCCTACTCTCTTAGTTTAGCTTCCGAACAACTATAGAATCATTCTGCCACTCACAATGCCTGCTATTACTATTAGAACTCAAAATCACATGATTTCTCTATTTTACTATGAATTGCATTAAAATTTCAGAGCTACATATAAAAAACAATTCTCTATCAAGCACTGTCAAATACAATATAAAATCCTAATATTTCACCACAAATATATCAGAGTAAACCAAAGTAAAACACAACACATAGAGTTGAAACCCATGTGTGTCTCTCCTCATTCTCATTTCTTTCCTCTATCTCTCCTTCCTCTGGTATTATCTCTCACTCAGATCACTGCTGAAGATTCTAACTGGGAGTTCTAGGCTCTAGGTCTGTTCATCTTGCATCACTTATTCACATGTATGCAACATTGAGCTACTGTAAATAAAATCCAACTAGGTCAGATCTCCTGGTTTAAAATTCTTCATTGTTTCCCTGGCTCCTATAGCAGAAATCTTGAACTCCTTGCCATGTAATTTATCAGATCTGAGACATCTCTCTTTGCTTCTGTTATAATTCATGCTTTAGCCCTACAAAAATGCTTGACATAAATATAAAAACACACATTTAGTAAAATGTCATTTAATAGTAATCAATGAGTAGTAAAATGGGAATTGCAACCACAAGGATTAACTAGAGGGTTTCCATTAATAAACTATGTGATGTTAGGCAGATTATTTAACCTCTGAGTGCTTCAATATCTTTTATATGAAATATGCAAATCAATTATAGCTGTCACAAAATGCAAACATATATACAGGGAGCATTTCTGAAAGAAATGTTTAAATATTTAAACAAACAGTCACCGAATCAAAAACTTGAAATTTGCATCTGTAATTTTCATCTTGGGATATAAATAACATTTGTAAAGTACTCATTAGGCTATATGATTTATTTATATTGCCTTCTAAAATCTAGTTGTTATTAATACCATATTATGGATGTGGAAACTTAAGCTTAAATTGCTAAGTTTATTCTATTCCTTAGTCATTCAATCAGTATTTATTGAGTACCTACTTGGTGCTAGAAAACTTCCTAGGGAACATGTATAATTGGAAATAGGTTAGTAATACAAGGAATCACGAGTAATTTATGGGCTCAAATCAAGCTCACATGGGTATTACTTCAAAGTTTTATACCTCAGTCTGGCCTCAATAGCAGATGACTAGGCAGAGAATCATGCTTAGTAGAGATTTATTTTATTTTATTTTATTTTATTTATTTATTCATTTTTTTTGAGATGGAGTCTCACTCTGTGCCAAGGCTGGAGTGCAGTGGTGCCATCTCTGCTCACTGCAAGCTCTGTCTCCCGGGTTCAGGCCATTCTCCCTCCTCAGCCTCCCATGTAGCTGAGACTACAGGCACCCGCCACCACGCCTGGCTCATTTTTTGTATTTTTAGTAGAGACAGGCGTTTCACCACGTTGGCCAGGCTGGTCTTGAACTCCTGACCTCAGGGCGATCTGCCCACCTTGGCCTCCCAAAGTGCTGGGATTACAGGCGTGAGCCACTGCGCCCGGCCAGTAGAGATTTTTTTAAAGCAATGTTTCTTCAATTTTCAGTGTTCTTTGAAGTGACTTGAATATTCCCTCTTCTATGCTTCTAACTGCCAACACCCTAAGCTCTCATTGCTTTGTACTTGGATAAGGCAGTGACTGCCGGATGGGCACTCTTTCTTATCTTCACTTTACAGTTCATCCTGAATTGCAAATCCTGAAGGCACATTTCAGTATGCCATTCCTGTGCTCCAGGCTGCTCCATAGCTTTTTATTTCACAGCAGGTATTCCAAATGTCTCATCCTAAAATTCAAGGCTTTTCATTATGTTAGTCTCTCAAAGCCTAGCACTTAAACCTAGAATGTATGTCCCTTTTTTTCCATTGAGGCAGAGCCCCTTCTTATCCACTATTTCCCCTCTATTTTAATTTCCTCCACTGCTAATTGCATTTCCGGGAGAAATGTTCCTTTCTTCTATTTGCCTAACCAAGTTGTATACCAATACTCTAGTTCCTATGAAGTCATACCTCTATTATGAAGTTTTTTTTAAAAAACTTCAAATCAGAATGCTCCTTCTTACTTACCAAATCATAGAATTTTAGAACTAAAAGTAGTTGTTGAATTTTTATCCTACTGCTTAATTTTTAAATGTGAAAATCAAGGACTGGAGCGACTGTGATTAGCTACCTACTTTTTAAAACACGACTATTATATATCAGTAAAGTAATTTTCTAAATAAATAATAATTCTCAAGTTTTCATATTTCCAGTTCAGGGATTTTTTTAATACTGTCTTTTCGTATCCATTGGTTTTATTATGTTATATTGGTCTGTAATTATTGCAATGTTGTTAGATTTGTTTTCCCTCTAAAGGCTTTGAAAACTACTGGAAAACTGGTATAACAGCATATGCATTCCTTAAATATGCATTCCTGCATATGCAGTAGTGTCCAGTCTTTGGGCTTCCCTGGGTCACATTGGAAGAAAAATTGTCTTGGGCCACACATAGAATACACTAATACAAATGATAGCTGATGAGCTAAAAAAATGCAAAAGAATCTCATAATATTTTAAGAAAGTTTATGAATTTGTGTTGGGCCACATTCAAAGCCATCCTAGGCTGTAAGTAAACCACAGGCTGGCGGTTGGGCAAGCTTTAAAGTGTCTATTTAAATACAGTGCCTTGATTTTTTATTCTATTATTTTCTAAATTTTTAAATTTGTTTTGGTACATAGTAGGAGTATATACTTATGAGGGTATATGAGATGTTTTGATACAGGCATGCAAAGCATAATAATCACATCATGGAAACTTGGGTGTGCACCCCCTCAAGCATTTATCCTTTGTGTTACAAACAGTCCAATTCTACTCTTCTATTTTAAAATGTACAGTTAAATTATTATTCACTATAGTCCCCCTGTTGTTCTATAAAATATTAGGTCTTATTCATTCTATTTTTTGTGCCTGGATTTTTTAAAACTGAAAATTTACCTGAAGTAATTTTATAAAAATTGCTATTAGACTTTACTTGGCAAAAAAAGAAAAATATCCAAATCATGTAAGTTGAAAATATACCTACAGGTACTCATTTTATCAAACAACACTCCTCAAAAGAAAGAAGGTAATTTAAAAATTTTATTTATTTATTTTTAAGAATCATGTTTAAGGAACATGATTAATATACATTAATATACTTCAAGATAATTTAAAACAAATATAAATATATTTATCTTATAATTTGTTTACATATATGATATAACTTCCTTAATGTATGAGAATAAAATATTATTAAATATCCATTGGAATACTTCTGCATTTGACAAATTGTACGTTGACATGTACATAATATTTTTAAGAAATGCATTTATATAGGCATATATTGCTGTAAAAGTTACCATTGATCTGTGAGTTGAAATCCAATAAAATAAGCGGGTGACATTTAAAAATATCAGAAACATTTTTAAGACAATTTTTCAAAAGCTACACAATAATGCTTATATTCATAATTTAGGTATTTGTCTTGGCATAAAGATTAACATCTCTCTATATAATTTCTTCTCATTATTTCCTACAAAATTGAAGAAATAAAGTATTTGGTATTTCATTTATTTAGATCTTCTTTCACCCAGAAATTATTGAAAGTGAGGGTAAATAAATAGTTTAATTTAAAATTCACATACTGCAGTATAACATAAGGTTCTTGTTTGAATTTTACTGTTTGCCATGCATTAAAAAGCACTCATTTTAAGGCTATGGAAGATGCTCACGTAGTATCTCTAAGCACCTATTTTTCAGAAGGATTTGTGGCTTCTGTGCCACAGATGATAAGGAATTTTATTGTTCTGGCTTCCATACTCAGCTTGACCTATTCCATCCTAAATAAGCTAATCCTGGAGAGAGTTTTGCTTCAAGTGTAAAATGATCAACACAAGAATGGAAAGTAAATCTACCACCACACATGTAAATACTGATATATAGGCCATAGTAGAGCCTTATATTCATATAAATAAAGTTTCAGATCATACTTCTCCCTAAAATCAAGACATCCAATTTTAAGAACTTCTGTCCTCATCATTGGTAACGAGTACCAGAAACTGATGTTACAGCATATAAAATAGTTCTTTTTAAATATCATGCAACTCTTACCAATGTTTTGATTCAGTGATAAAATTATGGAGCTTCATAATAACCAGGAAAATGCAGTGTTAAAAACAACAATAAAAGGCTAGCAAGAAATTATAAATATGTTGTTAAGGGCATTGGCTTCTTTAGGGCTTGCTCTCGTAACTGATACCAAATGGGAATTCAGAGTCTAAAAATATCTTCTTTGGTAAAAGGAAAGTCTTGGCCAGGAAGTAAATAAGCTTTTCCCTTAATTCAGCACATCTCCCTAAATACACTATTATCACCTACCATCTGGAATGAAGCTTCCACCAACTAATGACCTGCCTCATTAAATATCAGGAAGCAAAATCCACATTCCTAAGACCACCCTGAGCTGGAATCAATCCTGTTCTAAAAACCATCAACTTTTAATAAGAGATACATCTAACATAGGGCTTACAGTCATACCAGCCTAGTTATAAGTACAAAATAGCCAATATCAAAGTTGTTTTGTATGAATATAGATACATTGGTATAGAGAAATAGAAGAACACTTGGCACACAAACATTGGGTTGCTTCATTAGCATTTCTTTTTACTTTAAGCAAGATTTCTTGAGGGACATCTTTTCTACGTTGGAGTAAAAAATACGTTATTTAAACTTGAATTTTTTTTTCAGTAAGTGAAACCTATATTATTCAGCCAAATCCTTAAGCTTGAGTTAAATAATTGAAACAGAAATTTAAAAGTTATAACTAATGGATATTCAGACATTATACATTTCTTACCCAAGTGTTATAATAGGGACCTACTATTTTAAGTGACACTTAAACATTTATAGTTGACTTATAGACCATAAATTTTAATGATCATAAATTTTGATTTACACAATTATTGAGTTAACAAGTCACAAAGTTAGTCTATTTTTATAAAGGTAAAAATTAGGAATCAGATCAAAACATTGTGAGGTGCCTTCTCAGATGTTATACCCATACTTTCTATTCTTAAGTTTAGAAAATAAATAAAATTCTTACTAAATCTCTTCTCACTTTATCAAAAATATTTTGCAGGTTGTCCTGATAGGAAATTGAGGGAATAATAGCTGTTCCTTTGGACGAGGATCATTGGTGCTATTCATTCCAAATGTGACTTTATGTAATTAATTATCAACTTCAAACCACTGCCATTGGAATCCTCTTTTGTTGCACTTTGTCCAGTATCAAGTCAGTGGGAGAATGGTGGAGATCTGTGGGGACTGAAGCAAACATACATGGCTTTTGAGGAAGAGCACTTTAGATTTTAAACTGATTAACATTAAACATCTACTGCTTTTATCATATATGTTTTAATCCACCTATAAAGAAGTACTATTTGCAGCACACATACACATACATGCACACATACATACATTATAAATTTAGATAATATATAACCAGTAGTTTTACAATAAATTTGTCTCTATGCCTGCATCCATGACTCCAGTAATCAAGAAATAAGCATATTGTTTGTTTCCAATGACAGCTTAGCCTCAGATTTTTGTCTGTGACTCTGTTTTCTTACTCTGATGAATAAATGGTCTTGTAGAATCTGAATTTGTCTTAAGAGCATAGATGGCACAGAGATTGAGTTGAATAATTCTTAAGTGAGGATGTAATTCCTAGTACAAAAAGCTTGTCACACAGAATATGTTGAACCTCTTGCATATCACAGAACACCTTGTATAAACAATTCTAATGGCAAACCTGGGGCACATATTCCTCCCCTAAATTCGGAAGGCATAGCAAAAGTATTGTTATAATATACTATTCCTATATCCTGATTTAAATAAATTAGTACATATTTTGTAATAATAGGAGCAATTAATAAAACACTGAGAATTCCTAAAGTAAACCTGCTGAGTTCTAGCCTCTTGCGATTTATAAGAAAAGATAAAGTTTTCCATATTAAAATAAGATTGAATACCAGGGTTTAGGAACTGAACACTCAGGTATTATTCTGTGGGTTATGAATTAAACATATCTAGGAATGTCATCATAGATTAGATTTGTGCACAGTCTATGCCACAGTACATGGCAATCATCTTTGCTGGTGCCACTTTGGAAATTCAAAATGACAGCCTATCAGAAGAAAGCTTGTAAGAATTTATCTGAAAACCACAACAGCAATAAGATTTCCCAAACATATTGAACAATCGAATTGTGCGTGTGTGGGTATGTGCGTGTGTGCGCTATACATAGGTACATCTTACAGAACTAGTTTTCCTTAAATCAAGTTTTAGCAAAAATGCAAAACATTTACATAATCACCAGATGCACTGAAGAAGGTAGGTTTTATCTGTCTTTGTATAAAAACAGCTATGGGGAACAAGAGATAAATTATATATATAAAACTATATATTATATAAAAATATAGATAATATATTATATATATTATAAAATATTATATTTATAAAATTATATATATTATATTATATAGCATAAATTTTATATTATATATAAAATTACATATATATAAAATATATATATATATACACACACACACACACTTAACTTGTATGTGCCTCATATTGTTCATGTAAAAATGAAAATAACTTTATGGCCACTGTGAAATTTAAAGATAATATGCATAAGACATCTCACTCTGTGACCATGATAAACTCTTAATAAATGGTAGAAATTAATAAAAGTAGTAAATATTTTTACAGTGCTGTAACTAAGTATCTCATTATTTACCCCTACTTTTAAGTCATTTTGGAGCTTCTGTAAAGTGTTCATTTTGAATATATTTTTTAAGACATATGTTATCTTTTTGATTCTGTTTACTGAATGATATGATCAATCTTTCCCTCTCCAGTGGATCATTTTTGGTTGATTATAAATATCCTCTAGTATCTCCCAACCCAAAACATACATGCTTTTTCCTTATGTCCATCAGCTATTATTCTCTTCTCTAATTTCTTTCACAGCCAAAATTTCTAAGAGTTGCTTATTCTGTCTCAATTTCAATTTACACCTCACCCTAAAACATTTCAATTTCTACCCAACTCACTCCACCATAAAGTGCTTTTTAAGGTTTTTTTTCTCCTACTGTTTACTTTGATGGTTCCTCCTCTGCTCAACACCTAAAGGATGGATTACTGCAGTATTCAGTGCTTGAGCCTCTTCTCTTTTTACATCCACTTCCACATGATCTTATTCAAGTCCATGGCTTTAAAACATATATTAATATGCTGTTAGCGTATATATTTATTTCTGTAACACAGACTCTCATCTGGCATGTAACTTAAGCTTCCAGCTGCCCATTTGACATCTTGTTTGTAGAATCTAAAAGGCATTCCAAAAACCACAGGGCCAAAGTGGAACTTTTGTATGTCTCCCACCACTATTATCACTATGTTGTAGACATATATCCAAGTCAACCAGCTGGTTATCACTATCTGTGGAAAGGGCATCACCATCTATCTCCCTATCAAGTAACTTTGAAAAGTTGGTGTCCCTTTGATTACTCCCTCACTCTCAATCACTTCCGGGTACCCAATATATTCCATCGGAAAGTTTGATAATTTCTGCTGCTTAAATATATCTCTATCCTACTTATATATCTTTTTGTTTCTACTACATTCATATTACCAGTGGTTTTCTATATGGGGTTCAAAGGCCACAAAGAGATCCATGGATATAACTTCAGTTAAATATAGTTGATTTGGTTTGGTCTTAAGTATTTTATTTGATACATTTAATAAATGATCTTGTTTTAGTCTGTTCTCATGCTGCTAAGAAGACTGGGTAATTTATAAAAAGAAGAGGTTTAATTGACTCACAGTTCTGCATGGCCAGGAAGGCCTCAGGAAACTTATAATCATGGCAGAAGGGGAAGCATGTCCTTCTTCACATGACAGCAGGAAGGAGAAGTGCTGAGCAAAGAGGGGAAAGCCCCTTATAAAACCATCAGATTTCATAAGAATTCATTTATTATCACAGGAACAGCATGGTGGAAACTATTCCGTGATTCAGTTACCTCCCACTGGATCCCTCCCACAACACATGGGGATTATGGCAACTACAATTCTAGATTAGATTTGGGTGGGGACACAGCCAAACCATATTAGATATTCTGAGACTTTGTCCATTCATTTGGCCACACTACCATAGGGATCCTAATTCTTCTTGAGAATTGATTCTTTTGTTTTTGTTTTTGTTGTTGTTTATTTATTTTGAGAAAGGGCCTCATTATGTTGCACAGGTTGGCCTCGAAATCTTGGGCTTGAGGTATCCTCCTGCCTCAGTCTCCTGAGTATCTGGGACAACAGGTGGATGCCATTGTGCCCAGCAAATTATTTTGACTTATAATTCATTCTGGATGACATTTTATATAATAGGACTACAGTTAATGTTGGTTTTATTTTGCTTATCTTGGTTGTTATTGTGATTGACTTTTTAAAACTTTTTGTTCATGTTTCTTTAGCATTTCTAATGTTTTTCAGCATGGTAACTAAATACTTTTATATAATATAAATGCTAAGGTTACATGGTAGGCATTGTTCATGGGCACCATGCTATACACCTATAAATTAAAATCAGTACAATCATATCCAAATGAATACAATTATATCAGGTGACAGAGTTGTTAATAGCTCAGAAGATAAACGGTTTCACCATTGCTCAGTAGATAAATTTCTTCTTTCCAAAATGTGATTTAAATATCAATACTTCCCCAGCACTTTGGGAGGCCGAGGCAGGCGGATCACGAGGTCAGGAGATCGAGACCATCCCGGCTAAAACGGTGAAACCCCGTCTCTACTAAAAATACAAAAAATTAGCCGGGCGTAGTGGCGGGCGCCTGTAGTCCCAGCTACTTGGGAGGCTGAGGCAGGAGAATGGCGTGAACCCGGGAGGCGGAGCTTGCAGTGAGCCGAGATCCCGCCACTGCACTCCAGCCTGGGCGACAGAGCAAGACTCCGTCTCAAAAAAAAAAAAAAAAAAAAAAAAAAAATCAATACTTCATTGCCTATTTAGTGTTATAGTGTACCACCCCAAATTCTTCATTAACCTAGAATTTTCCGTTAAAAAGATAATATGCCACAATCATTATTTTAGAAAACGAAAAAGCAAGCATTGGTCAGAGCACTTATCCAAACATTCTTCTTACCTGAAAAATGGAGAGCTGAAGAGAAGTTCTAACTTTTTCCTGGACATGGTATTCACAGACACAGTTATAAACCGTCCCTGCAGAGTTATAGAAATGATTGGCTTCTTTGTTCCCTGTGAGAATTTTTTTCCGTTTCTACTCCTTGTTGTTTTATTCCTCTGAAAGCTTTTAAGACTTGTTTACTTACTCACCTGCAGCTAAAACTTGTTTTCATAGGTAGGTGGTAAGGCTTTCTTCAGAGCCAGTTATAACTTTTTATTCTTTAAAAGAAATCACTTTGATTTTCCCCATATTTAGAATTATAATCTTCACATAGTATTTTCAAGATTAATTTATGTATTTATCTGAGGGTTTTCTTTGGTTTTGTTAAAGTTTAGCATTTGGCTGGATATTTATATGCCAACATTTTTCCCCTTTTTCTGCATGTTATCCTAATACTTTCAAAATACGAAGATATATGTGAGTGAAAGTCATCAATTGGCTTTTTATTTTTAGTCAATTTCTAAAATCTTGCTGTGGAATCCACTATCTGAAGGAATTCAGCTATATGGGGTATTTCCATAATATAAAATCCCCATTGTAGAAACTGCTTTTGAATTATTTTATTAGTAAGACCTACAAGATTTATACATATTCAGTGGTTATGAGTGTTGGATTATTTTGTTGTGTGATTTAGTAAATCAATGGACTCTCGTGTATAATGTTTATTTTAAATTTATTTGATTAAGCTCACAAAACTCAAACAGTACAATTAAAGTAGATTTAGATAGAACAACACTTGCAAAGAATGTTTTCGTGTTAAAATAAACATGCTATATTTTGCAAAATGTTTGCAATAATACCATGGACTGCATTATATTTCAGCAATTACTGAGTCTTTTATTTAAAAATACAGGTAGCTTAAAATATATACAGATAGATATTTCCACTGATTGCAGGTAGCTATAATAATATCTCAAAATTTTCAGCAATGTCTTAATGACTAAATATTGCCAGGTATTTTAATAAGAGTTTTACTCCATTTTTGATGTTTGCTGACAACTATCAAGCCTCACCTCTCCCTCTTCCCATCTAGACTCACATGTGATAACAAAACAAGTAACAACAACATATCCCCTCAAATATTCCTTCCTTTCATTCCAGCTAAAATTCAAACCATGTAAGCCCCAGAGGGTAGGCAGAAACCCTCACTATGTTTTCATAAAAAATATATACATTTAAGAGAAACAATAGATTAGGCATGGGATAAAGAAGAACAAAAATAACAAAAGTGCATTTTTTTCTTTTTCAAGCTACAAAAAACACCAAGACACTAGCTACTCCCTCTCTCTCAAACTATTTTCAAACCTGCTTGAGAACCTGCCCTCCTCAGAAAGTGAAGCCGACTCACCTCAGAAAACTTCCCTCCGAATAATAATCTTTTCATACCTTCTTGGTGCATGTGTGGCACCATCATATCAACATCTAAACCAGCGGGGGACTGATCCTGCCCTCTGCATGTCACCCACAGCATAGATAGCAGTCTTTGCAATGTCAAAATTTCACCCTGTTTTCTACTTTTAAATATTGGGATTAAAACATGTAAGACTTCTGATAACATTTGTTGTACCTAACAGTATGCTAAGCTCTTTGCATAAGCTTAAGATATGCAGACTCACCAATTTCAGGAAGATGCCAGTATCTATATGTGTTTAGCTAAAGTGTGCTTCTTGAATTGCCTGCAGTTTAAATTACTTAGGAGTGCTTTATCATAAGGGCAGATTCTGGGGAAATACAACAGATCTCCTGGAACAGAATCTCTGAGAATGTGGCCTAAGAATTGATATTTCTAGTGAGAACCTGAGGTATTTACATGTGTTTTAGTTTGAACCCCACAGGACTTGCATAACCTTGAAAACATCTGACTGCATCTATCCAATCACATTTATTCACTGACTTCCTGCATCTATTCAGTCACACTTCAGCTGTTTCATTTAAGTCCTGCTGTGTTTTTCTGTTTGTTTGGTTTTGAGTTTGTTTTCATGTAAATTAGCTTAAATATCTTTGTGTGCTACAGTTCTAGCCAGAAAAAGTTTCTTAAAATCCTTAAACTTCTGTGTGCCTTTTTTTCCCTATTATTATATGCATTCCATGAGAAAGAATAGATTAGGAATGAGATTAAAAAAGAACAAAAACAGCAAAAGTGCATTGTTTTTCCTTTTCAAGTGATTTGAAGAACAGTTAGATTTCTGATGTTTTTTAATTGCTTGTTTATATAATATATATAAATATATAGTATATTATATATACTATATATACTAATATATATATACTATATATATTACACCTATCTTTGAGGTTAACTAAATGTTCTCTAATAATCACAAAGATTTATTAATTTATCTTGAGGAAGGTATTGACAATAAAGTAATTAGGGATGTTTCGTATTCACCATATTTCAGTTAACTCAATAACAACACTGACTTACTATTAAGAAGAGAAGGAGGCTGGGTGCAGAGGCTTACGCCTGTAATTGGGAGGCCGAGGCGGGCAGATCATGAGATCAAGATATCAAGACTATCCTGGCCAACATGGTGAAACCCCGTCTCTACAAAAAATACAAAAAAAATTTGCCGGGCATGGTGGCGGGCACCCATAATCCCAGCTACTCAGGAGGCTGATGCAGAGAATTGCTTGAACCTGGGAGGTGGAGATTGCAGTGAGCCAAGATTGCGCCACTGCACTCCAGCCTGGGCGACAGAGTGAGACTCTGTCCCATTAAAAAAAAAAAAAAAGAATAAGTCAGTTACCCTTAACCATATATTCAGTGAGCTCTAGGATACTAAATTATGACTGTATTCCCTGTGGTATGTGGGGTCTGACCCTGAGGCTCATTTTTAAAGGTTCTAAAAGCAAACAATATTTAAAAACAGGATACTTTCTTCCAAAATCTTATGAATCAGGAAGATGACATCAATTCTGTGGAATTTTTTCCTAAAACCTTAAGATCAAGATGCATGATTGAGATTCCTCTTATTTTTTCCTCTTTTTCAGAACATCCTTTTTGCTCCGTTTGTCTTTCCAATAGTTAATTTTTAAAATTACTTTCCATGTATTCAAATAAAAACCCTCAATTATTTACATTTTATTAGGAGCTTAACATGGTAATTTATCAGGAGAGCCTAAGACATTGAATTTTTGCTGTAGGATGCAAGAGTTTTCACCTGTACTAAAAATAACAAAACAATATGTATTTTGTAGTATAGCTCTTTATGGCCTACAGTAAAAAATACAACAAAGTATAGATGCTGAACACCCCAACAAATCTGATGGCTGAATAATAAAATTATTCTGAACTATATTTTTTCATAGTGTATTATTATCAACAGGGTTTCCTTAATTATAATGAAATTCAATTTATCAATCCTTTTGTAATTATTTATTTTGTATCTTTGTTTATAAAATCTTTACTGATCTCACAATAGCAAAATTATTTTCTTATGATTTTTATTTAAACAATTTACTAAAGAAACTATATTTTCATTACTATATAGCAAAGAACTAAGTTACATGATCGTAAACCTATGGGTTCCAAATATATTATGTTCTCTATTCCATTCCATTGCTCTATTTGTCCTTGTATGAATATAGGACTGTCAACAACTGTAGCTTTATAACAGTTTTAATATCTGGAAGTATAAGTCTTCCAAATTTGATTGTATTTTAAAAATTGCCCTGACTAGTAGTCTGCCCTTTAAATATCTATTGAATTTGAAAAATAAACACGTTCAATTCAACCACAAAAATATCTGCTGAGAGTTTTATTTGGATTACATTAAGCCCACAGATCAGCTTAAGTACACCAATTTTGAGTTGTGTTATGAATATTTTCATTATCATTAAATTCAAAACATTTAAAAATGTCCATTGAGATTTTTTTATTTGACTCAAGAATTATTTAACATTGCATTACTTGACTTAAAAGAAGTTGGGATTTTTCTTTTTATCTCTTTGTTATTGATTTCTAACTTAATTCTACTGTGGCCAGGGAATACACTTTGAATTATCGAATTCTTTTGAAATTGAGAATTGCTTTATGGACTTACATGTGTTAAAGAATTGCTTTATGGACTTTCATGTGCATTTGTAAAGAATGTGTACTTTGTGCACAGGAAGGGGAACATCACACACTGGGGCCTGTTGTGAGGTGGGGGGAGGGGGAAGGGATAGCATTAGGAGATATACCTAATGTTAAATGATGAGTTAATGGGTGCAGCACACCAACATGGCACATGTATACATATGTAACAAACCTGTACACTGTGCACATGTACCCTAAAACTTAAAGTATAATAATAAAAAAAATAGTGTGTACTTTGTGTATTTGTAAAAAATGTGGATAATTGTTAGATTTTCATTTGAGGAATTAACTATTGATTGTTATGAATTTCCCTTTTTATCTCATTTAATGCTTCTCATCCTAAAATATACCTGTCTGATATTAAAATTTGACCCTCTACTTTTTCTTATTAATTCTAGTCATACTTTATATCTAAACTGACAATTATTTTGTTTTTTGTGTTTCCTATATATAGCCTATGATTATGTCTGCAATCTTTTTACATTGATTGATATGGCAGATACATTTTTACTTTTAGTTCTTCTACACTATTTTAAGGTTTGTTTCCCTTTTAGTAATTCTAGTCTCTGTGTTTTGCTTTATGCAATTGGTTCTTCTAATATTTAGGAAGATTTCATTTTTTTCTTTCGCTGATAGCATATTAGCCTTTTTTTTAATTTAAAAAAGTTTTACATTGATGTTCTGCAATGAAAATAAATTATTTGAGAGACAACAAGAATTGGTGGAAAAAATACTCTAATTTCCTAGTTCCTTTTTAGAACAATTGTTAGGTTTGTTTGATATGGTTTCTCAGAGGGTTCCCAGATAAATAAATTCTTAGTTGGCTCAGCAGTACTCCCCTAATTAGCAAGCACTTTATCGGCTTTCTTAACTTTCTTGCTTACTTTTCTACTCCTTCACTATACTTCTTGTTATTTCTTCTGGGGAGAAATTAAAACAGCCGATCTTTGAGGGGAGATGCTACCAGGGAAAGAAGGAAGGCAATTGCCCCAGTCCTACCTTCTTATAAACATGATAACAAGAAATCCTGCCCTGGAAAACTATACTAAAGCTATTTGCTGGGAGAAGAGTTTTTTACGTATCAAACACTTTAAGCAGAATTGTTGGAGGTGTTTGAACCAGAGTGACTCCATCTTGAGTGAGGGCTAGGAAGAATGAGGCTAGGACTTGCTGGGCTGCATTCCCAGAAAGTTACGTATTTCTAGCTTCTAGATGTTTATGGTTAAGGGAACAGATTGATAATATTTACTAAACAGATCCTGAATAAAGGGTATGCTGATAGCCTGGTATCTTGAGAATAGAAGCATTCCTAATAATAATATGGATTCTTGCACAAGATAGTAATTCATAAAATAATCCTTTATTAACAAATCTTTGTAGCAGAGCACATCTCCCATGAATTTTTTTAATCCTATATATAAACAACATTGTACCTAGTGTGGACACATTGCTCCTCTTACTTTTGAGAACACCCTACTCTACCTATGGAGTAGCTCTCCTTTCACCCCTTAACTTTCTTAATAAACTTGCTTTTGCTTTGCACTGTGGACTCGCCCTAAATTCTTTCTTGAGCAAGATCCAAGAACCCTCTCTTAGGGTCTGGATCGGGACCCCTTTCTAGTAACAGAATGTTCCTAGTTTAAACTTGCTTATTGTCCAAGAAACTAAAAACTAAATATTTTGTGAGCTATGACTCTGGAAAATCTCATAAGCTGTATAATAATCTAGGGTATTATAGCTGTAATTCATATATCTCCCCAGAGGCCTCCTTTATTACTTTAGTCTAGACAGCATGTTTATATATGGGAAAGAAGGTTCTAGGGAGCAGGTCTCAGTTTCCCAGACCTCCCACTAGTTCACTCCTGGATTTTGATTGCTTATTCTTTAACTTCTTCATAAAGCTTGATAATGGGTAAGACCTCTGATTTTTGTGAGTCTAAGTTTAAGGTCTGAGGCTTTGTGTCAGTTCACCTCCTAAATAAAGTATTTACTCAAATATTTTTCTTACTGTTTGCTTTTGAGGGAACCCAAACTAAGGCACCTTCTTTCACCTATACCTCCTGCTATAGATTGGGTTCTAGAAAGCAGATTCGGAGGCTAACTTAACGTGCAAGATATTTATTTAAAAGTGTACTTAGGATCAACATTTGTGTAAGGGAGAGATAGGAAGCAGGATTGGGTAGAAGGAGAAACTGAGGTAGAATGTAAGCCCCCAAACAGCCTAGACTGATGACTCCAGGAGCTCTGGAACTATAGTGGTCCTCCATAGTTATTCTAAGTTGGGCTGAGATGGCAAGTCATTTATACTCTCGTAACTGTCAGTCATTGGATATGGCAATGTGTGACTTGGGCTAGATGACTCTCTATGGTTGCAGCAGCCCCTAAGGAAGCAAACACCTAAAGGTTATGTATCTATAATACTCTCGACCTCTTAACCAAGGACAAGACCTCCACTGAAAGCACATCTAGGTAGCTAGGTAGCATATCACAGTCATCACTACACCTCCAGGTTTATTATTATTATATTATTTTTATAATATTCTTTTTTCCTTTTACTTTCTAGTCTACGTTTTTAACCTTTGAATATTATTGCAGGGCATTCATCTTATTTTGATGGCTATTACATATATAAAATATCAACTTTAGAGTAAAAAAACAGAAAAATAATGCATAATCTGTCACCTTTGGTAAGTTTAAAGAAGTGAGTGTACATCTCATCTGAATGAGAAATGTATATTTGAAAATGCTATTTAATTTTTTTAGCCATTCCTGAAATAATAACCCAGAGACAACAATGAAAGTCTAATGTAACTAGTCAAATTTACTAAAGATAACAGATGAAATATAATTTAAAGTTATAGTGTATTAAATTGATGCAGAAAAAACATAAAATTATATTTTAGCAATTATATTTTATTGGTAACATCTATACTAATGAGAGAAAAAACTCATATAGGTTTATTGTCACATATCCAAAAAACAATTCAAGACATCCAAAAACACTTATATGCTATTTTTTTCATTATGTACCATTTTCTCTAGAAGCTAGAAATTCACATATGCCATATACATAAGCCAACATTTAATATCTGGTTTCTCACCCAAAATCCAGGAAGCAAGCATTCAAAAATGTATGCTAAAGAAAGTATCTGATGATAAAATCTTCTTTAGCCATGAGCTTTCTGTCTTCTGATAAATTCATTTTTATCCTATAGTAAGTGGAGAATATTAAAAGTTTTTGGGGGATGGGCACAATGCCTCAAGCTTGTGATCCCCACACTTTGGGGGGCCGAGGAGGGAGGATCACTTGAAGTCAGGAGTTCGAGACCAACCTGGCCAACATGGTGAAACCCCGTCTCTACTAAAAATAAAAAAATTAGCCGAACATAGTGGTGTGAGCCTGTAATCCTAGCTTCTTGGGAGATTGAGGCACGAGAATTGCTTGAAACCCAGGAGGTGCAGGTTGCAGTCAGCCAAGATTGTACCACTGCACTCCATCCTGGGCAACAAAGAAAGACTGTCTCAAAAAAAAAAAATTTTTTTTGGAAGAGTGTTAGCCAACTATTGTTGGGTCTCAGAAAACAGTACACTGAAAATTAAGGCAGAGGCAACCTTAGAAACAAAGTTTTTCTTGGACATTCCCCTGCTCTCCTGTCTCGCAGTCCCTGAGGTTAGCCAAAGAAACCAGAACCCCTCTTCCTCAAGTTGTGTCACAGGAACAAGAACTCCATTTCCCCAAAGCCAGCCACAAGACCAAAAACAATTGTTTTAACATTGCCTCTGCCTCTTTGTGTAAAAACCGGCCATAAAAAATGATCTGACCTACCTTGCTTGACTGTATGTTGTAAGAACCCTGTTCCAGAGAGAGTCCTGCCCCACAGCCCGAAGGGAGGGATGCGTGCTCAGAGAGGCCAAGAAGAATCTAGATGAGCTTTGTTGAGTTTTCCCACTTAGTCTATTAAGATTAGACCACACTCCTTTTGTCCAAACTTAGTTCTACATAGCTGTCCATATTTTGTTGAAGCTAAGCATAAAAATGGATAATTTCCCCTTTGTCTTTGTGTCTTCATTGTAAAGACTCTTATGAACACATTAAATACATTTTGTCTTTTCACTAATTAACTTGCCTTTTGTGAGGTGATTTGTCTGCTAATCTTCGGGGGCAAAGGGGAACTTTCTGCTTGGACCTTACACTATTTAATAGATCAAAGGAAAAATTATTAGATACTAATTAGTGACAGTAGTAATAAGATGGACTGAAAAAATTACAAAAGTTCTTATGTTTGTATAAACAAAGACTAATGATGGAATGACACACAATAAATTGTTAATAATTATTCACATTGAAGATTGAGGGATGAGTATCAATCTTGAATTGAACGCTTTAGTATTGAGCAAATTTTTCTTTCATCTGAATTATTTGAAAAAAAATTTCTTGAATGTAAACAAGTAGCTGACAAGGAATACTTAGTAAATACAATCAACAGGACATTGAGAGCAATTTTTGATGTGTGATAAGTGTGAAAAGCAAAATATTATTACTAAACTTTGATTTCTCACTTGGACAAGTATGTTGATCTTGATTTCTTTAACTGCGATTATGAATGCAAGGTTAGGGATGTTTTCTTGTTGTAAAGGAAACCAGAATATTTTATTCCTAAATGTGCTTCTTTAGCACATTTTGAAATGACTATTCAGAAGGGCTGCAAACACAAGAATAGCCCTGAGAAGCTGTCTTCTATGGGGGTGATTTACATTTGTAGTAGGAACCTACATTAGTAACATGAAGTAAATAACAGATGCAAATAGGCTTACTCTGAGGCTCCTCTTGGCCAGATCTAGGTAAGATTAATTCACAGGAAAAGAGACTAAAGATCTGAAAGAGAACCTTCACCACAGGCTACCATCTGTTCTTTCTGAGGGCAACTCTGAGACTACCTGAGATATTTTGATATGCAAAATAAGGCAGTTTTTGCCTGACATATTTTCCTCCCTTCACTCTCCCATGACCAGTGATGCCACCTACCCTCCCCACCCCTAGAATCCCCAGGATCTCATTCTTTCTGTTATCTGAGGGTAGTGGAAAAACTTCAGTCATCTGGCTCCTTGAGTCTCATACTTTGTGTATGATTCCCATGTCCATATACACATTAAATTTGTACACCTTTATTTCTTGTTTATCTTTTATTATAGAGGTGCCACAGGTAAGAATATGTGAGGATTGGGAAAAGATATTCTATATATATATATATATTTTTTTTTTCTTCATTTTGTGAAACAGCCAGAAGATTATAGGACTCCCCTTCCTCCAGGACCTGAAGATGGAATCCCCAGAGTCTTAAGAGGAGCCACCAGAAAAAGGTAAAATTTTGTACCAATGTCAGTTTCTCCCAGATTTCTATCTGTGGTATCTCGTTGACAGAGAAAGGTAAAAATTTTTCCTTGTTCCTTTATTTTTCAGGCTCAGACTAGCAAGAGAAAAACATTTATAAATGTTTTTGAATTTGTGACTTTTGTGGATGTTTCAGGTGTCAACTGGTTATTGATCTTTAGACTCCCAGAGATGGTCTCTGTCTTTCTAGTCTCCGTCTCTTGTCTGGTTTGTCATAAGGAGAAAAATCATGATAAGCTTTTACTTTTAGCTTGTTTTTATGTCTTGAGAAGTGTATTAGTCTCTTCTTACACTGCTGTAAAGAGATACCTGAAACTGGGTAATTTATAAAGAAAAGAGGTTTAATTGGCTCATGGTTCCACAGGCTGTACAGGAAACATGAATGGGGAGGCCTCAGGAAGCTTTCATTCATGGCGGATGGGGAAGCAGGTATGTCTTACATGACCAGGGCAGGAGGAAGAGGCCGCGAACAGGGAGGTGCTACATACTTTTAAACAACCAGATCCTGTGAGAACTCACTATCATGAGAGCAACAAGGGAGAGTCCACCCCTATGATCCAGTTGTTGCAGTCTGCTTAGTCTCAAGTTCAGCTAGGTCCAAGTTCTTGTCCCACACCAAGAAGAATAAGGTATGTGGACACCAGAAAATGAGTAGAGTAGAATTTATTAAGCAAAAGGAAAGCTCTCAGCAAAGAAAGGGAATCTGAAAGCATGTTGCCAGAAATGGAGCTCAGTTCTGGGTCTCTTATGTGGCAAAGACAAGGAAGTCTTCTATGAGCTCCACCTAAATGGAGCGGTAAAGTTTCCCCTTCGGGGTATTGCATCTGCACATGCCTGGGGTTGACCATAGTGACTCCATCTTGGTTATTACCCATGGATGCCTAAGTGAAACGCATGGGGTGGGGGTGGGGTATGAAAACCACAATGCTAATGTCGTGTTAATAACATTATAATGAGTTAGATCAAGTTAAGGACATTTAGGTTGATTTATTGCACCTGTGCCTAAGTTGGGACAGTCCTTTCTGAGCAGATGTCCTGGCATAAGAGGAAATTTTTAACTCAGTTTCTTTCTGTTAGCTGCAGGAGCTGTGCAGGTGCAGTCCTGCGGGTATTTTTCCACTCCCAAGACCCTCCCTCTCTATCTGCCTAACCAACCTCTGTAACTGCCTCCTCTCTGTCAGTCACCTCCCACCAGGCCCCTCATTCAACATGGGGGAATACAATTGTACTTGTGATTTGGGAGGGGACACAAATCCAAACTATTTCAAGCTAGTTTTATAAGTAGTAAATTTAATATCTGGCTTCTGACACCACAGACGACATAGTTGGGCTTATGTAAGGGCAGAGAGAAAATTGGCTGGGGGTTTGAAATGTCTGCTCACTTGAATGTGTCAGCTCTCAAGTGAATTTGTCTTAATTGTCTCGAGCTTCATTGCCTTGCTAATAAAGAGATCTCTGCTTTCTTAGGTTATCTTTGGAAAGAACTTTAGATCTTGAAGGAGACTGCATTTTTGTACCCTCTATGGGGATGTAATTCTTGTGTTTGGTTGTAAGCCATAAAAAGGCATACTGATCTTGACACACAGTTGAAGCACACAGGTTTCCCTTGAAACAGTCAAGGCTGGCTCTACCAGGCTCTGGCAAAAGGCCAACTGCTTGCATGACAGAAAGTTTGCTAATTATATATTTAAAATATTTTATTTTCCTAAAGAGCTCTATGGCTAGAAATCAGATTAACTACAAGTTGATATTCAGATTGTATCTTGTTTTAAGATTTTCTCTCTTTTGGATCCTGTTTTCTTCTAAGGAAATTTCCTTAGTCAATCGCATTTGACGCCTGCCCCCTACCCTGATCCTGACCTCCCACCGCACACTTCTTGAATTCCTGTTAATACATGCAAACTGCAAAATCTGCTTCTCTCTGTATGTTTGTAAATATTTATATATGTGTGTGTATTGTAAATGTGTGATATTTTTCTACTATGAATTAAGAAAAGCTGTATTTTCATTGGCTTAGAAAATAAGCATTTATAAACATTATTTTCTCAGAAAAATACAATTAACCTAGATGATTTCTAAGTGCACATGACTAATGAACTTTGGCAGATATAAATATTATTGATCTAATTAAAACTAAATATCTATAAACATTAAATATAATTATGACATACAACTTTTATCTCTGTTAGGTATTTAAGAGAACAAAAGTGTGAGTCTAACCCAGGAACAAAGGTATTAATGAAAGTACAATACAGTGTCTATTGCCTCATGTATATCAGCCATGAAAATAAAACAAAATGCTTCATATATCTATCTTTGAGATTTTTGTTTTAATGACGCTTTCCTAATATATAGTATAATAAAAATGGTTAAATAGGAAAATAACCTTTAAAAAGCCATTCCTAAGGTATTTCCTACCCCCACAGATTGGTTAATTAGCTAGACTTGCAAACAAAGAAAAAATAAATTTGTTATTTTTTTCAAGGTCCACGTAAAAGTGCTGTTTTTCTTGACATTCTAGCCAATATAGTGGGGAAGAGGCTTCTGGATTGATAGCCTGGTAGTTACAGTGACTTTTGAATCAAGCAATTTCCCTGCTTATTAGGACTAATATTATCTAATGTCTCCTGAAATCTTCCAAACATACTTGTTAATAATGAATAAATTAAATAAAACATAAATAAAATAAAATTTTAGAAAAGAACTATTTAATAATAACTATGTTTTATAATGTGTTTACTTAAAGGTTTCTAGTCTCTTTGGTAACTACACCCTTAGAATTTTGCTAAGTTAAATGATGAATATTCATCGACTATCTAGGTCATTTCCATGTAAGCTTTAATGTTAAAATGTTAATTACTAAATATAAGTTTAAGGTTATATATTTTAGGTGTCTTTCTTCAGAGAAACAGAAGATATTTAGGTTTGTTAGTAAATATGTTCTGTTACACACTGAAAAATTGGACTATGAAGAAGCCTAACTTTCTAGAAATTATAAAATATTTATTCATAAAATGTTTTAGTATATAACAATTTAAAATTGTCTATTTCCTATGTTTTTCATTAGAAATTACAGTTACAAAGACTTAAAGTTATAATTAAAACTACTAGATATAAGATAAACAATTCTGTATACATAGTGTACAAGGAAAGTAAGATGTTATAAGGCTTATAATTTGTTTTATTTATTTTAAATGTAATTTTGTCTAATTTCAAGGTTGTTTAAAGGTTGTTTGCCAATGAAGGAATAAAGGAAGAAATAATATATATAAAACTGAATGGATTAAATGTTGTAAAAGGATTATGAAAAATAAATCTTATTAAAAATTTTATTTTTGAATACGAATTCAATGGATTTATTACATTTTTCTTCTTAATATCAAAGGTACGCTAAAACAAAACTAAAAAAGGGTTGGTAGGAGGGAGAAAAACAGATTCTGTGAATCTCACGGTGTATTTATTATATCTTTTAGTTATTCAGAAAATTGAGTTTTCTCTCAGAGTAAAGATGTTTGCTTTCTAAAATATATTAATTAACAATTCAGCTAAATGAATCACTATTATTTTGCAGTGGTTTGTGATTCTATTTGGATCAAGTGTTTCGAAACTTTATTTTGGACAAATTTTCCCAAAATCGAAATTACTATAATTTTTTACCCCAAACTAACTTTGGGATGTTCCACATGGCTCTGAAGCATCCAAAAGAGAGATAATAAACAGGTTTATTTGATATATTAAATTATATGGGAAGCATTGCCAAATAAGTAATGATGTTTAAACTTTATTAAATTAGATTCGTATGTGTATGTTATTAATATATGTTCCAAGATGGCATGATATTTCTAAAAATCGTATATGTCTTTGTATATGTTTTTAGTTATGATTATGGCAATTTATTAAATATAGGCCACAGAAAAAAACAAATTTCTTTGTCAGTTGTGTTTAACCATGGCTATTTTAATTCATGTTATTTACAGTTAATTGTTTTATTCTGATTTTTCCTGAATTGCTTTATTATGATTTTTTATTTCTGATTTTTTTCTGTTTGCAAATATTAAAGTGTTATGTCTTCAAATAGATTAATGGGCGTTATGAAAAGGACTGTCAAATACAGGTTTCTGACAACCTTGAGACCAAACCTTTGGACTTAGTAGAATTTCTGGAACTCTAATGAAAAATAAAAACAACCACAAAAAGACTTATAAAATTGCTAACCTAACATCAACCAGAAAAATATTATAATACATGGGGCTGAAATTATGGACTGAAATATTTTTATGATATTTTTGTTTAAAACCTTCCTAATTTTTTTTAATGTTTTGACTTCTAAAGTTAAGAAAACTCTTTTTTCTTAAGCTATCTATAGCTTTATAGCAATTTGGTAAAGTATACCACTGTGAGCAACATTAACACATTTACCCTTGTCTCTACTTGATCCCTCCAAAATTTGGAAACTATGAGTATTATTATTTTATGGCAATGTAATTGTTTTAATCTGTTTTCTCTGTAACAGGGTACAATTGAAGACAATACTTATCTTACCAAGATTGAAGAGTTATATTTTCAGATATGACCAGATTATTTTGAGGGATTGAGGTTGACTTTATAAAGACAAGAGATTTGGAAAAAGACTGGCCTGATACTTAGTCTACGTGGTTCCCTTACAAAGTTCCAGGCCTTGTAGTAAGCAGAATGTCACTTTCTGTGCAGGACATGCATGTTTGTTACATGCACGTGTGTCCCAGAACTTAAAAGTACATTTAAAACCAAAAAAGAATGTCACTTTCTGACAGGACTAGGAACTTCAAGATACTTTGGGGACCTTCTGAAGAAAGCAATTTATCTTATTGAATAGGTGAGTTTTTGGTTTGGTTTCTAAGCCTTCAAAGGCTTCAGATTTAGAAGAATTAGATATGTTCAGGGGGTGGTCAGAAATGTTTGTTTGCAATTTTAAAGAGTTATGAGGATTGGAGATGCATAAAGGGGAATCATTAGCAGTAGTTGAAGACGTGTTTTAATTTTCTGTTGCTCATAAAAGAATAGCTGTATCTGGGTAACTTATAAAGAAATTATATATTTTTACAATTATGGAGACTGAGAAATCCAAGGTCAAGAGAGTGCCTCTGGTGAGAGCCTGCAGAGACCCTAAGTGGGCCACCTCTTAAAGACTCCACCTCGATGGGGCGTGGTGGCTCTTGCCTGTAATCCCAGCACTTTGGGAGGCCAAGGTGGGCAGATCATGAGGTCAGCAGTTTAAGACCAGCCTGACAAACGTGGTCAAACCCAGCCTCTACTAAAAATACAAAAATTAGCCTGGCATGGTGGCGTGTGCCTGTAATGCCAGCTACTCAGGAGGCTGAGGCAGGAGAATCGCTTGAACCCGGGATGTTGCAGTTGCAGTGAGCCAAGATCATGCCACTGCACTCCAGCCTGGGTGACAGAGCGAGACTCCATCTGAAAAAAAAAAAGCAATCCCCACCTCTCCATGCTGCCACATTGGGGATTACATTTCCACATGAGGTTGGAGGAGACAAATATTCAAACCTTGACATTCTGACCATGACTTCAAAACTCATGTCCTTCTCGTATGCTAATACATTCAATCCAATCTCATAACTCCAAAGTCTTAACTTGTTCCAGTACTAACTGAAAAGTCCAAAATCCAGAGTCTCATCGACCCTGTAAAATCAAAACAAGTTGTCAATTTCCCAGATACAATGGGAGTATAGGCACAAAACAAACACTCCCATTCCACAAGAGAAAAAATGGCAAAAATAAAAGGAGTGAAAGACGTTCAGCAAACCTATTAGGGCAAACCTCAAATCTTAAAGCTGGAGAATAATCTCTTTTGAATCTATCTACCACCCCCGGGAGACAATGGGGCAGTGGCTGGGCCCTCAATGCCTCAGGAAGCCCCATAGCTTTTTCTGGGTGCAGTCCGCATGGCTGCTTGGACAGGTTGGAGATTGTTGCTTGAAACTTTTGCAGGGAAGCATTTAAAGCTTCTGGTGACTCCACAGTTCTGGGGTCCCAGTGACAGTCCCACTCTCATGACTCCATTAGGTATTACCCCAGTGAACTCCCTCTGTGGCAGCTCTGACCCCACATTTTTTCTCAGAATTGCTTTACTGAGGGATCTCTGCAGTTTTTCCACCCCTGTGACAAGTCTCTGCCTAGGCCCCTAGGCTTTCAGCAATATTCTTTGAATATGGCTCTTGCTCTCTGCAAGCCTGCAGAATCAGTAGATGCTTCCAAGACTTATGGCTTGTATCTTTTTGAGTGGTGGTTCCATCATTCTGTGCAGCAAGTCTATGAAGGATGCCTTGTGCCCATCCCTGAAAAAAAATTTGCCCTCTTAGGCCTTTGGGCCTTCAATGGGGGAGGCCGCCTCAAATATCTGAAATGCCTTTATGGTCTTGCTTTCATTGTTTTGAGGAATAGCACCTGGCTCCCTTCTGTTTATGCTAAACCGTTTGGCAAGTGGTTGCTGAACTATACCCTTGGTTTTCTCTCCCAAATGTGCTTTTTCACTCTTTATGTGAGACTTTTCCAAATCTATGAGTTTTGTTTCATTTTTGATAATACATTTCATCTTCAAGTCATTTTTACCTTTCACAGCTTAATGTATGCAGTTATAAGTAGCTATGCATCAGCCTGAATGCTTTGCTACTTGGGCATTTATTTTATCAGATAACCTAGTTCACCACTCTCAAGTTGGCTTTCACCAAAGCCCTCAGGCATGAATATAGTTTAGCCAACTTTTTTTTTTTTTTTTTAACAATTTTTAACAAAGATGGCCTTTACTCCAAATTTCAATACCTTGTTTCTCAGTTCCATCTGAGACCTCATTAGAGTGGCTTTTACTGTCCATATTACTAATAGCATTCTGGTCACAACCATTTATCCAATCTCTGAAGAGTTCCAAACTTTTCATGGCCTTCTTGTCTTCTAAGCCCTCATCAGCATCTAGGCTTTTTATAGCCTGCTCCTCCAAATTCTTCCAGTTTCTGTCCATTACCTAGTTCCAAAGCCACTTCCACATTTTTAGGTAATTATTCTCAGCTTCTCAGTACCAATTTTCTGTCTTTGTTCATTTCTTGATGTTCATAACAGAATACATAAAGCTATGTAATTTATGAAGCAAAATAACTTATTTCTTACAGTTATGGAGGCAGAGAAGTCCAAGGCCAAGGGAACACATCTGATAAGAGCCTTCTTGCTGATGGAGACTGCAGAGCCCCAAGGAGGGGCAAGGTTTCATATAGTGAGGGGATTGAGCATGCTGGCAAATGTCATTTTTCCTCTCTTTATGAAGCCAATAGTCTCACTTTTATAATAACTCATTAATCAATTGACCTATTAATCCTAGTGGATTTATTCATTCATGACGATAGAGCCTCATGACCCAATCACCCCTTGAAGAACCCACCTCTCAATACGGACATGTTGGGGATTAATTGTCAACATGAGTTTTGGAGGGAATAAATACTCAAATCATAGCAACATGAGAGTGAGAGCGTCTAGGAGATAGCTCAGAGATAGTGCAGTGGGTAAGGGGAGGACAGGGTCAGGAGCATAGCTCTGGGACTCATCAACCTGTACATGATAGCGAGTATAAAGGCTTTTACGAACATGAAAAATGTTAGATGCATTACACTCTAAGTGAGAAAATGGTGAAGAGATTTTTTAAAAGGATAAAAATATAAAGTATGAGTCTAAGAATCACAAATAAATAAACCTTCAATATTTACTTATTTCATCAACTAGAAGACCCAATCTTTGCATAAATCTCAATTACTCTATGTATTACTAAGAAAGGAGAAATGCTGCCATTAAAATTTGTTAACGATGCTTTCTTATAATATCAGTTGTAAAACCCATTCTGATTTCAGAGGTGTTAAGATGTAAAAATGAAGACAAATGGTGGTTATGATCATGTGCCCTATTACATCCAGAAGAGTGCTTCACCACTTATGTTCTCTATCATTTGCAGCTTCAATCTTTGTGATTTGCCCGGATCATTCTTTTCTGTCTATACTCTATTGTTCTTTTCAGTATAAAACCAAACAGTGCAAAGAAACTGTAAGCTTCGGCTCAGATGAACTGGGCAACTCAATTTTCTCTGTTTTAAATGACATAGACATCTATTCAAATTGCTCAAATTATTTTCTCTCCTACCTGATTCAAATAATACAGCACTTTTAAAATAAAATTCCTGTTATCCTCCTTGTATAAAATGTCATATCCTCCTTGTATAAAACTTTGAACAGTTTCATTTTCCATGTCATATATTATAATTTTCCTCATGTATTTTCTTGTGAAAAGATTTTGAGGTAACTTATCTTCCCCCATTAAATGGATGTGGAATATTTCTTATGAGAAGGGCATATAATGCAATGGAAAAGCATTGGTCTTGTGATCCAGTAGAATATGTAACAGCTGTGTGATTGTGGATAAGATGCTTATCCACTCAACCCTCCTTGAAATTCAGCTAACTTCTTTGTAAAAAAAAAAAAAAATAGTGATGTCTATTTATTGTGTTTCATGGTGTAATTGTGAGAAATTAGTACCTCTAAAGCATCCTTTCCTGTGCTTTGATACCATGTTATGGGTATGGTTATTTAGTTATTTCTCTAACTTACCTTTTTGTCTCCCACACCACCTCCCATGTCTCTTTGTGCAGAGTAAATGCCATACACATGCACATGCGTGCACACACACCACACACACACACACACACACACACACACACTCTACCAGATTGCTTTAAAATTCCATTTCTTTCTGTGCAGACCAGACAAGAACAAGGTCACATTCAGCATTATTTTTATAGAAATGTGCATGGTCTCTATAAAATCGACTAAGAAGTCTATACCTCACTAGTTCAGATTTTAAAACATTAATACAAGTTACAAAGAAATGTCATTTTGACACAGTGCCTTGTTAGCTACAGAAATCTGTCAGTACTGACTTAATAGTAAGCCTGTTTACAGCAGAATAAACTCCTAGAATCCATTTCTTTACAGGGTGTCCCACAGTAGGTTGTATCTGTAGTGGTTGGGGGTATCTGACATGGATTATAGTTGAAAAGCAGGGGTAAGTGAGAGCCTGTGAAAAAAATAAAACAAGCTTTTTTTTGCCATTCTGAAAACTCACCTCAATCTTAGCATATTGTCCATGAGAGTTCATAAAGAACTCTCTGCATCTTTAGGATTGCAGGTAAATATCACAAAGGCATGTTTTAATAGAGTTACTTTCTTTCACCTTCTAGTGGGAGAAGAAATGAGTACTCTGAAATACAATTTAAATGGATTCATAAAATAAATGTCAGCATTAGTGTTTTACCCAGTGGCAATTATCCACAAATGGTCAATTTTTCTAGTTAAATAGTAAGTGAAGGACTAAGCATTTATGTGTTTTTAATGCTGCCATAATAACATCATGAATCATTTAATTGCAATGCTCAAAGTTTTCATTTTAATGGGAACTATCACCATCATAACAATCATCAAGAGACCTTGGTAAAAGTGCCTTGCCCAGATCATGACATTGCCCACTGAGAGATTTAAGGGAAGCCTAGAGAGCCTATTCCGCATTTTTGGCAAGTTATTTCCCTCTGCCACTACACCATCTGTCCAATGATTTACACTGCCCAAGAGATTAATTACTAGAAAAAGGCAATGATTACAATGGATTACTCCCATTACCCTAAGAGAACAACAGTACTAATTCCACCATTTGTTGGCAACCCCTATTTATTCATTTCTTACCCTACATCTAAAACTTTAAGGTGACCCTTCGTCATATATACTCCCTAATCTGACCTAATCTCCTGTCACTTCTTAATCCCACAAATACTAGCATTATATTTTCCAGAACGCAAAGCCAAATCTATATCTCCAAAAACTTCTCCAAATATTCCTTTGACCTTCTCGATTCAACTGAAACGTGGGGCAAATGCAAAAACAAAATCAAAACTTGTTGGTGGCTGTTTTCTTCCCCACACATCGTGTACCATAAGCCTTGGAGGGGTTCTGTCTTATTTTCTGCTTCCAGACACCTTATTCTCCTTCTATTCTCAAACAAACCAACAAAAAGAAAACTGCTCTTGACGATGGCTCTCAGAACATAGCACTTCCGTGTTACTAACATTGATAAAATTTGCAGTCTTTCTTAAACACTGACTATTTTAAGGCATTTATGGCAGGCTTTTTATATATCTTTCAGTGACTGCCCGTTTTTACTCTTGGTTATTTAAACAACCATGTTGACAAAACATTCAATTTTAATGGTAACTGAATCTCTCATCTTCAGATGACTTTTTCTCCATCTCACCTTAGCTTACCACTTTCATCCTTATAACCTGGAATCTCTTACTACCTATTGCTGCATATTCCATTTTTGAAAATCTCAATTTTAAGCACTCTGCTTACTAAACCACCAATTACTTATCTTTCCTGCTCATTATTAACTATAACCCTAAATTACTAATACTCAGTTTTATTATGGTCTTTAATCCATTAATCCTGACACATTTCCTTATGCATTATTCCATTCTTGCTAGATACCTTCCTCTGTATTTAGCTCAGGTTTCATATGACCAAGATAGCCTCAGCTTGACTACACTTCATATGGGTTCCTTTTTTTTACATACAGGCTTCTAATCTCCCTTTATGTTATTTCATTTTTTTTAGTTGGAGTTTTGCTCTTGTTGCCCAGCCTGGAATGCAATGACGTGATTTTGGCTCACTGCAACCTCCGCCTCCCAGGTTGAAGCGATTCCCTGCCTCAGTCTCCCTAGTAGCTGGGATTGCAGGCGCCGGCTGCCAAGTCTGGCTAATTTTTATTTTTTAATTTTCTTTATTTTTAGTAGAGATGGGGTTTCACCATGTTGGTCAGGCTAGTTTCAAACTCCTGACCTCAGGTGATCCACCTGCCTTGGCCTCCCACAGTTCTAGGATTACAGGCATGAGCCACCATGCCCGGCCTACTCCCTTATTTAAAAAATATTTTCTTCACTTTGTTTTGTGACAATATATTCCTGTTTTACCTCCTACATTCTGACTACCTTTTTCAAGTCTCCTTCTCTAGCTTCTTATTTTCTGCCCAACCCCTAAATATACTAGTTCCCCAGGACTGAGTAATTGGCTCTGGCCTTATCTTCTTTTCTATCTTCACCCATTAAAGAATATCTCCTACTGGTCATTATTGAAATACCATCAGTGGTCTCTTTTGTTTCTATTTATAGACTCATCCTCTTCTCTGAGCTCCAGTCTGGTGTACCCAACTGTCTAATTTGCAGATCTATTTTCATAATAAATACTAATCTCAACTTGAGATGTCAAAAATAGAACCATTGGTTTTTCTTTTTCCTAACCCTCAAGGGTTTCCCATCCTCAGTCTTCTTGTTTCAGTAAATGGCAAAATCAATATACAGTTTGATAAGCTTTATAAATGTATACTGCCATATAACAACAAAATAAAGACAAAATATTTGCATCACTCAGGAAGTTATATTATGCCTCTTTGTCATCTTCTTCCCTTATTCCAGCCTTTGGAAACTACAGACCTGATTAATTTTTACCTTTTTTAGTGTGCTATACTGTTGGAATAATAGAGTATGTAGTCTTCTGTGTTTGACATTTTTAACATAGCACAAAGTGTTTGACATTCATTTTTATTGCTGCATAGATTGATAGCGGCTTCCTTTTTATTTGTGAGTGGTAGTGCATTCATGGATATGCCCCAAATTTTGTTCACTTATTTAACAGATGATGAATTTTTTTAGTGCTTAGTAGTTTGAAATTATTATAAATTTCTTGTAAACATTTATGTACAAGCTTTTATGTTGTCATATGTTTTAATTTTGAGTAGGTAAATAGCTAAAAGTGAAATTGCTGCATCAAATAGCAAGTAGATACTTAACAGCCAACAAGTTTTCCGAAGTGATTGTACCGTTTTGCGTCCCCCAAAACATTGTAAGATAGTTCTACTTCTCTCACATCCTCATCAGCACCAAGTGTTCTCATTCTTTTTAAGTTTAGCCATTCTAATAGGCATTCCATGGTAACTCATTGTAATTTTAGTTTCTATTTCCCAGTTGCTACTTGTGTCACATATTTTTTCCTGTGCTTATCTGCAAATTGATACCTTCTTTAGTGCCTGTGCAAATCATTTTAAAATTTGCTTTATTTCTTTCTTTGTGATATTGAGTAACAAGAGTACCTTATTATGCATACAGGCTCCTTTGAAGAAATATGTTCTTCAAATATGTCTTTCAGCTTGTAGCATTTTTTCACTTTATTTAGTGTTTTTGAAAAGTAGAATTTTAAAAATTTTGATGAATTCTAATTTATTCACAGACAGCATGATCATTTATGTAAAAATCTTAGAAGAATTTATAAAAAGCTACTAAAACTAATAAATGTTTTCCAGAAATAAGATAAAAATAATTTCCATTCATATATATTAGTAACAAAATTTTAAAATGATATTAAACATTTTCAATTGTATCAAAACATTAAATAATTACAATGTTAATACATTTAAGATATGTGCACTGAAAACTATAAAACATTGTTGAAAGAGATTAAAGAAGAACAAAATAGGTGTGGAAATAGAGTAAGTTCATACCTGAGAAATGCTTTAAGTTGCCAATTCTGTCCAAATTGATTTGTAGATTGAACATAATCTTTCTCATATTCTCAGCAGGCTCTTTTCTTTAATAGAAATTGACAAGCTGATTCTAAAATTTATATGTAAATGCAAAGGTCCTTGTATAGTTAAACTAATTTGAAAAATAACAAAGATGGAGGACTTATATTGCCTCATTTTCATAAAGCTATAGTTATCTACACAGGGTGGTATTGGAATAATGAAAGATATTTGGGTAAATGGAACATGATTGAAATCTCAGCTAATTTTTAAAAAATGGCCCCAGGTAATTCAGGGGGGAAAGGATTTGTTAAATTTTTTTTTTAACAAATTGTGAAGAGAACTTGGACATTTATATGCAAACAACTAAGCATCTACAATAACTTTACATCATTACAATAAGTAACTCATAAGCGATCATAAACCTAAATAATAAATGAAAAACTTCTACAACATAACATAGAAAAAAAAATCTTTTCAACCTCAGATTAAGCAAATTTCTTAAGACACAAAAAGGCAAAATAAATATTGTAATAAAATGAAGTGAGATATTTCATAAAGCACTGTTCAGCATAATAGTAACCTATTGTTAGGGTGTAGAAATTTCTAGGGCCATCTTCTCTAAAGCGAAATAATGTTAATTACATGTAATCTAAGAGAATACTTGTGTTACTCTTTTAACATAAATTTAAAGCTTGCTATCCACTTGAGAAACAACATGAAAATAGAAACCTAGGGTTAAATGATATGTAACTCCCTTGAACCTTCTAGAATTTAGACAAAAGTCACCATTTTCAAACAATGTGTTCCACAGACTCCTTCTGTTCTTTGAAAATGTCTCAAAGATAAGGAGAGGGATGAAGGGAAATCAGCTATGTAGGCTCCACATTTGTATCCTCGTCAACCAAAGTGTTTTCTTTTGTCTGATTTATAAACTCAGAATCCCTCAAGAATTCAGTTAGGAAATCTTTCGGAAACTATACTATATTATGGTATCTTAGCTTTACAAATTAGATTATCCTCTATAAAAAATTCTAATGGCCTATTACTTAATACCTTTGCACTGAAAATGTTGACTCAGTACTTAAAGTAACATTTCAATATGCTTTCAATTCCCAGTGAAAATCAGCATTGTATATTATAAAAGAAAGAAGAACACTAGTAAGAAGAAATTGGTCTTCAGTCTTTACCTTTCTACTTACTAACTGTGAACTTAACTCATATGCCTTATAGGGCTCTTGTGAGTATGGATGCTCCATAACTTACAATAGGGTTGTGTCACAATGAACCAGTCATAAGTTGAAAATATCGTAAGTCAAAAAAGATGTATTTAATACATCTAACCTACCAAGCATCAGAGCTTAGTCTAACCAACATTAAATATGCTTAGAGAATTTGCATCAGCCAACATTTGTGTAAAATCATCTGGCCAACACAGTACACTGTGGAGAATCAGTTCTTTACCCTTGTGGTTGCATGGCTGACTAGGAGCTGCCCAGCATGGCAGCACAGTACCTCTTTCTACTGAATGCATATCACTTTAATATCATCATAAAGTCGAAAAAACGTAAATCATCCTAAGTCAGGAACCATCCGTATTAATTAATTTTATAGAAGATTCTGGTCTTACAAGTCTAGAGAGAGCCTGGTGAAGAGTTCAAGGCAAGCATGCTAATTTCAAATTCAAAAGAAATATATCTGATGGAAAGTAATTCTAGTCCTATTACGTGTTTCATTAGTGAAACCTTAATTTATTAAAAATTTTAAGCACGTTATCAATACAGGTCACTTTTGTATAGATTGGGGATACAGGAACAGTAAAATAGATATGGTCCCTGCCCTCAGGAAGATTTATTCTAGAGGAGCAGATAGACATTAATCACGTTTGTACAGACACGGTACTCTGTGTGTGTATGTGTGTGTTAACAAATTTGGCAAGCACTAAGTAAGCATTACCAAAGGGCATGACATTGTACAGCCCAGAGGTAAACTAGATGTACAGAAACATTCATTTAGTTGAATCACTCATAAAATAGTTGTGTATCATTCTAAATTAGTAAAATGGTTAAGATTATAATTATTTTAAAATAAAAGCTGCCTGGTATATTTATAGTAGAAACAAAAAACAAGTGTTAAACTTTGTGAAGACCTCTAGAGAAGTTAATTTAATGACTATTTCAGAATAAATTATAATTGGGCTTTTTATGGTTATATGCACTATGTGCTTTTGAAGTGCTCATGTTGCCTGGGGTTTATTTCTTACATTCTTAATTATTAACACAAAAGTTTTCTTCATTATTAATTTGGCCTTTCTATGAGGTAAAGATGTGTTGTCAGTTTCAGCTTAATTCTTTTTTCAAACGATCAGCAAAATTAGACATACTGTTAGTCTACTACACCTAGAAGTGATCATCATTAACACCTATATTTATATTTTAAACAGATAAATAAACATACATAATGAAATAAAAAACAAAATAATACTTTGTTGGTGATAGGTTGTTTAAAGCTCAACTACTTCTATGGCCAAATTATGGTACTGTTAAAATGACCACGCAGTCAAAACTTTCGGATGCTTTGTGTTGAAGCATAAAGATAACACATCTACATATTAAAAATTAACAAATTATGTTTTTGTTATGGCAATCTTTCTCTTTTGTCTTAATCGAAATATTAACTAAAAACAGTGAAATTCTATTATTTGTAATACAGCAAAGAAGTCTGCTTTAAACAATTGTCTAAAACAAGGGAAATTAGCCAAATGATTTTAAGAACCAGAAATAAAGAATGGAATAATGCTTCTTGTACATGCAGTTCATCTTCCTGCCCTCATTTTAGGTCGTCATTGCCTCATTCAGAATGAATGACTTCTGCCACACTCTTCTTCAGTCATGCTTTCTGTCAATTGTAAAGATAATGTAGAAGAGCCATGATTTAAACAATGCCAGCTGATTTCCAAGTTCAAATTTTAATTCACTACTAGGATAGCATCTAGTGAGAGAATACATAAAAAGTTGCAAAATAATTGGTCATTTTTTAAAATTTCATATTTAATGCAGAGCTATGAACAAATAAATATAGAAACTGACAAAATGGATATTTAGTCACTGATAATGGATTAAGGCCCAAAAGATGCATGTTTCTTGAGCGGAATTATCAAACTAACTCAAAGGTAAATTTTATTTCTAAATATTATGTAGTCCAGATATATCTATAACAAGATTCTTATGGTCATTACAAAGAAACTTTTGAAGCACAGATATTCTCTCTGAAACTTATGGAAGATTATATTAGTGGATTAAAAAAGAAATAAAAAAATAACAAAAAGAAATGCTGCATTCAAGTTGACAATATACTGAGATTTAACTACATTAATCCAAAAGTTAAGCCAAGTTTCAGGCTTTATTTTTTAGAGAACTCAGGTTAAGACATAATCATATGGTAAACATGATTTTATCTCTTGCTTCTTTCATTCAACATTTTGTTGTCACATTCTTGATTTGATTACTATTAGATATTTTATATCAATATACTATAATAAATTACTTATATTTAGCTATTTCAGATAATGCTGCTATGAACAATCATTTATAATTATTCTGTTGCAAAAGTATGTGCTTCTCTAGGTTATATGTAGAGGAGTCCACTTTGTACACTAAAGGCTTGGGTACCTTTACATTTTTATCTTCAAATTTTTAGATTGTATCAATTAATGTTCCAAAGTGGGTGGTATTAATTTATAATCTTAAGGCTATAGATGAGAGCTCCAGATGCTCTACTCTCTCTAACTCTTAGTACTGTCTGGTTATTATTATTGTTATTATTATTTGAGACAGAGTCTCGCTCTGTCTCCCAGGCTGGAGTGCAGTGGCGCAATCTTGGCTCACTGCAACCTCCACCTCCTGGATTCAAGCTATTCTGCTGCCTCAGCCTCCCGAGTAACTGGGATTACAGGAGCGTGCCAGCACGTCTGGCTAATTTTTTGTATTTTTAGTAGAGATGGGGTTTCACCGTGTTAGCCAGGATGGGCTCAATCTCCTGACCTCCTGATCCCCCCGCCTTAGCCTTCCAAACTGTCAGATTTTTATTTTTGCTAATCTGGTGGATATGTGGTAGGTTGTATAGTCACGGTTTATATCTGTTTTCTCAACGTAATTATTATTAGCAGCTACTGCAACTCCCCAGTCCATCTTTTTAAAGGGCAAAGATGCAGTCAATATTTTTATCTTTTTGCAGTTTGCATTCATATTTTCCTAATGATAATTTTGACCACTTTTTTACATTGATTACATATTTTGAAATGCCCTTTAAGTTATGCTTTTTAGGTGTTTTGGCTATTTTTTAATTTGATTGTCTAGTTTTTCCCCTTGATGATTTGCTTTTTATATATATTAGATACTGGTTCTTTATTACCTATAGATGTTTAAAAAAATTCTTTACTCTGTGATTTATGTTTTCACCTCTCTTTAGATTAAAAAAACAGTTTTAGTTTTAGGAGTTAAATTTATCAGTCATTTCCCTATGTAAATTTTAATTTTTTTTTGCTTTAAAGTTTTTAATATACTTTCCTATATTCTCTAAAAATATAAAATATTATGTTTAATGTTTAGGCCTATAATTCATAAATCATGTGCAGTTGATTTTTTGCATGTTGTAAGGTAAAGTCTATTATAAATATATACATGTAATAGATACATGTAATGTACACATGTCTTTTTTTTTTTTTTTTTTTTTTGAGACGGAGTCTCGCTCTGTCGCCCAGGCCGGACTGCGGACTGCAGTGGCGCAATCTCGGCTCACTGCAAGCTCCGCTTCCCGGGTTCACGCCATTCTCCTGCCTCAGCCTCCCGAGTAGCTGGGACTACAGGCGCCCGCCACCGCGCCCGGCTAATTTTTTGTATTTTTAGTAGAGACGGGGTTTCTCCTTGTTAGCCAGGATGGTCTCGATCTCCTGACCTCATGATCCACCCGCCTCGGCCTCCCAAAGTGCTGGGATTACAGGTGTGAGCCACCGCGCCCGGCCCCACACATTTCTTTAAACATATATACATATATATGTGCATATCTAAGAACTTAGACCTCTTGGAAATAATATACTGGTATATGCACATGTATGTAAATATATAATTTCCAAGAGTTCTAAGTTCCTTTTATATCCAATTATCCTGGCTTAAATTTGATCACTTTTTGGTTATATTTTCTTGCACTTTATTAAATGATATTCTTTATTTATTGATTTGAACATCTCACATTATTTAAAAATTCTAATCAGTCTTTGCCATAAAATTATTTATTTGGAGAGAATGAATGTACCTATTGTTGATTTGTTGGAATATTGCTATTAGCATTAGTTTTTATTAGTGTTTCAGAATTTTAGTTTCCAACATCATTTTGAATAGAAGGTTTTATTTATAAATTATAATAGTTTTATTACTCCCTTCCTCTGTTCCTAGGCCCTATCCTGGACCTGGTAGTCACCAACCCACAATTTAATTTGTTCTTTACATGGTCTTTTCCATAGTTTGACAGCAATAATAGACAGATTCAGACACTGTTGTACTATATTTCTGTTTTTTTTTGTTTTGTTTTAATCTACAAAGGAGCCTACCCTACCTCTTAGCAAAAAGTAAATAATAGCAGAAAAAATGATCCCTTGCCAGAACCAGACATTTGGCCCTTCCATCTTCTACAATTAGAGCCTAGCAGGCCTATGGCTCAATTCCTGCTGTTTTCTTTGTATTTCTGCTCAATTTTTCAGCCATGAAAATGTAAATTTTATTATTGAAATTGACTATCATGCTTTATATTTTTTTCTTTCATTGCTTTTTTTCTTTCTTTCTTTTCTTTTCTTTTTTTTTTTTTTTAGCAGAGGAATCTACCAGAACATTAATTCCCTAAGCCATCTGGCTAAAAGTCTGGAGTTCAATTTTTAATAGAAGGTGTTTTTATTCATAAATTATTTAGGGATTGAGAATATTAGGGATATACTCTAATTCCTCAATTTTATGATAACTATTTACCCTCTGATTTGTATTTTGTAAGGAATGGATATGTCACTATAAAGCTTTCCCAAATCTTTCACTTACCCACTAAACAGATGCCATATACCCTTGAATAGTACCTGATGGGAAGGACTTATTTATACCTCTACGCACTGACTGAGGTGAAAAGAATGGGGATCATAATGAGGAATTTCTGTTTTGAAGAAATGAATTAACATTTTAAGCCTCTTTTAAATAAAACATTCTTGGCTTTTTTATTTTTTAATTTTTTTTCAGATTTATTAAAGTACAATTGACAAAAATTGTATATATTCATGATGTGTAACATGAAAACATTGTTAGCTTCTAAATAACATGAAGCCATGATCAAAATGTTCAAACATTTGTTTTTTACACACTCAAATATAGCTCATGGGTTATTCTAATGTCTCAATTTTACACTATTATTAAAACATACAAAACAGGCACAAAATGATTCATTTATCTGTACCCCCTAATAAATGAATGTTTCTAGTCTGAAGGGCAAAAGTATCACATCTATATTTAAGTTTTATAGTTCCTATGAATTCCATAAGTTTATATGCTAATTTAACAGAGCTTATTTAACATGTTATTATTATGTTTGACAAGACATATAAAAGGCAAAACAGAAATATATTTTTCTTTAACTCCATAGGAAAATGTAGGTCACCTTTAGACCTAGAATATCGACATCTAATTGTCCACAAAACTCATTTGATCTTCTATGTTCTTGCTAGCCTCATTGTAACAAAGCTTACTACAGAAATCAGTCACTTGTTTCCAAATTTTAATTATATTCAACATAAAAGAAATATAATAGAGTAATTATGTGTATTCTAAAGGTCCACTTTTAGGAATTAAAGAATATTAGTAGTGATTAAAACAGTTTTTAGTAACTATTGATATATTAATACTAATTTAAAACAGTATTTAAAAGACCCTTTTTTTTCCTTATTCTCTCCTATTTAAGCAGCTAAAATTTGGAATTTGTTTTCAACATGAGATAGTGCAAGCTGATTTCATAGTGTGACAGGAATTGGCTTTTGAAGAAACAACTCAATTCCAGAAGTACTGTTCCAAAACAAATAATATTTCCTCCTCCATTCATAAGAAAACAGTCTTTGTAGTAGGAAGTGGCCCCAGATTTCCCATCACCTTCTACTGTTACACCTTCCCTTTTTGTAACAGACTAGTATAGTCTATCTCTTTACTTCATATTTAAGATGACATATTTGGAGTTATTTCACCTGCATTTGCTTATCTCCTCTTGAATGTGTAAGAAGTGACTCAAATTTAATAGGATTGAAATGGAGGTCTTAACTCTCCCAACTCAACATAATCTTCTCACAGTAAAACTATCATTCACCCAGTTGTTCAACTTAGGAACAGCTTCAGTGCATTTTTTTACCACCCAGTTGCAATCCCTCACAATGTGTTGTCAGTTCCACCCTACTCCAAGTATTTCTCAAATTCATTCATTTCTTTCTTACTCCACTGAAAGTTTCTAGTTCATGATGTTACTATTATAATAAGCTTTTGTAGTTGGTCTAACTTCTTCGTATTTGTTTTCCTCCAACCTATTGTCAGAGAAGCAATTTAGATTACTCCACTTTTCTGCTTAAATCCATCAATGATTTCTTAGGGCTTTTAAAATAAAATCCAAACTTCTTACAATGACCTACATGTCTTTGCATGCTCTAGCTTGTTTGCAATCTTTCATCCTCACTCTCTTGCAACAACAACCGACTTCCTGGCTCTCTATTCTTGCAACTCTATTATAGTACCACTTCCAGGCATATGAATATCCTAAAACCTCCACCTGATATATTCTTCCCTCAGCTGTTTTCTTGGAAGGCTCATTCTTAACTTTCAGATCTCAGCTCAAATGTCACCTCTTCACAGAAGCCTTCCCTGATTATCCTAAAGACTCTTCCATTTTCTCTCTTCTCATCACCCTTTGAATTTTTTGGTAGTACTCAACATAATCTATAACCAATTCAACTTAGTTCCTTGTATATGGTCTTAATCTCATTTAGAATATAAATTCCATGAATGAAAATATTTACCTATTTTATGCCTCATTTCATTCTGGAAGCTCATAGGGTATTATGATGTCATAGGTACTCTGTAAATACCTGCTGCTTGCTTGAATTTTGTGGCTGCATAGCATAACTGTTAATAATACACAATTTAGAATCATAGAGATCTCATTTCTAGTCCCACTTAATTTACTTTTGTCCTTGGACTACTCACTTAGCTATTTTGAGCCTGATTCTTTATTCTGATTAGTACACATTTTATAGAATGTTCTTAATATTAATATTAAATTACGTATAAAATGACAAATAACATTTATTTAATGTTCAATATGTGTATAATATTCTAATAGGGATTTGAATAAACCCTATTGTTTAGCTAAATCAATAACCCTAAAAGTTAAACATTAACACAGTTCCCATTTTTTAGATTGAGAAGACTGAATCTAATAGAGTTAAGTGGCTTTTCCAAAGTCACACAGCTAAAAATCTTATTCCAGATAATGAAGTGAGATATTATCTGTAAAGCTGTTGTGTTCATGGTTACTGCAGATTTTGTTGAGATATAAAAGTATTTTTAAGACTGAGATTACTTGAGTTAAAATCTTTTAACAAAAACTCAGTTTTAATAGCCATAAAACATAAGTTCTGGGTCTTCTCTGTATTTTCCTGCATGTCAAATGTTAATTCTTACACTTGATATACTTATATCAAGCTATTATTATTTATTTATTTATTTTACTGTGAACGACTCTTTAAAGTATGTATTAGTCTGTTCTCTACAGCTATAAAGAACTGCCCAAGACTGGCTAATTTATAAAGAAAAGAGGTTTAATTGACTCACAGTTTCACATGGCTTGGGAGGTATTAGGAAACTTACAATCCTGATGGAAGGGAAGCAAACACGTGATTCTTCACATGGTGGCAGGAGAGAGAAGTGCCAAGCAAAGGGGCAAAAGCCCCTTATAAAACCATCAGATCTTGTAAGAACTCATTCACCTGTCATGCGAACAGCATGGGTGGACTGCCCCCCATGACTTAATCATCTCCCACAAGGTCCCTCCCTCAACATGTGGAGATTACAATTCGAGTTACAATTCAAGATGAAATTTGGGTGGGGACACAGAGCCAGGTCATATCAAAGTATAATTTTGAATTTTAGAGCTTGTGTTTTCATTAAATGTTTTGAGATTAGGTAAAATTGACATGACTATTAGATTTTGTTTTGTCAGATTTTTATTAAGTTGTTTGGCATCCTGTAAATTGATGTGAGAGCTTTTATTTTAAAAAGCGCATACAACTATCACATCACATCTTATTAGAGACTGCATATTCCCTGCAAAGTAATCAGTTTAAAATTCAAATTTCAAATAAATATTTATATTTTTATTGTCTTTTAATGTTTGTTCCCCATTAAATTCTGAGCTCCTCGTTGACAGATTCTGTAGGGCTAGTTAGATTAGCTGTGTTATGAATGAGGTTCCTGATTATTGTTACCTGCCATTCTTCTTTTCACAAAATCCTAAATGTCTATAGGTTTTCCACATTTCCCTAATAACAAGATATAGAGAAAGTATAGTAATAAAAGATGATTAATGAAAAACTATTTGGGGCCACATTTGTTGCTCTGCTAGTCTCCCTGCTAAGAGGACCACTTTTTGAAAAGTTGATGTTGTGATGTAGTAATGCAAAAATCTTAAAATAGGTAATGTCAAACAACAGGTAATCTTCATAAGGTATTTATCTGGGTCCTCAGTACAGGGTTCAACAACCACAGACTCAGTTCCTGTTCTGATAATCTCCTACTGTATTAGCCTCTGAGTTAAAAACCTTTTCTAAGTTTATTGTATCTATTGAGGGTAGCAGCAACAGAAAGAACCTAAAACAGCATTAACTTAGCAATGAACATTCTTTTCTTCTTCTGCACTTCTTTCCACTGAAAGAGTTTTAAAGGACAGCTGCAAAGGACGATATTTTGTCAATCATATCAATAGCATTCCCTCATTTTAATTTTATTTCTGTATAATCATTTATTCTACACTTAGACTCAGATTTTTTCCTAAAATAATTTACATCTAAGGTAATGCTTAGTCAATGGTGATGGAACTGGTATACAGAAAGCACCTTATAAATTACAGTGATGAAGAAATCCCATTCCTATATCTGACTATCGAGTATGCCCTTTATACTGTGTTATGCATTTAAATGGGTTATCTCATTTAATGATTATAACAAAATTATGAAGTAGGTACTTTTTGAACCCCATTTTACAGGTGAGAAAATTGAGGTTTAGAGAGCTTAAGTAGCAAACAGTGATAGAACAAGGATAATTCACGATTCTGTCTAATTTTAAACTCTGTGTGCTTAAGTCTTAACCATTACTTTTAGTCCTTTTCTATCATGCAATAATAAATTGGGACTTATCCAAATGAGTTCATTTTCTTGTATCTCATGACTTTATTGACATGACTTTATAATGCTATGTATATGCACATACCTATGTTATATGGTAAAATGCACATATGTACATATGGTATGCTATACAAGCACATACTTTGGTAGCACACCTATGTTATACAATAACATATGGTCTATAAATAGGTGAAATGAAGCAGATTGGAGGAAATAATGTCAATACTGTATAATCCATCATTATGTAGGGAGGAAATCTCAATGTTCCTTGTTGCCTGTCAGAATTATTATAAATAGAGCATGCTTTATTTTAAATCTTATGGCAAAATAGCATTCTTTGCCAATTTCAAACAGTTTTTATCCAAGTGCATAAACACATCTCCCACTTTGCTGCCCCTTGGCATTAATTATTTTGTCCTTCATTGACTGCACAGTCTTTTTTGAGGGTCTACCATGTGTTGGCATTTTGTTTAGCACGAAGAATCTATAGGTGAATAAAATATTTTTCTACCTTCAAAGATACCACTGACAAGTAGTGAAAAATGACAGAGAAATAGATATATGATATTCAGTGGAAAATACTTGTTTGATGGTAGATAATTGTATATGATATTTTCCTCATTCTATACTTCTCCAAAAATTGGGAAAGAGGAAGAGGAGGAGGGGAGAAGGAGAAGAAGAAGACCAAGAAGCAAAGCACTTGCTCAAATTGCTCAAATTCAAATCCTCCTTTGAAGTGTAGGTCAAGTTCCACTTCCTCCACAATATTTCTCTGGCATCTGCAATAGAAAGTAAACTTTCCTGTTCTGAATTCTTATAGTTTTTATTTTGTGTTCTTTAGCATGTGTTATTTCTGCATATGACTTATTTTCTCTGCTAGATTGTGAAACATGTTATATATTTCATTGATATCCTTTAGAAATAGCATGACTGCATTAACCCAACAGAGGCCCAGTATATATTTTTTGATTAATTAAATACAATTGTAAATAGAATAAATTCAATAATGGAACGTCTCACACCATTATTTGTTAACTTCCAATGTCCCACAAGCCCCCATCTCAAATACATGCTATTTTCATCATTGAGACTTTCTGACTTTGTTCTCTCAGACATTTATTCATCCTTTCCTGACTATTGTTAACAATGTGTTTCCTTTGTAAGTCATTCTATATTTTGCTTTGTATTGTATTCATCTTTATGCTTATGTACAATGCAGTATATTGCACATAATGGAGATTATGCAATATTGTTCATTAAATTTGCATTCCCTTTTTTTTTTTTTTGAGACGGAGTCTCACTGTGTTGCCCAGGCTGGAGTGCAGTGGTGCAATCTCTGCTCACTGCAAGCTCCGCCCCCCAGGTTCACACCATTCTCCTGCCTCAGCCTCCTGAGTAGCTGGGACTACAGGCATCTGCCACCATGCCTGGCCAATTTTTTTTTTTGGTATGTTTTTAGTAAAGACGGGGTTTCACCATGTTAGCAAGGATGGTCTCGATCTCCTGATCTCGTGATCCAACCTGCCTCGGCCTCCCAAAGTGCTGGGATTACAGGCAGGAGCCACCGTGCCCGGCCAAATTTGCATTCTTATTTTGTATTTTGTTTTTAATCACCTGGAATACATTCAAGTGTTGTAAAAATGTATACATCCAGTTAAGTTGTGTGAAGAACATTTATCTTCCCCTAGAATGATGACACTAATGAAAGTCATAGCTTTTTTTTTGATGGTTTTCAAATTGTGCTTATGTTTATTTCTAGATTTTCCCCAATGAATAGAACAAAGAAAATTATTTTCAGATTGGCAAATAACAGTAATGGTTTCAAGCACTCCAGTTAGTGCTTGCTATATAGATTTATCATTTTGTACGTATAGCCACATACTATTTTACAGTCAATTATTTAGAACAGTAGGTTGCTCCCACCCTCAAACAGAATAAACTAATTTCAATTTGCCTTCTAACTAGAAACAACTGCTAATAATATGGAAACGTAATGAACACAAGGCAAGGATCTTTCACAGAAACTATTCCCATTATGTTCATATAATATTCTTTTAAAAATACTACATTTCAGAGTTGTTTGGTAATGGAGAAAACAAGTCATCATAATTTCATGTAATCATGCTGTTCCTCTGAATAGTTTGTGAGTGTGACAGGTCATTTTTAATCCAGCTAGCTGTTTACATTATGTTAATGTGAAAAACCCAAACTCCAAATTTGCAAGCTCTTGGTGCTAAAGTAATGTCTGTCTTTAAATAGCTTATTTCTTGATTCACCAGCAAAACAATTTTAATCAGTTTATTTCCTGCATCGATGTTCATTAACAGCAGGACAGAGCTGATTTTAGTAAATACAGTGAACTTTCTGTCAGCCTATTTACTGCATTAGTTCCTGTAACATGTAAAAGAATTGGGTAACCAAAGCCTTATCGCAATATGGGCAGGCCAGGGAAGAAAAGTGAGAACAGAGACATCTCACCAGGAGCAGGAACAAGTGTGGACAAGAATTTGCAAATACCACCTGTTAGAAGATTATAGTGTCTACAACTACTCATTAGGAAGAAAAAACAGTTAAGCATACTATACTTGTCTGAGCCAACAATTTTGACAAGGAGAAACGTACTCCTGCAAATAATTTTGATCCTTACGGGTAGATTATTCTACTCTATTGCTGGAGGTGAGAACACACACAGACACAGGTACATAATCACACACACACACACACACACACACACACACACACACCACACACACACACACTTCAAATTACTTACCATCCTATACTAAAATTGTACAATTAGTCCACTCTGTCTCTTACTGCCTTGCAAAGTTAAGACACAGCTCTCATTATTTTATATCATTTTACTTCTAAGCTCAAGTTCTGTGCCTACCACATAGTTAGAGATGAAGACACTTTGTTAGATCTGAGATCAATTGAAACCAAGAAGTCAGCAAAGGAAAACTTTCTTTTTACAGTTTAGCAAAATGATCCTCAGGAACCAATTCCATGTGGTCTTTATCTCTGGAAATGTAGCATCATCCCTAAACTGAAAGAGAGCTAGGACTCTGAGTCACATCACCCCAGTTCTCCCTTTTGTATCACTTTTCTCTCCTCTCTGTCAGGCAGATTATCATTGCAGATGCTCTGGGCACCAGATATTTTCTTCATTTAAATATTTCAAAACAAATATATAATGCCAATGCATTGTAATACATAGAAATACGTATTTATATGAATCCAAATGTAAAAAACAGTTCTGATATACATACATGTGTTCCTTAAGGCTGGTATAATTAGTAAAGTAGGAGAACGATGGCTATGCAAATCAAAGGTGGACCTAGCTCCCCAAAACCAACCTCTTGATTTTGGAGAACCTTATCTTACTAAAACCCCTGAGATTGCCTGTGCACTGGCACAGGGTTCTATAATAATCAGAAAATTTATTGGGATAAAGTCATGTTTGTTGGCCTGCTTTCACCACAGGAAAGAATGGGTAAGACACAATATATAGCTGAGTATCTCAGATCCTAGGAAAAAGAAACATTTCACATTGTTCAATTTGTGTGAATAAAAGTATGGTGAAGTTTATGATACGTTTTGGACTTGTGTCCCCACCAAATCTCATGTTGAATTGTAATTCCCAGTGTTGGCAGTGGGGCCTGGTGGGAAGTGATTGGATCATAGGGGCAGTTTCTCATGAATGGTTTTGCACCATCCCACATGGTATTGTCATCACAATAGTGAGCGAGTTCTTACGAGATTTGGTTGTTTAAAAGTATGCAGCATCTCAGTCCTCTCCCTTCTTCCTGCTCTGACCACATGAAATGCTTTTCCCACTTTGCCTTCTGCCATGATTGAAAGTTCCCTGGCCTCAATCGAAGCTGAGCAGATGCTGTTATGCCTTCTGTACAGCCTGCAAAATTGTGAGCCAATTAAACATCTTTTCTTTATAAATTACCCAGTCTCAGTTACTTCTTTATATCAATACAAGAAGAAACTAATATAGCTAGAACTTAACACTCTGACTAAAGAAACAGGATAAAAGTTAAACAGCGATAGCATTAAACCACAATTGTAATGTAACAGAGCTTAGACTGTGTATAAATAGGTTTCTCCTACTCTTATTGAAAGAATATTGGACAAAGATTGTCTCAGTCATGATTGCTGTGTTGCAAACACACCAAAATTTTGTGGCATAAGATATCCATGGTGTTATACTTAAAAATGATGTTCAGGAATTTGAACAGAATGGTATAGTCATGGCAGGAATGGTTGTCTGTACTTTAAGATGTCTGAGGACTCAGGCAAGAACATTGAAGCCTGGGGTTCACTTATAGCCTGTGGGCTGAAATTATCTGAACACTCCTTCACTCACATATGTGGCAACTGGGCTGGAATGATCGAATGCTGTGTTCAACCTGGGATGTAGACTGGAGTGCTTATATACATGGTTTTTCCACATAGCTTGGGCTTCTCACAGGATGGTGACTGACTCTGAGGGCAAACAGAGAGCAATGATTCCAAAAAGTTGTGATATTTTCACCCAAAATTCATAATTTTAATCCAAGATGAAAGTTATATAGACTTTTCTGACCTATCATTGATAGTTAAATAGTGTCACTTTTGCTGCATTCTAATGGTTACAAGCCAATCAGTTCAGATTCAAGGAAATGGGGCACAGGTATCACCTCAAAGTATTGGCAGCAGTAATCAGTTTTTCAGTCAATTAGCAGATGAACTAAATCAATACAATCTTAATTATCCTGAATTCAAACGTACATTTTAATAACTTCACTGAGAAAACACATATTATAAACAAATATTAAAAATAATAGTAGCTAGTGTTTCTAAACTGAAATTTAAGGCAGAATTTGAGACTATAAAAAGTGTGCATTTTCTTTTTAAATTATTTTTCTGGGAACTTTCTCGAGAGTGATCTTGCTTCAGTCCTGCTCTTAATCAGCTCTCTAAACTTTGATCCAGTACTTCCTATTAACTCAAAATCTGTGGGGCCATCTCAATAGTAGGATGATCTTCTGAACTGGCTTATGAACATCTCCAATTCCTTGAACGTTAAATAACCTCTCTACTTAGGGCCTGCATTAATAGTCTTTCTAACAGAGACATGCCTTTCCACTTACAGACATGAAAAGCTCCAATAATGTTTTTAGGAGCTAAAAGTCAGGTGAGAAGAAATATATCATCAAGCAATTGCTGCCTTGAAATTGCCCAGTAGGATTCCAGGTTTCTAAGAAAATGTCTGAAGTTAATTGCACATTTTTATCCCCATTTACAAAGAAAGGTAGTGATTCCTACAGTAGGTTAATATTTCCACTTGAGAGCTAAATAAAAGGAAAATCTTTTTGAACTTGGCAAAGCACAGCAATTAATTTTGTCTGTTAGGATATAAATTAAATGCACAGCTACTAGTTAGGCTTTGAAAGCAGAAGGCTAGAGTCATTTTTAAACCATAGTAGGGTGCACACTAAATTCCGGATAGAATGGTATCTCTTCATTACCTGAATTAAAATGTATCTTTGTCTTTTTAAATTCTACCAATATTTCAAGTCCTATTGAGAAGTCAACCATTATATGACACCTTCCATATTATAACTAGCTGGTGATGATTTTACTTATGTTTTTGTTTAGTAACACACGTATGACATTTCACAGTGCCTTGTATCAGAGCTATTGGTGTACATATATGGCATTTCCCCATAACACTTAAATTTGTTGTATAGCTTTACAGATTTTATAAGTCATAAAATATATGACTTAAATTATATAAGTGATAAAGGTGCTTTTAAAATGCATTTTAAATGAGTAGATGTCACATCTAGTGTACAGAGAAGGACTTGCAAAAGTAAAAGTAATTTGTGAAATCAGAACATTTACCACAAATAAAATGCAAAAAGTGCTTGTCCATTTGTTTCTCTCGTGCAGTATTCGCATCCCCTGTCTTCCATATTCAGTTTGTCTATATAAACACAAATTTTACTCTTCTGCTTAATTTCTATAAAAAGCAGAATATAATGGAATGATTTAGAAGAACAAATGAGTAAAACATAGCTATACTGTGAATCAAACTACTTTAAAAATTCCATATAAATGAAAGGTATTATATCTTGCTTTGTAAGAAACAGACTGAAGCAAAAGTACCTTCAATGAGGGTGTTGTAGTCTGTTTATACTGCTATAACAAAATACCTAAGGCAGTAATTTATAAAGAACAGACATTTCTCACAGTTCTGGAAACTGGGAAGTCCAAGATCAAGGCATCATCAGGTTCGGTGTGCCTGGTGAGGGCCTGCTCCATTGAAGGTGTCTTCATCCTCACATGGCAGAAGGTAGAGGGACAAAGGGCCTAAACTAGTTTCTTCTAGTTCTTTTATAAGTCACTACTCTATCAATGAGGGCAGAGCCCTCATGGCTTAATCACTTCCCAAAAGACTCTATTCTTAATACCACCACAATGAAGATTAAGTTTCAACATGAATTTTGGCGTGAACATAAACATTTAAACCGTAGCAGAGAGTAAGGAGATGCATCTAAAGTTCATTTAGAGTATGTTAGTGATAAAGATGTTTCTTTTTCAACTTGCCTTTTATATGTTAAAGGTTTTACTGATACTTGCCTTCAAGATTTCCCTAAGCTAAAGTAATTTGAGAGAAACGTTTTTTCATATTTTTCTGATCCTCTTAAGGAAATTCTCTGCTTCCAGTCTCCATTACTATCTCCCAGTTCCTTTCCTTGGCATGCTTACTTTAGTATTTCTTTGTTGCTACCAACAGCACAAAAAGAAAGTAGCTCAAAATAGCTAGGTGACAATACTTTAGATGAAAATCAGCATTGTGTATCATAGACCTAGAAAACTGGATTTTTCTCAGAAGTTCTAAAAACAGAAATTAATGGTAAAAGCATTGGGGAGTTTTATTCCATTTATTCCTACATGCTGTAGATATTTTTTAAAATGGTAAACTCAAAATAGAAAATGAATTGCTCTAAAATGTAATTTTTTAAACAAATAAAAACCAACACAGTGATAATTTAAAATTATTTCTTTTTTTTTTCCTCTAAGATGGAAGATTAGAGGGTTTTATCATGCCCCAGTCATTTGGAAATAGCAAAAGAGTGCATAAGTATCAACTCTGTGAGTTCAAGAAACAAAATGTGAATCCACTGAATTTGTGAAGGACACTCCAGATTCCAGGGAGGAGAACACGGGCAAATAGCCCCCATGATGGCATCCAGCTAATAAAAGTGAGGGAATCCCCAGGACATAAGAAAGGCAAAGAGCCTCTCTCTGTGACTCACCTTTTCTATGAGGATATGAGCAACCTGGGCTGAGAAGAGCACTATATTTCTCCTAACCCCTGGAGCTCACCTGGGGAGGGGCTTGGAGGCTCTGAGAGGGAAAGACACTGGGAAAAGTTACAGGCATTTTCCCAGACCTGAGATCAAGAGCAGGATGCCATTTTTCATCCAGGCACAAAGTAAGCCATTGTTTGGCAACCCAGCAGCATGACCATGCACGGATTTTTTCTCAGGCCAGAGACTGGAGGGCTTGCTCTGGAGGGGTAGGGCCCTCCACAGCCAAAATTTTGGAAACTGCCTAAGTAGCACTCTCCTCCATTGCAGCCTGGGGCAGCAGGAGAGCTGCTATAGGTACAGTTTCTCCTGGGTGACAAGGCTTGCAGTCAGGGACAGTTTGGTGACCTGGAACTGGTCTGCATGTGTCAGTGCTGGGTATCTCAGCCTGCTCCCCTGAGATGATGATGCAACGGCCCCTCTATGCACCATCCCGAGGAAGAACTCCAGGTATTCAGAGTACCCACTTACATGAACGAGCAATCTGAGGTGCCCCACCTTTCACGTGCAGAGTAGCTGGTATAAGGAAGCCCTCTCTGCTTCACATTCAGGTAGATCTCCAGGCATTCAAATTACCTGCTCACCTGATGGAGCAGCCTGAGCTGTCCCACCCTTCCTGAGCATAGATTGTGGTGCAACAGGGCCCTCTCTATTCCACAATCAGGCATATCCCCAGGCAGTCAGAGGACATGCTCACCTGGATTACCAGCCTGAGCTGCCCCGTCCTACTTGTGCAGAGATTATGGTGGAGCAGGGCTTTCTCAACTTTGCACCCAAGTAGATTTCTAGACAGTTGGAGTACCTGCTTGCCTGTAACAGCAGCCTTCGGTGTCCCACCCTTCCTGTGAGGAAACTGTGGTGCAGCAGGGCTTTCTACACTCAATTCCCTGGCAGATCTCCAGGGATCCGGAGTACCCACTCTCCTGCATTAGGAGTTTAGGCTATGAGTATCAACTCTGTGAGCTTCTCTGCCCATGCAGAGAACTTGGGGCTGAGGAGGTTTCCCAGTTCCATGCCTAGGCACACCTCTGAGTGCTTAGTGGTCACCTACTGGATTTCCCTCAGGGTTGGTGTTTGTGCATGCCATCAGGGGATCTGTCGGTGGGCCTGCCCGGTCTGGCCCTGCTCACCTTGCCGCCTGCTCTCCCACAGGCCTAACCAGGGAGTTCAGACCAATGTGCACTCCAGGGATCAGCCCATTGCCTGAGGCAACAGACAGTGTCTTCTGATAAACAAGTATAAAGTATACACCCAGTCACTCTAGCCACAGCTAACTCTAACCCATAAACACCATCTACTGGCTTATAGGTCAAACAGCACAGCTCAATATAAAACCTGCTGAAAAATGTACCTAGGGTTATAGAAGTGAAGCCAAAATACCCTACACAACATTCTACACAGTCATATGCCCTAGAGAGGAGAGGAAAAGAAAAGGAGAAGAAAAAACAATAATATTGTAGGGAAAGAAAAAAGAAAAAAATCTACCTGCACAAAAATAATTACAAAAATCAGAAGAATCAGTATCTCTACATGATAAGGAAACGGTACATATATTCTGGCACTTTGAAAGATCTGAATATAGTGACACCACCAAAGGATCAGACTAGCTCTCCAGCAATGGTCCCTAACTATAATGGAAACCCAAAAATGACTGATAAGGAAATCAAACCATGGATTGCAAGGAATTTCAATGAGACTGAAGGCAAGGTTGAAAATAAACACAAAGACAATTGTAAATTAATCCAGGAAATGAAAGAAGAGATAAACAAATAATAAATCTGATTTTCTAGAGTTGAAAAACTCACTTAAATTTCTAAATACAACTGAAATCTTTGCCAATATACTGGACCAAGCAGAAGAAAAGATTTTAGACCTGGAAAACTAGTCTTTCAAACTAATCGAGCCTGATAAAAATAATAATAATAATGAAGAATTTAAGAAATGAACAAAGTGAGAAATGTGGGATAAGGTAAAGAGATCAAATCTATGAATTACTGGCATTTCTGAGAGAGAAGGAAAAGTAAACCACCTAGAAAATATATTTGAGGGAATAATTCAAGTAAACTTTCCTAATCTTGCTGGAGATGTGGACTTCCGGATACAAGAAATCCAGAGTACACCTACGAGATACTATACAAAATGAATAGCACCAAAGCAACAGTTAATGCTAAAGAAAAAAAATCTTAAAGGAAACTAGAGAAAAACGTCAGATAATGTACAAAGGAAACCCTATCAGGCTAAGAGTGGACTTCTTGGCAGAAACTTTACAAGCCAAGAGAGGCTGGGAGCCTATTTTTAGCATTCTTAAAGAAAACAAATTCCAACCAAGATTTTCATATCCAACCAAACTAAGCCTCATTAGTGAAGGAGAAATAAAATATTTCCCAGACAAACAAAAACTAGGGGAATGAGTGACCACTAGACCAGTCTTCATTAAGAAGATTACACTCTCATTAAGAGAGTTATAAACGTGGAAAAAAGGACTATACATGCTACCACAGAACACACTTAAGTACATAACCCACAAACCCTATAAAGCAACCACATAATAGAAACTACAAAGCAACCAGTTAACAACTTCATGATAGTGTCAAAACCTCACATATCAATATTAACCTCGAATGTTAGCACTCTAAACACCCCACTTAAAAGATACAGAGTTGCAAGTTTGATAAAAAACAAGACCCATGTATCTGCTCTCTTCGAGACACCCATCTCACATGTAACGACAACCATAGGATCAAAGTAAAGGGTTGGAGAAAGATCTGTCATGAAAATAGAAACCAAAAAAGAGCAGAGGTTGCTATTCTTACATCTGATAAAACAGACTTTAAACGAGGGGTGCCCGATCTTTTGGGACTTGATTTATGGTTAAGCAAGTGGTTGATCTTGGGAGTGTATTCTCTGTGCAGATGAGAAGAATGTATATTATGTGGTTAATGAGTGGAGTATTCTGTAGATGTCTATTAAATTTAATTGGTCAAGTGTTTAAGTCCAAAATTTGTTAGTTTTCTGCCTCAGTGATCTGGTTAATAATGTCAGTGGGGTGTTGACATCCCCAACTAGTATTGTGTGGCCAACTAAGTCCTATTGTAGGCCTAAAAATAGTTGTTTTGTAAATCTTCTGCCAAGACAATTGGGATAATAATTGTCTTGGGTCACACATAAAATACATTAACACTAACAATAGCTAATAAACTAAAAAAAATTGCAAAAAAAAAAACCCCTCAGGTTTTAGGAAAATTTACAAATTTGTATTTGGTTACATTCAAGCTGTCCTGGGCTACATGCAGCCTGTGGGCCACAGGTTGGAAAAACTTGCTTTAAACCAACAACAGTGAAAAATGTCAAAAGGCATTACATAATGATAAAGAATTCAATTCAACAAGAAGAATTAACTATCCTAAATAAATAAGCACCCAATATTGGAACACCAAGATTTATAAACTATCTCCTCTAGCAGATGACGTAACTCAATAACTAGAAATCTTGAAAACGTTCACTAAAAGTCTCCTGAAATGATAAAGAACCTCAGTAAAGTTTCAGGATACAAAATCAATTTACAAAAATAAGTAGGTTTTTTTTTTTTTTTTTTGAGGCAGAGTTTCACTCTTGTTGCCCAGGCTGGAGTGCAATGGCGCTATGTCAGCTCTCCTGGGTTCAAGCGATTCTCCTGCCTCAGATTCCAGAATAGCTGGGATTACAGGCATGTGCCACCACACCCAGCTAATTTTGTATTTTGTAGAGATGGGTTTTCTCCATGTTGGTCAGGCTGGTCTCAAATTCCTGACCTCAGGTGATCCACCCACCTTGGCCTTCCAAAGTGCTGGGAATACAGGCGTGAGCCACCGCGCCCGGTCAGATTTTTATACACCAACATTATTCAAGCTGAGAGTCAAATCAAGAGTGCAATACCATTCACAATATGCAAACACACACACAAGAAATTATGTAGGAATACATATAACCAAGGAGATGACAGATCCCTACAACGATAACTAAAAAAGAGAAATCATAGAGGGCACAAACAAATGAAAAAGGATTTCATGCTCATGGATTGAAAAAATCAATATTGCTAAAATGGCCATACTTCCAAAAGCAGTCTACTGATACAATGCTATTCCTATCAAAGTACCAATGTCATTTTTCACAGAATTAGAAAAATACTACTCTAAGGTTCATATGGAACAAACACCCCAAGTAGCCCAAACAATCCTAAGCAAAAGAACAAAGCTAGACATATCACATTACCTGACTTTAAACTATGCTCTAAGGCTACAGTAACCAAAACAACATGGTGTTTGTACAGAAACAGACACATAGACCAATGGAGCAGAACAGAGAACCCAGAAATAAAGCCTCACATCTACAACCATCTGATCTTTGACATCTACAACCATCTGATCTTTGACAAAGTTGATAATAGCAAGCAATGGGAAATCGATTCCTTATTGAATAAATGATGCTGAGATATCTGGCGAACCATATGCAGAAGATTGAAAATGGACTACTACTTTTCACCATAACGAACATTAACTCAAGATGAATTAAGAGTTGAAAGGTAAGAACACAAACTACAAGAATCTGAGAAGAAAACCTAGAAAATATTCTTTGGGACATTGGTCTTAGGAAAGATTTTTTGACTAAGTCCTCAAAAGCAATTGCAGCAAAAGCAAAAATTGACAAGTGGGACCTAAATAGACTAAAGAACTTCTGTACAGCAAAATAAACTATCAACAAAGTAAGCAGACAACCTACAGAATGGGAAAAACATTTGCAAACTATCCATCTGACAAAGATGTAATATACATATCCATAAGGAAATTAAACAATTCAACCAGCAAAAACAACCCCATTAAACACTCCTCAAAGACCTGCAGGCAGCCAACAAACATATGAAAAAATGCTCCACATCACTAATCATCAGAGAAATCCAAATCAAAACCACAGTGAGACACAATCTCATACCAGTCAGAATAGCTATTATTAAAAACACACAAAATAACAGATGCTAGTGAGGTTGCATAGAAAAAAGTTATGCTTTATACACTGTTGGTGGAAAGTAAATTATCTCAGCCACTATGGTAAGCAGTGCAGAGATATTTCAAAGAACTAAAAATAGAATTACCATTTGACCCATCAATCCCATTACTCAATATATATGCCCACAAAAAAATAAACCATTCTACTTAAAAGACCCATGTATTTGTATGTTCATCCCTGTGCTATTCACAATAGTAAAGACATGGAACCAACCTAGGTGCCCATCAATGGGTGGATTGGATAAAGAAAATGTGCTACATATACACCACAGAATACTATGCAACCATCAAAAAGAATGAAATAATATCTTTGCAGCAACATGGATGCAGCTGGAGGCCTTTATCCTAAATGAATTAATGCAGGAACAGAAAACCATACATTCCATGTTGTCACTCATAAGTGGGAGCTAAATATTTGGTACAAATGGATATAAAGATGGGAACAATAGACACTGACGACTATTAAAAGGGGGAAGAAGTAAGTGGGCAAAGATTTAAAAACTAACTGTTGGTCAGCCATAGTGGCTCATGCCTGTAGTACCAGCACTTTGGGAGGCCGAGGCAGATGGATCACTGAGGTCAGGAGTTTGAGACCACCCTGGCCAACATGGCAAAACCCCATCTCTACTGAAAATACAAAAATTAGCCGGCCATGGTGGTATGTGCCTGTAATCCACCTACTCAGGAGGCTGAGGCAAGAGAATTGCTTGAACCTGGTAGGCAGTGGTTGCAGTGAGCCTAGATGTTGCCACTGTACTCTAGCCTGGGTGACAGAGCAACATTTCATCTAAAAAAAAACTAAAATAAAATAAAAATAAATAAATGAATAAAACCTAACTGTTGAGTATTATGCTCACTACCTGGGTGACAGTATCATTCATATCCCAAATGTCAGTAGCACATAATATATCACGTAACAAATCTGCACACGTGTCCCCTGAATCTAAAATAAAAGTTAAAATTATATTTAAAACGTAGTTTCCTGTTAGATATTCGTTAAATAATCTATCAGTCACATATTGTCCAGGACTTGAAGAATATGGTATGATCATGAAACGTATTATTTAAATTAAATTTGGTGCTGGCTCCACATTAATCAAAATTATTATAGATATATCAAATTCATACTCTAGTTTTTATGTTAGAAAATATTTGTATATTTGAAAATCAGACTATTCAAATTCTAATCTCAGATCTATAACCCACTGTGACAATGGGTCATTACTTAATATCTCTGACTCAGTTTCTTGGTCTAAAATATTAGGATAGTATGTAATTCATTTACTATTAACCAAATGGAAAATAAATATATATCTGTGCATCTACACACACACACGCACATACACACCCAACACACACACTACTCACACACTTTCACACACTCAATAACAAATACAAATGTATAGATATCTGTCCACCCTATCTCTCTTTGGTGTCTATGTATTATTAATAGACCCTTTCTTTCTTCATCTCTGATGATAAATACAATCACCATTCTTGGGATATTTCCTTTCATAACTCATGTATTCCTCCTTTTTTACTTATTTCCTATAAGAGTTGAGCTCTCTCACCATCTATTTCTCTCTCTCTCTCCTCTCTATATCTATCTACCTGTCTCTCATCACATTTTTTATGCCTTAGAATATATTTCCTAAAAATCTGTACTGTTACAAAACTCTTCATAAATAACTTATGCCAGAGTGTTTCTATTTTAATCTATTTTACATAAATTGGTGATAAAATTTATTAATTTCTGTTCTACAAATCATTTAAATCCTATAGTAACCTATAACATTAGTGATGCTAACTAAAATATAGATAGGATTTTGAATTACAAGACCACGCTGCTGTAAGAGACTTAACATTTATAAGTTTCCTTTTCTTTACATTAGGGAGAATAAGCCCTACCTCTAACAGTTTTAAAATTAATTAAATATGAATATATATAATTATTTTTAAAAATTCAAATGAAAAATGTATGCACATACATATGTAGTAATCAAAGAAACAACCTCAACTTGGCTAACAATATTTACCTCCTATATTGTCAATATGTTATTTATTATCTTCCTTCATGGTCTAGCCATGTGTTGAAAATTGCCCCAAGCATATTCCCTACATACTACCACTTGCTTTTATCATCTGAAATTTGCTACTACTTGCTGATACATAGTGTAATGAGATCTCATTAATAGTAAGAACCAAGTTTTACTGGCTCTTTGCTTCCATTTGTTATAATACTAATGCAAAATCTTCAACTCTCCCATTGTTTCACAACTGTTCATCAGTATGTTCAGCAGTATGTTTCGTCAGTGTTCATGAACAAGTATTTCTACCAGAGGCCACCAATAATGTATGCAGTTCTGATTGACATCACAGCTTTTCCTGCCATTCTTCCAACCCACCTGGATTTCATTCTTTTTTATTGCATTGGGCTCTCCAATGACAGAATTCAGTGCTGTCTATTATTCTCTCTTTAGTTTTCTTGAGGAACCACCCTTCTCTAACTCTAAGTCCATATGATTTTGGAGGGGCTGATTTCATTTGTACCTTTAGAGGTGAGCACCTCAGGACAACAAACACCAGTGCCAAAGTGATAGATTTATTTATAAGCATATATATGTATTTTTATTTTTTATTGTATATATGTAAGGTGCACAACATGATCTGGTATACATATACATGAAGAAATATTTATTATAGTCAAGAAATTCAAATATTAGTCATTTCATATAGTTGTATTTTGTCCATGTGCATGGTAAGAGCATCTAAAATCTATTCTTTCGGCAAGTTTTTGGAGGATAATATATTATTAACTATAGTCCTCCTGCTGTACATTGGATCTTTAGACTCCTTTATTCTACACATCTGCAAGTTTGTACCTTTTGACCTACATCTTTCCACTCTCTCCCCTTCCTTGCCTCTGATAACCACATTTCTACTGTTTCTATATATTTGACTTTTTAAGGATTCCACATATAAGCAAGATCAAATAGTATTTGTCTATGTCTGGCTTATTTGACTTAGCATAACAGCCTCCAGCTTCAACCATGTTGTTGCAAATGGCAGGATTTCCTTATTTTTAAAGGCTGGATAATATTATGTTGTGTATATGTATATATGCACTTGATTTTTAAATCCGTTTATCCATATAGTCATATGACCTAATCAGAGTTAATTAAGTTCTAATCCTGGGGCTTTTGCTAGAAATTGTGAATAGATACATTCTCATTTCAGCTGAGTGAGAACATGGTGAAACAATAGCCTGAATCTACTGCTGGTGGCAGAGAGTGAAGGTAATTCTGAAGAAAGCAGAGACAAGCCACAGCGAAAGATAAATTTTTTATAATATTGTTTTATTCTTCCTAATAAATTATGTATGAAAGTTTTTCAACTAAAATATTTTTAATTATGTAAATCAATTTTGTTTTTAATACTAAATTAAAGTAGGATTTGTGTGTGCATGTGTGTGTGTGTCTTACAAATGAAATAATCCTAAATTATCCCCAAACTATATTGCCATAGTTCAACCATTTATCTTTTCTGAGCGTATCTCCAGGAAAGGCGATAAAAATCACAGTAGTTTCCATATTATTTAATTCTCAGAGTACTGTTTGTATTCTAAGTTTATATAGACGCAGATAAAGTACTTTTTGGTGCCTTTTGTATCAGGGACCCAGATATGTATCCATGGGCTAGAGAATTTATATTCCCTTCTATGAACTGACAGAGAAGTTCTAGGACAAATTCAACATGGTGGGCATTCCTTCCTTTGGATAAGTTCTCTTTAATTACTCTTTGGTGTATACTGCAAACATTCTTCTGTTGGGTTCTTCCCAAGTGTTTGTTCAATATACATTAGATACAGACTGAGTTTTATTCCATTTTTAATCAGACAACACCTTAGCCTTTACATTTTGCTTGACATATTTGAATCTTTCTCATACACTTAGGCTGTGCTTGTTTGCATCTCTGTTCCTTTGCACGTGCTTTTCCTGATAATAAAAAGTCTTCTATCTTTTATAGTGCTCTGTGTAATAGAGTACGAAGAGTACTGCATAATTTAAGTCTAAATTAATTAAAAAATTAAATTCAATTTAAAAATCAATTCATTAGCTTCACTAGTCCTATGTCAAGTGCTCAATAATCACATGGAACTGGTAACTACTGTTTTGGACAGCACAGACATAGAATATTTTATTATCATAGAAAATTTCTATTGCACAAATCTATTCTAGATTATGGTTTAGAATCTTGTTTCAATTAAAAATCAGAATTTAAAAACGTAGATGTCTGTGTTTCACCCCAAACCCAGTGAGCCAGACTATCTGGGTATGGGTTAGTATTCTGACAGTTTTTATTGTTTTTAAAGAAGAAAAAGTTGCCAAGGATTTGAGATGACTTGTGCTAATATTTTGTAGGGAATGATGCCAAAAACACAAGCATAGCATAACCAACCCCTTCTGAGATTTCTCTTTCTCTTAAAGTTTTCAGTAAATACACTACCCAGCTACTATTTATTGTTTCGTGATTTCTGATGTTCCTTGTCATTGTTTTCCCATTCCTCAGTTTCAATTTGATAATACACAAAGACTAAAATCTAAACACCATCACCTCATTGTTTTATAAGCTGACTCAGCCATTGTGTTGCGATTTTGGGCAAGTCTTTTAGCATCCAGCATTACTGTTTTATCTATAAATGAATGGTAATTGCAGATGAATTAAATTATATTTAAGGTATAAGAATTGGTTATGTTTGCCTTTAATATCATTTTGCTTAAAAATATCTATTACTATCCTACCTCTAACTTTTTAAGATAACATTTTTAAATTTAATGGAATAATTATTTAATTAATATATAGTGATTTTTAGTAATGTGGTTTGTTTCTTGGAGATGCATAGAAAAAAATAGGAAAGACAAAAATTCAAAATAGAAGTGTGAGGGAGAGGGAGAAATATAAAAATAAAAATAAAAGAGGGTACACTTTATCTTGTAGTCTCTGCTATATTCCATCTGTTATTTCATAAATAATCTCTATTTAGTCATTAGTCATGAACAAAATACAATTTTTCTTCCTCTTTGAGACAGTAACCCAAGGATGAATGTAACCCAAAGATAGAGTGTCTTTGATAATTATATGTCGTATCACGTGTTTATGTTATTACCTTTTTATATATTTGGTGTTTGAAGTCAGATAGAAGACAATAAAGAGAAAAAGACTGCAATAGGGTGAATCGATTAAAACTTTAAAGAAAATGTTTTAAAAGCAATAAGTTACAGTACATGTCTTTTCATTTAAAATTATGTTCCTAACTTTTGTTTTATTTGTTTGGATCTATGATGTACAATGCAATTCTGACACAAACTACCTGAAGTTAAGCCAAACTTTATGAGTTACTTTAGGGCAGAGACCCTCAAAAGACTGCTCTCACTCCAGACACCAGCCTCAAACTTGGAGTTTTTAGACTACCTACACTTTTGACCAACTGACTCCAATTCAGGGAGGGAGTTTTCATTATCCCCTCTAGTTTGATAACTCACTCTAATGACTCAGAACTCAATGAATCATTATACTTAATTATTATAGTTTTATTATAGCAAAAAATCAAGACCAGACAAAAGAATAGATGTATAGGGCAAGGTCTAGAAGGGTCCTAAATTTGAACCTTCCTTTTGTCCTCTGCTCACGGAGTTCAGATGAATCACCCTCCTGGCACATCAATGTACAGCTATATGCACATGATATTGCTAACCAGGACAGCTCTCCTGAACATCTATGTCCACAGTTTTTACTGGAATTTCATTACAAAGGCATGATTGAATCATTGGTCTTGTGATTAAACTCAATCTATATCCCCACTTCCCTCCCCAAAGGTCAGGCAGATATCACCTTGCTCAAAGCTCTACCCCTGTAATCACATGGTTGGTCTTTTTGATGTGCCCACTTCCCATTCTGAGTTGTGTAGTTAACATAAACTCAGGCATGGCCAAAGTAGCCTACCATAAATAACAAAAAAATTCCTATCGCTTGGAAACTTTTGAGAGTTTTTGGAACCAAAGAAAAAGACCAGACAAATAATTATACAACAGATTAAAAATAATAATTTGATCTAACTATATCTGCATACATTTTGTTAGAATCTACTTGCTAGCAATTTACTTGAGGGATAATGAAATAGTGTGAATTACATTGTGTAATGCTAAACTATTATGGATATTTTTTCACTCAAACAATAAATCTATGGTTAAAACACATTTGTCACTTCCTGTAGCACAAGTATTAAGTTACCAACTTGCCATTTCTAATGTGGAGTTGGGAAGAGATGTACTGGTTCTTGCCAACTTGCCAGAGCTATATCCAGCATATCACTGACTGAAAGCACTATATAATTCCAGAATTGATTTATTCATTATGACATATTTCAATGTTTTAACTTTAAATGAATGTAAGAATAGATAATAATTCATATGTGTTTTAACTCAGCAGTTTGCTTCCCAAATAACAGTTCATGATCCAGCTGGATTTTAACCAGTTATATAAGTTAATGTTTCAGATACTCCTTCCCAATAATTGAGCTGGAAGACAGTATCCATACAATTGATTAAGCTCCTTTTTCCTGGAATACTAAAAACTTATTGCTGTATTACAGCTCTAATAACACAGAGCTCTCTATTGTTTGTGCTGCTACATAACACTGACTTTTTTCTGTGCCAACTATAGTATTTGCGTTTTTCTTGGTATTGCAGTGGAATAATGCAGTGGTGGCATTTTACCTACAAATGATTTCTCCTGGGAAATTAGATATGTCTAGCTTAAGGTTTTTAAAGTGGATAGTGAAACAAAGAGTAGGAAGACATGATAAATCAGTAGAACATTCCTGACTTAACTTCCTAGCAACTATTCAAATGTTTTTGCTTTCCAGATCACTATATTGTTATTACTGTTCCTTCGATACTGTTTCTCTCTTCCAAGAAAATCTACTTTTATCCCCCTAAAATAACCTTTACTGTCTACATCATTTATTCGGATTTTGTCTGTTTTTATTCTATGTGTCTGTGATGGTTAATTTTAGGTGTCAACTTGTCTAGGCCGTTGTACCCAGGTTTTTGGTCAAACACCACTATAAATGTTGGTGTGAAGATATTTTTTGAATGTGATTGATATTTAAATTAATAGATTTTGAGTGAAGTGAATTATCCCCCCCCCCCATAATGTGGGTAGGCCTCATTAGTCACTTGAAGGTCTTAAGAGCAAAGACTGAGGTCACTGAGGAAAAACGAAGTCTGGCTCCACATTGCTTTTGTACCTGAGCTGCTGTCATGCTGAACCCCTATAGACTCCAGTGGGTTTGGCGCCAGGTTCAAGAGGCCAAAGACCTAGAGCCAGCAAACAATACATGGAGTTTAATCAGGGGCTTAGAGTCCAGTGGCAGCAGTCTGGGCAGGAGAACCACAACTGCTTGCAAAAAGCATGGAGCTTATATAGCATTTTCACTTGGTATACTCCCCGTAACAACTTCCACCTTCATTCAATCCAGAACTCGGGCCTCGAGCCCCTATAGAACTTGTGTTCCATGGAATGGACCTGGGTCTCAGTTGTCCTTTACAGACAATGAACGAATCTCCTGGTTGGCCACTCCTGGATTCTCTAGCTTGGAACACATATTCAGGTGAGTCTGTCATACAGGGCGATTCTCAGGGTGTGATTAAGTTATTGCTATCGGGCATGTTTACCATACAGCTGCAACATCAACTCTTGGGCCCTTTTCCTGTCAGTCTGCCTGCAGACTTCAGATTTGCCAGCACCCACAATTACGTGAGCTGGTTCTTTACATCTCAAAATATATATACTTACACAGCCTATTGTTCTGTTTCTCTGAAGATCCCTTACTAATACAGTGTTTGTAGTTACTTCTTGTCTATTTCATGAGCAAAACAACTATACAAATACTCAAAGGCAAGGACCAAGTAAAACGTTAACGTATATAGAAGACAAACCCATGTACAAGGAGCAAATACTAGCTCTCAGGGAATCAGAAACAAATTCATGACTTGTTTAAAAAGACCGTTTATTTTCATTTATATCTAAAGAAAATTTCTTATAGAAAAATAGACTATATATGCATAAAATATGACACTTAATCTAAATGCAACATGAATATGCCAGTAACCACATGTACACAAAATGTACACAATCTGGGGGAAATAAAGACATTCCTAAAAATGACAAACAAGTGCCATGAGTTCATATAAATAGTACAAGCACAATTTTCCATCCTTGATCAGTTCACTTGGATTATCTGAAGCACCTCATTGTCTGCCAGCTGTCAGATGTGTTTTTAATTAGGCACTAATGGAGTAATATATGTATGTAAACCATTTAAATCGTGTTCCAGTTTACAAGGACATCTGTGAGGTGGAAAGTGAGAATCCTTGATCTTGCCAGACGTTACAAATTATAAAACTATAAAACATGAAACTCAGGTACTCAGAATGACTCAATTTAAAACAGGGGAAGGTGCTATTAAGAAGGTTAAAAAGGATATTTTACTCACTTAGGGAAAAATAAGTGGTTTCTTTTTCTCTAGTTTTTCTTTAAAGCTATGTTTTTGCATTGCTGTAATGCTTTAGTGTAACGTACAACTAAGTGTCTCTTAGTGTTCTGATATGCTTGAAACTTAGACTTTAAGTAAAATTTTGAAAAAAAAAAGTGGAATTTTTGGTTCAATTTATGTCAACAAATAAAGATAAAAAGTGAACTACTCTGTCACACAAAGTACCTTACATCCAGCAGATTTCAAGAATGTTTTGGTTAATTTTAATTCAAAGATTATTTACAACTGCTGAAAGAACTGGATATGGAAAGAGCTTACCTTAGATCCATGCATGTAAATAACAACCGTATTCTTTTTTTTTCTTTTTTTTGGTCGGGGGAGCTTTAGTACAACTGAGGCCAATTGTAAAGGTGGAAAATGAGGCATTTTTTTTTAATCACCCATTTTTGTGATTCAGTTCTCTGAGACTTCTATATTCAGAAATGCTTTTAGCAGGTAGTAGTTATCCATTTATTTTTAAGTAACTAATCATAAGGGATTCAATCTTTCCTTTGTTCTTCAGTGTCTATAAAGTACCACACCCAACAGCCATGTGCCCAGTTCCCTATAACTAGAGGAGACCAGCAACTCCTCTGTTGTGGGATCTGTCTGTGATCTGTGGGAGATCAGAGCATTACCAGGCCCTGACTGCTTAATCTTTGTGGTTTAATTACCCAATCACCAGTTAATAACACACCTTTAAAAAGAGTTACAGTTATGTGAACATAAGTGGGAATATGTTACTCAAACTGAACTTGAGTGAATGAAGGGAGATAATCTTCCCAATGGAGGATCATGGTTTTATGATGCCAAATTCAAGGGTGGTGACTCTGGCTGCTCATTAGACTCAATTGGAAAGCCTTATAAAATAGCAGTGACAGGACCCATCCCATACCATTGTAGCCTGATTTCTGGGGTGAGACCTAGGCATGTGAGTTGCAAAAGCAGCTATGGTGTTTCAGATGCACAATTACCATAAGAAGGTAATATTTAAAAGTCACAATGAATACTGTAAGAAAAAGGACTGAGGACTCTTGAAGAGGAAGGAATTCTACCTTTGGTTTGTCCTTCTATAAAATATCATTACACAAAACTGTAATTGTGAAAAACAGTTGAAAAATGGCATGCAGATTCCACACAAAAAATAAGTGTGGCAGATTGGGAGGTATGTGCTCTGGTCTACCTGAAGTCCATCTTCATATGATGCTTCTGTAAATATTAGACCATAAATATCAAATTTAGGTGTGCATATGTATCATCTAGCCTGCCGGGTAAACGTGTATATTTGCAGGTGAACCACAGAGTTTCAGAATCTGCAGAATGGGGTGATATCCAGGAAACTAAATTTATTTTAATATCACAAGCAATTCTGATTCAAGTGGTCTTTGAGTAATTAAGAAACCCAGACAAAAGGATTCAACTAAACCAGCCATGATGGACTCTTTCAGGGCACAATAAATAATAATTTGCTTTAAAAATAATGAAAATACAAAAAAATTAGCCAGGCGTGGTGGTGGCTACTTGGGAGGCTGAGGCAGGAGAATGGCGTCAACCCAGGAGGCGGAGCTTGCAGTGAGCCGAGATCGCGCCACTGCATTCCAGCCTGGGCAACACAGCAAGACTCCGTCTCAAAAAAAAAAAACAAAAAAAAAAAAGAAAGAAAAGACAGCAGAAAATCTTAGCGAGCTAAGGAAAAAAAAAAAAAAAAATGCCGGCCCCGGTGGCTCACGCCTGTAATCCCAGCACTTTGGGAGGCCGAGGCGGGTGGATCATGAAGTCAGGAGATCAAGACCATCCTGGCTAATACGGTGAAACCCCGTCTCTACTAAAAATACAAAAAATACAAAAAAAAAAAAAAAATTAGCCGGGCGTGGTGGCAGACGCCTGTAGTCTCAGCTGCTTGGGAGGCTGAGGCAGGAGAATGGCATGAACCCAGGAGGCAGAGCTTAACAGTGAGCTGAGATGGCGCCACTGCACCCCAGCCTGGGTGACAGAGCGAGACTCCGTCTCAAAAAAAAAAGATATTACAAAAATATATATATATTCAGCACATAAAAATATGCTGAAGAAAATAGAAAAATAAAAAAGTCTTTTCCTAATTCCTAAAATTTTAATTAATTTATTTGTTTATTAATTAAAATTTATTAATTACCCTTTTCACTTCCATTCTCTTTTTGAATTTTCCCTCTGCTCTTTATTTTCCTGTTATATTTCCTCTCTTCTTTCTTGTCTCATCTCACTTCTTTCTCCTTTTGTTCCTCTCTAATTCTTTCTCTCTCAAAGCCTATCTGCATCTCTGTTTTTGTATGACTCTCCCTCTACCAGTATGTCTAGCTCTGTCTCTCATTTTTCTTTCTTCACTTGATTCTGAAGACACCACTGTTATACTTCAAACCTTATTGAAGATTTGCTCTTGTTACTCCCTTTCTCTAACACCATTACTCAGGCCGTCCTCAATTCTTTCAGGCGTAATAAACACAAAATTTGCTTGGCTCACTCCTACCCTTTTTCTTTCAGATCAAAAGACATCTACTAGAAGCTTTCTTCGATACCACCTGAGTTCACTGTAGAAGGCAACTTTGGTGAGTAAGTAAAAGTTCAAAATGCATTTGTGTGGAATAAATTGCTTTCTAGCATTCTTTCTCATAGAAGACACATAATATACCTACACTAAAGATAAAATGGAATTTTTAACCTATGTAGTCATTAACAATGTTTTAAATGAGTTTGTGTAAAACAGAAAGAAATTGGCAAGGAAAATAAAAAGTTTTCTAAATTTGGGTAGGGAAGTGGGATATTGTGATTTTTCTTTCTCTTTTAATAAACTACTTAGAAAAAAAAACATTTAGAAAAAACTAAGAAAGTCAAAGAATGAGGTAACATTTGACAGATTATCAATCTTGTTATTTCTGCTTTTTATTTCTCTACTTGTCTTTCTGTTATTGAATGTTTCTCTTAAACCTAGTAGATCATTGGATAAAAGTTACTTTGCTTTTATTTTAATTTTCTAGCATGTTGGTATTTATTTCTCAGTGCAGTACACCTATTGTGATTTAGTTTTGTTGAAAATTTATGGCATTGCAGTTTGAAAGATGGAAGAATTGTTGACTATAACTTAATGTATTTTCTCTAGAAACCCTTCTAGAAATCCTTCTAGGGAAAATAAATACAGCTTAAGTTTTGGTTTTGCTGAGATACATGGAATTCTTTTCAGCTCTTTAGTATTAATGGATTATTTTATTATAATATCACATAAATATGTCTGTGGACCTCAAAATATAAAACTCTTATAATCTTAGTTTTTAATATGTAGTTATAAACAAAAGTAAATTTGTAAATTAATATAAGGAGAAGCTAAAAACAATAAAAGTAGCATGAAATCAATGAAACTTGGTTGAAACTGTATTATCAATGATGTGTTTAACAAGTATTCTTATATTCTTATATTGTCAATCGGATATTCTAATTTTAAACACAATAATTTTTTTACTCACTGAACAAAGAACTAAGCAAAACATTATGTTCTGGACAAATGGTTTGTATGGCATAATCCAAAATGCCTGAAGAAGATGCAGTAAAATAAATATTGATTTCTGAAAACTTCTTCAATGTTGATTATGTTTACACATCAGGTAATATAATATGTTGGTACTTGTTAAGATGCGGTCTGCATAATATATCCAGCCACAACATGGTTGATTTCACTTGAGGAAAACACTCCAAGTATACACTAAGTCTTTTGAGTGATCCTATAGAGGTTGAAGAAGGTGGCAGCAGAGATGCAGGTAACTGCAGCAGAGGCAGAAATTAGCATGAAGGAGTAGTTGTAATTCTGAAGTATGAAAGTGCAACAGCTGCTCAGTGAAAGGCATATGCTATAAGATTAAGATATTTTAGGAATAATATTGGAAAGGAGATATAGTTGAAAATTAATCAATTAGCACTTGGGGGGTCTTGATCTTGCTTTGAAATCAGGGGCATGACATAATTACATCTTCGTTTTAGGTGTAACCCAAAGACTGGCCCTATTGATATCATTTGGGTGGCTGCTGCATTAGATACAAGAGTTAATGATAGCTTAATCCAGTACACTACAAATGAGAACAATTTGCTTGGTATAATACTCTTATATTCTGTACCATATAAACATTTTGCAATTATTTCTTCTGTTCTTTTTTTATTATTATACTTTAAGTTCTGGGATACATGTGCAGAACGTGTGGGTCTGTTACAGAGATATACCCATGCCATGGTGGTTTGCTGCACCCATCAACCCGTCATCTAAATTAGGTATTTCTCCTAATGCTATCCCTCCCCTAGACCCCAACCCCCAACAGGCCCAAGTGTGTGATGTTCCCATTCCTGTGTCCATGTGTTTTCATTGTTAAACTCCCACTTATGAGTGAGAACATGCGGTGTTTGGTTTTCTGTTCCTGGGTTAGTTTGCTGAGAATGATGGTTTCCAGCTTCATCCATGTTCCTGCAAAGGACATGAACTCATCCTTTTTTATGGCTGAATAGTATTCCATGGTGTATTTGTGCCACATTTTCTTTATCCAGTCTATCATTGATGGGCATTTGGGTTGGTTCCAAGTCTTTGCTATTGTGAATAGTGCTGCAATTAACATACGTGTGCATGTGTCTTTATAATAGAATGATTTATAATCCTTTGAGTATATACCCATTAATGGAATTGCTGGGTCACATGGTATTTCTGGTTGTAGATCCTTGAGGAATCGCCACACTGTCTTCCACAATGGTTGAACTAATTTACACTCCCACCAACAACGTAAAAGCGTTCTTATTTCTCCACATCCTCTGCAGCATCCGTTGTTTCCTAAGTTTTTAATGATAGCCATTCTAACTGGCCTGAGATGGTATCTCATTGTGGTTTTGATTTGCATTTCTCTAATGACCAGTGACGATGAGCTTTTCTTCCTATGCCTGTTGGCTGCATAAATGTCTTCGTTTGAGAAGTGTCTGTTCATATCCTTTGCCCATTTTTTGATGGGGTTGTTTGCTTTTTTCTTGTAAATTTGTTTAAGTTCTTTGTAGATTCTGGATATTAGCCCTTTGTCAGAGGGATAGATTGCAAAAATTTTCTCCCATTCTATAGGTTGCCTGTTCACTCTGATGATAGTTTCTTTTGTTGTGCAGAAGCTCTTATGTTCTTATACTTCATAAAAATGATATGAAATTATTTTACTGGTTTGTACAAGCTTACATAGTATTATTAGCCTGAAACAAGTAGAATTTAACATTAGATACAATTACTTTTCCCCCCAGTGAATTTAGGTATTAATAATCTAAATCTTTACTCAGTACTCTTTATAAGATAATTAGAAACATTTGGAGTTTTGATAATTAAACACGTTGTCAATCAGAGGTGTCTTAAAAATGATAGAAAAGTAGATCTCAGATTTAAAAAAATAAAGCATAAGCATCATATCTGGTTTTGGGATTGATCACTGTATTGTCATTAAAAAAGCAGTAAAAACATTATTACTTTTTTTCAAAGCAGTATGAAAACATTCAGTCAAAATAAATCATGGTCTCCATTTAACTAACTTAAGTGACTAAAACAAGTTAATATGCGGAGACTAAAGCAAAACTTACTGGCTAATTCCTCTAAAAATTTGTTATTACAGTATGCTAACCTCAATACAACTTGTTTTTCTCTTTTATGAAGATATATCTTAAGTGAAAAAAATAAAGTATATGGGAGTATGCTCACACTTATGACTGTCTTTCATACCAAACAGATTGCTTTCTGCCCTCATTCCTTGCTCTTGGCCTTGATCTGATCTAAGAACTGTGCTTCAGAATTTGAAAATAAGGAGAGAAAAGTACAAAAGGAGATAGAAAGTATTAAAATAGGGAAGATTTGTATAAATAAAGATTAATCATCATTCACAATAAAGTGTTTTACATTTTTCATTGGGACGTTAGACATGGGTTTTTGTTTTATTGTGTATACTTATATAGTTGCATATTATCGACTATATGTTTCTATGCATACATTGTAGTATTAGGCTGGTGCAAAAGTAATTGCGGTTTTTGCCATTAGAAACCACAATTACTTTTGCACTAATCTAATAAAGTCATATTTTAAAAAGGTTAAATGCATATCCATTATGAAGGGTCTTTCCAGATTGAGTAGAATCAATTTAGGTTAAAAAAATTCACAGATAAATCTTCATATTTCTTCTTTTATATTCTTCATTTATATAAATTATGTTAAAATTACTTAATATTTACATATAGTTATTTGATTATAGCATTGTATGGAAAAACCAGAACGATTCTATTGATGAAAAGAAAAAAATGAACAAATACTGGCTTTCGAAATACTGCCTATTTTTTTTCTCTACACATACTTATCAAGTACATATTATCAGTCTCCCTACACTGAATCTACCTTTTTTCACTTAACTGGAGATTATTTTAAAAGTGAAATAATAATCTGGTATAATGAAAGCTAATGAAGAAACTTTTATCCAATAAATTATTCCAAATATGTGCAAGAACAAAAGGCAGAACCAATAGTTTAGTAAGATATTCCCACCCACATTTGTAATTTGCTTACAGAAGAATTTACTCAACTTTATATTGGTAAACTTATCACGTTATAAAAAATTACTACAACCAGTTGTCACATGGATATAGATATGCCTGGACCAGATAAGCGACTGGTAACAACAGAGTAGTTGGTTGTTTTAGTGTTTGAATTAATATGACATGTAGCCAGTCTGATAAAGTGCAGAAGATTTAGTCAATACAGTGCAGACTCCCTCCACACAGAGTAACCAGGAAGTCAACTCAGCACTTTTGTATATACTTAGCCTATGTCTTTTTACTTTCTATGTAAAATATGACTTAATTAAGATGCTGCATTTGAAAAAGTAATCTTCAGAGTATCAGGTGACATTTAAAGTAGGAGTTATGGCTCAAAATGGTGCTGGACAGCAGTTTCAATAATGCGTGCTATATTCTTATGGTTTATACCCTCTAATAGGAAAGCTTTACTCGGTTATTATTTGTTACTCTTTTAGGCTTAGCAATTATAAATCTGTGGGTTACTTTAATCAGTCTAGGGCCTGCATTTAACAAACAGTACATGCCATTTAATGATCTAGCCTTAACAGTAGAATATTGAATCTCATGCTGACATTCAAATATATCTTAAAGTTGAAAATTGGAGTTTGGAAGCAACATATTTATTTATGTAAAGGGAATTTGATAGATCGCCCATCTTTCTCTATTTAAGTTTCATCAGAAAATTTGAGATTAGGAAAACTCAATCTATTTTGTTTATTGTTGTTGCTTGTCTCCATTCTTTATACAATGAATAAACATAGCCCTGAAGTGTACTGGGAAGAGGCCTAGATTATAAAATAAGACATTATCTGTTACTGCTATAATGTTAATTAATGTATGACCTTGGACAATCATTTCATTTACTTATATCTTAGTTTCCACATCTTTCTTAAGGGGAGATTATGCAAGCTATTCTATAAGGTTGTCTCCAGTTTTAAATTGCTAGGAATACATTTTTACACTTGATTGTATTATTTTATTTGATATCTTAATTTGGGGGCTGGAAAGCATATTATTATAGAGCTAAGAAGGGCAACAGAAGAGACATTTCACTAGAAGTGACATTTCATTAGAAGTGACATTTCAGATGAATTCTTATTTTATCTGCTGTTGGAAAACTTACTGATTCTGGATTAATGTGTCAAATCAATAAAATACAGTACAACACTTTCTCTCAATTGCTAATGAATATAAATATCTTCTATATATGAATTCTTTATGATCTCAAAGTCATATTGTCGAATGACTCTGTTATAGATATGTAGCAAATATGTTCACCAGCAGAGGTGGCAATTAATGATTCTGGTCTCCAGAAGATAGCACTGAAAAAGGTCTTTGCTTCCTCCTGAAGTTTAGAAGTTTAGTGCTACATGTCCCAATTATGGAACATAAATATTGTGATTTTGGATTATGTTAAAGAGCACATGGACATCCATTAAATATAATTGAAAAAAGAGAAAGAAAATAAGATATAAAGAGACACATGCATCTTTATTAATTCCCTTTATTTTCTTCTGAAGGATTCAAGTGTGAAATCTCATTTGGAGCTAATATATTTTTTAATATTTCTCTACTATGTGTTAATCTCCCTTTCTAACAAAGCTTCTCTTGGGCTCACAACATTTGGCAGTCAGCAATATTTTGTTGTCATTACATTTTTGCTATTATTATAGTCTATTTATGTAAAAAGGTATTCATTTTATGGGAATAATAAAAAATTAAAAATAAATACATTTTATAAAGATATTAAAATACAGTAGAACATAAAGTGTGTATGGAAATAGTCAACAATAGAGTTCTTACACGGAGATAGAAAAAATATTTGGTTTTGTTACATATAAAACATAAGTTTGTGAACTACTAATTTTATGAAAAGTCACAAACTTTAAAATAAAGGAGACCTACAGTAAAGCTTCTCTCTTCTTTCACTGCAGATAAACTTGACCAAGTTGTTGAAACTTTCTAACCTTCAGTTTTCTCAGTAACTCACAGATGATGATATCAGTTTTCCAGTGTTGTCAACGGGGACAAAATTAGATGTAAGGTAATCTGGAGTTTGGAGGTGCTGAAAAATGTCAGCTTTCTCTCCCAGATTAGATAGGAATGAATGTGCTTTCATTGGTTCACTTGGATGAATCAATATAATGTAAAACAGTTTGAATAGACAGGGAACAGTATAAAGTATAGAGAAATTATAAATTTAATTAATCCTTCTTTTGACATTTTGATTAGTCATAAATAATCAAGTACATGAATGTAGAAGAGAGAATCAAAATGAAAAAAGTACATAATTAATAAGAATATATTGATACATTCTTACCTTATATAGCAACATTTAAACAGCAGAAACAATCAAGAATATTTGTGCATAGAACTTAAATTTCACATTTCTGTCTTATCATTGTGGAGATTAAAAATGAGCATTATAATACCACTATAGTATAAAGTTAATATTATAAGGAAAACAATAAAATACATTTTATATTACGGAGAGGAGAGGGGGAAGTGTGGGCATATATGGCAAAACCTTAAGAGAACCCTGACTTTTGATTGACAAAATATACAATATTTACCTGGATTATTAAACAATGGAATATGTTTATAAACATTCAGTTTTGCAATAGTAGGTGATAGATGATATCATGGTTGATCACTAATACCTATTAGCTACCAGTGTTTTTCCTGATACTAATGTTGTAGTGATTTAATTTCTCTTCATCATTTCTACTGGAAGATAGGCAAAAGGAAGATAAACGATTAACTCAATGATGTTCAAGAAGTTTGCTGATAATTTTAAAGTTGCCTTCATAGTTTGTCTCATGTTAGTAGAGTTAACCATATTATATTGTTTTCTCTGTGAAAACATGTTTTTTGATAACTGTGTCTTCATAATTAATAGTTCTTGAATATACTTCTTATTCTATTGTTTTTTAAATCCAAGTTTAAGTGCTCATTTGGTCTTCCATTACAGAGGCATTCAAGAGAGAAACAGTAAATTGGTCCTTAAAGTCATCTGAGTCTGGTACTCACCTTTGCAAATCAGAAACTCAGTTGATCAGTCTCTAGGGGACTAAGAGATAAAAATCAAACCCATAATATCTGACTGGCAAGTCATAATACCAATTTATTAACTTAAAATAGAAGCTACTTTAACAGCAATCTAAATACCCCTAGGAAGTGTTAAAGACACTTTGTTCTCATTATCAGTGTACCTGTGCCACAGAAAGTACATTAGAATTCACCAGATGCCTTTGTAAACAAAAACTGTGGCAAAAGATACTTCATGTATTGAAGAATAGCCATCATATAAAATGTCTGATTCATTAATTTCTTCTTTAGAGAAGGGAATAGAACTCTAGCAAAGAAAATAATACTTAAATCTATGAGATATATTCCTTCTTTACCTTTGTTTGAAAAAAATCCACAAATTCTCTTGATTCGTATTTGAGAATTAACAGAATTGAATATATCACTCATGCACAAAATAGCACAAGAATATTTTAAGGTTATAAAGCTTCTGTTAGGGGGAATAATTTCTGGAGGTCTCTTATTAGCATAGTGACTACAGTTAATCATTATGTATTGCATATTTGAAAACTGCTAATAGAGTAGAATTTAAATGTTCTCAACACAAAAAAATAAGTATTAAGGTGGCAAATATGTTAATTATCTGGATTTAATTATTGTACAATGTATACATATATCAAAACATCATGATATCCCATAAATATATACAATTATTATTTGCCAATTAAAATAAATAAATTTTAAGAAAGATTACTCAAGGTTATGATACATCCAAGCACATTGACTGAAATAATATAATGGTCTCAGTAACACTATATTTTGAAAATGCTTTAAAAATAAATCACTTATACAGACAGCTCACCTCAAGCATTAAATGAGTAGTTTTCTTTGTTTTAATTTTTTAAAGTAACCTTATCTCAAATTTATGCTTGAAATCTGGAGAAAAAAGACCCTGTGGAACCTGCACAAACCTGTACATGACCTATGTTTAATACACAGTGTGTGGATGACTATTTCAAATCCAATTCTATTATTGATGCTTTTGGAGTAATATACATTCAGGGCATGTGTAACTGCCAGTAAAATGATAGATGTATAATACCATATAAAATCTAAATGTTATTAAAAGTAAATAAAAACCAACTATAGTTTTGTATTACTAAACTAAAATTTTCCTATGAAAGCATATTACTGATGTGCAATTATTTTTGTTGAAAACAACCTTCCATATTGAGACTTCTTGAATTCTTTAAAGCCTGGCCTGTTATAAACCAGAGCTCCTATTGGCAGCAATATTTCTGAGAAAGTATTGCTTTGTAACTCCCAAAACTCTGGTTATCTAACAAACACAATTGAAAAACTCAAGTGCCAGTTTTCCACAGTTGAATGTATGTCGCTGTTGCTCCATCTAAGAAGTCTGTCATATGACAGAACCAGCTATGCACGGTGAATTGGGGAAAAAAATCATGAGAGAAAGAAAAAGTTAAAAAAAAAAAACCTTCAGCATAATTAGGAAACCATATGTTTTCTCTCTGCCCTATTTTTTCTTGTACTTTAAAATATTCTCCTGAGTTCAATTATACTCACCTAGGCTCACAGCAGGTTGAATTTGAAGAACATTTGTAAAAAGAGAATGAGCTTCATCCAAATCCCACAGCACTGAAAGATGAAAAAGTTAGCCAAGAAATAACTGATATAGTTGGGGAAATAAAAAGAAAAGATAGGTTTTAAAAAACTAGATGAATTCTTTATTTGTAAATTTCATTTTATTCTGAAGAATCAAAACATTATGTTTAAAAGAATAATCACATGCCAATACATTAAAATACAGTCTTTCAGTACTAATTAATCCTTAAATTCCAATAGATTCAATACGAATAAAATATTGGAATTATGTATAATTTGATCAAAGATAGAGGGTTTCTCTATGAGAAGGAGATAATATAAAACATTGAATACTAATAATGAGATATCCAGAACACTGCTAACAATAACAAACATTTTGGCAAGGCAAATCTTTTTGGAACCATTTCAAAATTGGTTTCTAATTTAAACAAAAGTAAATACTATTCACTTAGATAACTTTTTCAAAAATTTTTCACCATATTTCTTTGTTGATTACTCTATATCCTATAGCTCCAAATGTAATATTTAAATAAAATTCCAGTATTGTATTTCCAACTATGTATTTAATATTTCAACTCAAATTCTTAATTGAATCTTCAGACTTCAGATGTTCAGAATGGAAGTGATCTTCTTATTACACAAAATCTTTAGTGTCATTAATGTTACTCACCTTTCTCAGCATTGAAGATTTCTTCTCTTTGTTCTGCATATCTAATTAGTCATGAAGTCTAATTTAATCTTTGTTTTGCACTTGTGTAAATTACACTAGTAAAATTACACTCGTGTAGCCATTGTAATTTTTTACATGCCCGACTAAGTTTGTTATTGTGCTTTCAGGCTCTTCATATTTTACTGTTTTCCTCATGTTTTTTTTTTTAATTTTCCCTGCTAAAGAAAATTTTTTAAATGGGTTAAATTAAATTTTTCAACTCATCATTTATAGACTTATAGAAGTCTATAATCCTCATGCTAGTATGATATATTTTTCTCATTGTATTTCATATGAGCCTTATACCTGAGCAAGTTTTTCTCTTTGCTAATGTTGCCCCATCCCCACCCTCAAGGTCACCCTTGGCCCACCTCCCTTATCCACTTCACTTCTCATTCTATTCCTACCTCAATCATCATAAAAGCCATTGGCCATACTACTCCTCTCATGCTTTCTTAAAGATGTCTCTGTTTAATTCATTCAACTATGAACTCATTTTTTTATGCAGTCAACAAATACTAAGTGCTTAACTCTATTCAGGTAGCTAGAGGAACCCAGACTGTCATGTGGCTGTCACGAAGTGTGCTGGTCATTGAAAGTTAAATTCCTCTTTTTCCAAGTTTTTTATTTTATTTTTTTGCACACAAAAATTTCTTTCTGCTGAACACCATTGTATGCATTCTATAGTTTAGGATTTCTATTTTACTCATTAATTATTTCAAGTTCTCCTACAAGCTTGGAATGTAGGTTTGGAAGAAACCTGTAGCTCACATTTTTTTTTTTTTTTTTTTTTTTTTTTTTTTTTTTTTGAGATGTAGTCTCTCTCTGTCGCCCAAGCTGGAGTGCAGTGGCACCATCTTGGCTCACTGCAACCTCCACCTCCCAGGTTCAAACGATTCTTCTGCCTCAGTCTCCCGAGTAGGTGGGTCTACAGGCGTGCACCACCATGCCCAGCTGATTTTTGTATTTTTAGTAGAGACAAGGTTTCACCATGTTGGCCAGGATGGCCTCGATCTCTAGACCTCGTGGTCCGCCCACCTCGGCCTCCCAAAATGCTGGGATTAGAGGCATGTGCCACCGCGCCCGGCCGGCTTACATTTTTTATATGCATAAAAGAGCCCAGAGCCTAGTATACTGCTAACACATGGTAGGGCCACATATGCTTCCTAATTAATTTTTTAATTACAGAACCAAAGAATTATTTTGGAAATAGTATTACCTGCAAGTTTTGCTTGCAATGGATAATACTGGTCTAGTAAATACCTGATGTGTTTGTTCAAATATTTGTGCCCTTATTTTTTATGTTTAATATATCACAGAAAAACAATGACCCTAGTTTAAAAGGGCAATTCGATATAGCTATGATGGTAAAATTTCAGCTCTGGTAAAATAATTTTCTTATAAAGTCTTTTTAAATGACCCCTTCTCCAGTTTTAAATTCAAAAAAAGAAAAGCAGCATTATAGTCAATTTCCTTAAGTATCAAGTAATCTGTATTTTGCAAAAATGATTATTGCAGAGAGAAATTTGAAAAAAGAATATTTCAGCGATCAAAGTCTCTCCGGGGACAGGTTAAAGAAACCGAAGATCATAACAGATGTTTTTAGCTATCTAGTTAGCTAGGGCTATGATGCAAATAATTGTTACTGCCATTATCTTTGAAACCAGATGTCTGATGTCCCCATGAGAGACAACAAAATAATAATGATAATGGTATAGATGATTTTCAAGCCTATTGCTGAGTTACAACTTAATATTTATTTTTGCCTGTATGACTGCTGACAGGCATGCCAAAATGTTGAGACCAGAAACACTTTTTTTCCTAAATTTTGCTGGAATATCATTTACAATTAAGACCTAATTTATTATTAGTGATGGCTTTTACTGTCACAATATGCTAATAAGATTACAGAAATAGGAATAGAGAAACAAGAATCTCTCCAGAAAGTCTCTGTCAACTGATTTGAGCATGAAAAACTGTTAAATTAATTGCATGACATGTTTATTCAAAATTTCCTCTGTGGAAGCAGCCTAGTGCCTGGCAGTATTTTTGTTACTCTAATTTTTTGGTTAGGTTCAGAAAAAGAATGAGGTTTTTAGTGGAATTTCTTCAGAGGCTCAATTCATTTTGAACATGGCACACTGCCTCCTGTTTAGCAAGTTAACTGGCCTGAATTTAGCAGAGCATCTGCCAAAGGACAAAGGTTTCCAAAGGCATAAAGGCCTTTGGAAATGCATAACTGACAAAATACTATCAAATGAAGTCAATCAGAAGATGGACCTGCATTGTAAAGTTTGCAAATAATGCCTTTGTTAATTTTACATGATGTATTTAATTATAATTGAATGTCTGCAGATAAGTTTTTCTTTATTTCAAAATTGTAATTATTTTAAATACAGTAAGATTTAAAGGAAAGTAATAATGATAAAAAATCACCAACTAATCAACCCAATATGTAAGGCTATATATTTTTTTCTCTTTCTTTTCTTTTTCCTTTTTTTAGTGCAGACTGTCCACATCCACTTCTCTTGGATGTCTCTGGAGTCATGGGTTTGAGTACCCTATGTTCTCCTACAAATGGACCTTAAGAGCTTGCTTAGAGGATGTTCTAGCTGGGGACTATAGCTACAAATATACTCTTGACCAAAAAAAGTTCTACTGTATCAGGGAATGTTGTTCTCTTCCACCAAGCATGCAGCTTTGGGAGGGACACACATGGGGCAGTGAGGGAAGAAGGGAACAACTGCCTAGCCAACCAGTTTACTCGGCTAAATTAGCCAGCTGAATTAACCCTGGAGATTAATGGAGTGACAGATGTCACAGCCAGGTTGCCCTCATAGTCATAAGGCTACATTTAAAAATGTTTCTTTTGCTTATATTTACATATGCTTATAAGTAAAAACAAGTAATTTCAAAAATTATTTTTAATTTTTTAAGTAAGAAAGATCAGAAGAGAATACCAGAAGTGGTATAGCAAATAAGTATGCCTTCTGGCTTTCTGTACATTTTAATTGATAATAATGAAAAATTCACAGTGTGAGAAATCAAACATATATGTAAAGATAGAAATTCAGAAGTTCCAGGAAACTTACAAATCATGTAATGAAAACTCCATATTATTCATAAATTTATAATACAATATATTGACAAATGAGTATTTCTGCCTCTTTTTGAACTCCTTCATTGATAGGGAACTCATTTTCTCTTTGGTTAATCCATTCTGTCTTTTGGTTACTCTGATTAGTGAAGCTTTTTTATGTATATTATTTGTCACTTTTAGAAATAATTTTTGAAACATTTCTTCTACCTGAAAACAGTAACTCTTCTTATAGATATTCTTCACTATCAATTTTCAGATTTCATCTAGTGATCATTAAAAGTGTCAGAAAATGAGTAAAATATATACCTGGAAAGAACATGTGGTTTAAAAATCTAGTTAGTGACAAAAAGCTAAGTCTCACTTGCAGCCTGGGATTGTTTATCACATTTTGCAATTAAAAACTATATCAGTAATAAGTTATCATGCAAACAAGTAAACATTTTTTACCTTCCCTGCAATGTGATATGGCACCCACAGTATAGCCGAATAAGCATTAGATTGGTGCTCAAGAAACTGGACTTTAGTTCAGTTTCTGTCATTAATTTTGTTATTAGTCATTAGCCAAATATACGACTTTGGAAAAATAACTTTATTTATTTGAAGCTTGATTTACTTACTTAAAATGGGGGGATAGGCTACATAAACAACATTATTTTTATGATAACAATAGGATGCTATTCTGGAAAAGTGATGCCTAATGATACTACCACAAATCATTTTAAAATGGAAATATCTGTTTTACTATAACACAGAATTCACTTTAAGGTGAGCAATTACAGCAAACTTCTTCATGAATATGTACTTTTTTTTTGAAGGGATCAATACGCTGTAATTGAAACTCAGTGATAGAAGAATGCTCTCTGTATACCTTAGAGTCAAATTTTATATAAGAATCAGATTCCACAGCAAGAACTCAATGATATTTAAGACCAAATATAACTGAGTATTAAGCACGATATGGTAGTCAAAATAGATATGTGAAGTCAGAACCCTTGGGTTATTTTCTCAGATCTGCCAGTTACCAAGCAAATTATCTTGAGTCTCTTATACTCATGTCTTAAAAATGGAAGAAATTTTAAAATGTTGAAAGGAAAAATGGAAATATTCAGTTCATAATAATGTGTTACCTAATTATTTCAAAGAACCCAAGGGAATTTTGCCTTTTATTAGAAGAGCCCTATCTAAATAAACTTATCTTGCCAGTTATAAAAATAAATATTCACCAACTAATTACAGATTTATATAATACACACAAATCCCTCATACATATCTGAAATGTATATATCTTCCTCTATATATTATATTATTCTGCTACGTTACTGTAAAATACATACAAATGCTCCTTCACTTACAATGGGGGTATATCCCAATAAACTCATTATAAGTTGAAAATACTTTAAATCAAAAGTGCATTTAATACACCTAACCTACTGAGAGCATCATAGCTTAGTCTAGTCTGCCTTAAACACACTCAGAACACTTTTGTTAGCCTACAGTTGGGCAAAATCATCTGGCAACACAGTGCGCTGTAGAGTATTGTTGTTTACCTGCTTGATTGCGCGGCTGAGTGGGAGCTGCACCTCTTCTGCAGCTGTTTAGCATCAGGAGAGAGTATGGTACCACTTTCAGCTGAATGCATATAGCTTTCACACTGTCATAAACATTAAAAACCATAACTTGAACCATCATAAGTCACGTGCCATCTGTATACATGTAACTCTATTCTGTGTCACATATATTCAAATTAAATAATATAAATACTAAAATGCATCTGACAACAAAACATCCTTTTCACTAATAGTTTTTTAATGGAAATATGTGCTTAGCATGATAGATGAAAGTCAGCTCAGCTTAAGAAAGCCCTGAAAGGATAGAAAGTGAAAATAACTCATTATGTGCCTATTTGGATGAGTAGGTGGGAGAGGGGGTGTCTGTGCCTCCATGATAAGGCTGTTGGGTCTGTATCTGATGCCTGTTGCTCAGTCATGCTATCGCTTCTCTAAAACATGTATACACATTGCCTCAAGCTATATAAGGTATTTTGATACTTTATTCTTAAATGTATTTAAGCATTAAAAAAAAAAAAAAACTTCTGGCAGCTGTTGTCAGGCTGGTACAAAGTTTCTCAGGAGTCTCCAAGAAATGAAGTAGTTAATTTGATAAAAATCTGTTCTGAGAGTATTTTAATATATTTATACATCCTAATTTAACTCCCAAACCACACGAAATAAAACCTCAGTGCTTTTTTCCCATAAGACATGAACATATAATATTTTAAAAGATACAGTGATGTTATAGCTTCTTCAATTAGGAAACATCTTGATTCTAATAATGTTAGAGAGAAAAGCTCTGTCTGTTGGATATTTTCGAAACTAATTTATACTCAATTAAGAACTTTATTTTTAATCTAGAGAACCATTCAAATCAGTAATTAGAAAGCATGGCTGGAAAAAAAAGCCCACTTGCATGTTGCTGTGAGAATAACAAGAAAGAAATGAACCATTTTTTTTTTTTCCACCTGGGTTTCATCTCTTTCTGCCTACTGAACAGGAATGAGCCATCGGTATCTGCTAATACATGTAATGCTAGAACACTTAAATAAGAAAAACAAAGTTGTTGTTTGCCAATTTAAAATAAGAAAAATCTATTATATTATGAAGGCTATGCAAAATATGTTTCTTATGAATATTCTTTTCAATCACAATTTATCTATATGGGAAAATAAAGCAAACATCATATTCAGTACATTTGGCTCCTCAAAAAGGAGGAAGTAATTCTTTCAGGGTAAAAGACTCTCAGTCCTTCCATTTAGAATCCTCTGAAAGACATACACACCCAGAGTTGGAACCACTGTATTTATTGAAATTTAGCTTAAGTACCATACTTTGCATTTTTTGTTCAAATTATCCATATTTTATAGGCTATTTCTCATTTTTCACAAGACTTTCACTATAGAAGAGAGTCATTAACAATAAGGTTTTTCTTCAAAGTAATAAAAAAGTTGGAAGACTCTCCAATTGTAGTTGCTTATTCTCTGATGTCAGCCCTCTGATACTTGATGTAATTTGCTTGTCGTTAAATAGCTAAAGCCAAATCAATAATGTAGCTTCTCCTGCTAAACATGTATGTTCTTGTTGAGCTAAAACTGTTAAGAAAGAGTCATATTGTTGTGTTGTGAAATTTCATCTTCAAGTTTTATTACAAGAGATAAACTCGAAGCAAAATAGACCACAAATACTGTAAAAATACGGGTGACAGAATAAGGAGGTAAAACTTGATCTATATTCAATAATGAATTGTGAAGACAAGCTATAAATAAGGTATTCGTGGCTGACATGTTCACTGAAATAATTAATAAAAATTTTCTAGTTAAAGTCAACCTGTAATCACCAAAGGCACTTCACTGCATTAAGATAAAACTAAAATAAACATATATTAAGGGTGCTGCCATCTATTATACAAATATACATGATTTTGTGAGTGATAAAAATATTAAGGCTTAGGACTTACTATTAAAAAATCATTAATAATGTTTCTGGATTTCTTGTGAACATAAATTTTTCAGGTTTTCTGTAGTAGCTCGGATTTAGACTGCTTCTAAGTTGTTGCATGTGGCTTAAGTGCAAAGTAGTTAAGAAATGCGATGTTTTTATGCAGTCATGCCCATAGCACATGTGACCAGAAAGTCTGTTATTCTCATTTACATAATATTCTAAGCCTGTCTAAACAAATTTTAAAAATAAAATAAAATAAAAATCTCAAGTTGGACAATTGTCCTATCATCATCTCAGTGTAATGGAATCTTTTGGATTAGAAATATATTTGGTTTAATTTAAATGTGTCAATGAATCAAATATAGCTCTTGAATATAGTCCATAACACTGAGGGCACAATGATCTGACGTTCACACTTCTCTTTCTTTTGATTTCCTTTTGGTGTTCTCAAGTGTTTTACTGGAATGATTAACTGGAGTGATCTATGCAGATTACATATGTGTGTGCATGTATGTATTCTACTAAAGTTGTTTTGGTTTAAATTTCTTGGTTCTTTCTAGCATAGGCAAGAGGTAAAGAGGCTTTTAAATATTGGAAACCATTTAACATCTAGTCAACTAGATTTTCAGCTGTCGTGCTCCATTATACATTCATAGAAAGGATTCATTTTTTTCTATCTGTACTTCATCAATAATGACCAAAAATACTGAGGTTTTTTTTTTTTTTTTGCTTTGATTGGGGTTATTAACCTTTAATACAGGTAAGTCAAAGGTGGTGTAGCTTCACATTGGTACCCCAAAAAAGACTGCTTTTAGTTTTATCAGAAATAACTTGTTTTCTTGTGTAAAAGCTAAATGATCAAAACAGAGTAACAGAGGCAGCTGTGCAAGAGTTCTGTGTTGTTGTGTAATAAATTTCTATGTTGTGTAATGAATCTCTTATTTTATAATAAAAAGTATAAATAGTTATCAAATGCTCACAGTATTTCAGGTACTGTTTTAAGTCCTTTGGAAATTTTCTATAATTAAAATTTACAATAATCTTTCGAGATAGCAACTATGATTATTCCAACTTTTAAAAAATTGAAGTTTAGAGAGGATAAACAATTGCCCATGGCCAGGTAGCTACTAAGGTACAGTTCCAAGATTCAAACATACAGCTTGACTCCAGAGTCTATGCTTTTAATCAATACTTAAAACTGTCTTGATGTAGATTCTGATGGGATATTCAGCTATTTCTCCTCAGAGTTGTATATGTGGTAATAGTATCTGAAAAACTTGGATTCTTTTAAATGTAAGGAAAATGATTAATAATTAAACAGCAAAATTACATTATAGGTAAACCATGTGTAGGTTTATAAATAGATTTTAAGTAATTAAGGCATATATAGGAGTACACAAAAAATGTTTTGCTTATTCTCTATTTCTGCCACATTAAAAATCTTGTGTCATGCGAGAATGAATGTCAGGCCTGAATGAGGTTGTCATTAGTACCATCCTTTCTTTGATTTCAGGCTTGTGTAGTGGACTGGTCTGAAAAAGTGCTTTGCCTCCAGGGATTTCCTCCACACTTGTTAAATTGAATCCCTGGCAGTCAAAATGTTCTGTCCTTACTGCAGATGCTGTTATTCTGTTGCCTTTACTTTAGAATCTTCTGTTTCCATCTCTTTGCATTTTCATAATAATATAGACGAGTTGAGGATTCTGAATTTTGTTTAGGCGGAAAACCCTAAACTTTTCTTTTTATTTATTTATTTATATTTTGCACAATGTATTGCAGCAATCTGGGCTCAATTTCTCTGTTCCATGTTTCTTGCCATTTTACTTTTTACTGTTCCCCCTCTATATATTAAATTTCGTGGCCGGGCCCAGTGGCTCACAGCTGTAATCCCAGCACTTTGGGAGGCCGAGGCGGGGGGATCACGAGGTCAGGAGATCGAGACCATCCTGGCTAACACGGTGAAAGCCCGTCTCTAGTAAAAATACAAAAAAATTAGCTGGGCGTGCTGGTGAGTGGCTGTAGTTCCAGCTGCTTGGGAGGCTGAGGCAGGAGAATGGCGTGAACCCGGGAGGCGGAGCTTGCAGTGAGCCCAGATCGTGCCACTTAACACTCTAGCCTGGGCGACAGAGCGAGACTCCGTCTCAATAAATAGATAGATAATTAATTAATTAATTAATTTCGCATTGATTTCTCACATTGTTCTTTATTATGGGCCTCCTGTTCACTAATAATAGTTCACAGACCTCTTTGACACTGTTCACTTTAAGGAAGGTGCTGTGCCACAAACGTTGGCCCGATTTAGGGGCATTTGATCAATGCTCATTCCTAGGATTCTGGTCTTTGTGACTCACTCAACAACTCCTGGGTGCTGAACTGAGCCCGGCCCTGCGCCTATGTTAACTTCACCAGCCTAAGAAGGTTGGGGAATGGACAGCTTGTACCAGCTCTCTCAAAAAAGCTAAAGTGAACATTCTATTGTACAATCCAGTCTTTTATGCACTCTCTTTGTACTTTCACTGTCTAGAAGAATTAAAAATTGCCTTTTCTTGATATTGGAGTAATAAAATGAAGAAGTAGCCATAGATTTAGAAGGAATAGGGTCTAAGCAGGTTGTTTATATTTTGCTTTCTTTGTATTTCTGAATTTGGCTGCTCTAACCCAGACAAAAGAAAATTTGCATATGGTCCAGCATAGCTCACTCACATTCTATTCTGATAATTGAAAAAAGAAAAAAAAAATCTAATAATTAAAAAAGGACTTTATGCCATGCATTTTTATCCCTGATAATATATTTCTGAAGGATAAGTTCTAGGAGATTCCGTGCTTTTCGCAAAAGTCCATATGTTATGATATTTTCATCTATTTGACGACACTTCAGCATCAAGAATTCAACATACATGTGTTAATTAATTTAAACAATATTAAACTAATCAGTTATTCTAGACAGAAACACAAATTCCAGGACTAATCAGAAAGGCTATATTCTGACATTGCCCGAATCTCTAAACAACCACATGGTTTTGCAAATTTTCATATTGCAGGTCTTAATTAAGTTTTCAGCAGTAAAAATGGTGTTTTCTTCTGAGCATGGTAGATATTAAATGTGAAGGCTCATTTGTGAAAGCACAGGTATTTAAGATTGTGATTTGGCTAAAATACTATAGAAGTATACTTGATCCTCGAATGACCAAGGCATAAAAATTGAAGGGCTCTATTAACCTTTATTCTTAAAAATGGCACCCAAGTCTTCATTTCAGGCCATCATGAGTCCAGTTATGTAAAGCAGAATTTCTGGTTGCCAGATGTCAACTATAAAGATGAATAAATACTGTTTCTGGAATATCATCACAACAGTCATGTGTAAACCTCATAGTGTAAAGTAATGGCTGGTGCATTGAAAAGGGCAGAAAGCTAGTTCTTCATCAAACTTATCAAACAGGTTAAATAAAGCATTTTGAAATTGCTGGGTAATAAATATTTGTTTAATAAATGTGTGTATGTAGGCAGAATTTGGGCTGAGACTCATTTTTATGACATGCTAGTGGTAAATCTAAGGAACAATAACTAAACCTCATCCCCCTTAAGATTTTCGAACATACCATTACTACCAAAATATTCAGAGTTATTATGCATACTCAGATTGGCTTGAGTCAGGTAGCAATTTTGTCCATACTCCATCCTTGTCCTGAGCATTTCATCCATACACTTTCTTACTTACTCTTTTTTACTTACAGCTTTTCTCTTCACTGTTGTCATTCTGTGATCATTTTAAACATGCTTCTGTATAATATTTAGGAAGGAAAAGTATTCATTTTTCTATTGAAAAGCCTACCTTCCTTTCTTTCTAGTACCTTTTTGAAATTTTTCACTTGATCTTTCCATTTCTTTACCTCCATGCCATTTTGAATGCCGAACTTCTCTGAAACATTCTCAGATCTCCACATGCCTCTTTATTAGTTAAGCCAATGAACACTTGTAGCATTTTTTACTTTTTCTCTCATTTGGCCTCTTGGCAGCATTTGGCACAATTGACCTTTCCCCTCTTCAGGCATCATGACACTCCTCTTCCTCATTCAAGCCTTTCATTTTTGATCAGTAATTTTCAGTATTCATTGAGGACTCATTTTCTTCTGCCCAGCTTTTAAATATTGATATTCCCTGAATAAACAATAAGCCAAGCATTATGTTTACTGAGACATGTTAATGCTCTTCCACACAGTAATGAAATGCATGCTGTGGTGTGCTTGCTTACCTTCAGCCTTCTGTTGGCTGTTTATCTGCAGGGGAGTGAAAGTTCTGCTCTGCTAGGGCACTGTGAAGCCATGACCTCCTCTCTAGTTCTTATTTCAAGCAAATAATTAAATGGATTTCTGCCCTGATTATTTCTAAAATTTTTTTATGTAAGTACAGAAAAAAAAAAGACTATAAATCTTAGCATTCACTACAACTTAGTGAGTGCTGTGACTTTGCTTTGAAGACAAGGCTGAAACTGACCTATTTCATCAAAACAACAACAGTTTTATAATTTAGCACTAGAAAGATTTAGGGCCCTGACTCTCAGAAAGTTGAGGGGTCACTCTGAGGAATGGGTGGAAAGAAACACGACAGAGTTGACAAATAGTATAATTTGAGTGACTACCCAATGATTCCCATGAACTAAGTCTTTTAGAGGAAACAGTAATAACAGGAAAAATGAGGAAGGGTTTATAATTTGCAAAACGTGATCACGTGATTCTAAATTACTGATTTTCCAAAATTGTCTGAAATTGAGAAATCAAAGAGGGCATTTTACTCATTTATAAACTAATATTGCATGGGTTTTGCTTTCATATTTGGAAAATGAAAACAGTACTAACAGAGACACAATAACAGTATGTTATTCAAGAAATTATAATATTTTGATTGTCATAGATATAATATTTAAGTAAGTTTTTAAAATCTGTGATTATATTAATTTACAATTTACGTAAAGTGTGTGGAAGGTATTCTAATATTGGATATAATATTAAATGGTATTGAATCCATGTTATATTAATTATTTTTATTTAATTCAAATTAGAAATTATCTTATAATTTGCCATAATTCCTTCTATAACCATTGTTAATACAGAGATTTTATATGTAATATTGTATATATAAAACATATCATGTAATATATTCACAATAATTCACAAATTTATCTTTGTGGCCCTAATATCTCTATTCCCATTGGTAACGGTCTACTGAAAATTTCTCCAAAAGTTATTCTGTACAATCAGAAAATCCCCAGTAATAACACTGTTCATTCTCTTTCCTAATACATCTTTTACTTCTCCTGTGTTACACCTCTCAGGAAATGGCAAATTTGTAAACTGGAAACCTGAGAGTCATTGACTTTTCCTTTCCCTCAGCTTCCATATTCAGAAGGTAATTGTCTTAGTCGGCTCTGGCTGCCATGGCAAAATACCATTAAAAAATAAAGAACAGAAATGTATTTTCTCACAATTCTGAATGCTGTGAAGTCCCAAATCAAGGTGCTGGCTGATTTAATTCCTGATGAGGTCTCTCTTACTGACTTTCAGACTGCCACCTTCTTGCTGTGTCTTCATGTGACGGAGAGAGAGTAAGCTGTGGTGTCTCTTTTTCTTCTCATAAAGGCACCAGCTCTGTCAGACTAGGGCCTCACCCTTATGACCTCATTTAACTTTTATCACCTCTTGACAGGCCAAATAATCACTTTCAGGTTTAAGGTTTCAAAGTATAAATTTGTCTGTAACAATTATGTAGATTTCTAAATTCTACCTATGTATTATCTCTTACTCTGTTCATTCTTTTATTTCAAGTCCTTATTATTTCTCTAATTCATTGTATCAGTAACCTATTAACCACCTTCCACTGATACCTTATTTTATGCCATTAATTTACCCTCCATCAATACGTGATCTACCACCTAAGTGATGTTTCTAAAAGACAAATCTGATATGTCATGTCCCTTCTTGGGAAGCAATTAAGGGAATTAATAATGTGAAGGCTCTGGAGTAAGAGTCTGTGATCTTGGCTCTACCACTTATTAGCTCTGTGGCCTTGGCAAGTTAATTGCTTAACCTCTCCAAGTCTTGGTTCACTTCTTTTTAGCATAAGGATCATCATTGCGCCTATCTCATAAGGTTAATATGAGGATTAAATGAAAGAAAATGCATGGAAGACATTACAGTATTGTTCATATAGGACACTGTCAATACAGGAAGCTTATTATTATTATCCAATTAAAATCTTATATGACTCCTCTCAGCTTTTAGATAAACTATAATCTTTTTATGATATATAAGGACCTTCATGATATGCAGATTGTCTCCAACCTTATATCTTCACTAGAGAGTTTCTGCTTTTCCCTTGGGTAAATTATACTGAGTAGTTTGTAATTCTTTATAAGCCCCCTCCTTTGTCCTAGCCTCTAGACCTCAGGAAAAAACCTCCCTCACATTAAGTGATGTTCCCTCCTTCTCCAGTAAGTAACACCTGCCTAATCATCATTAAATAATCAATTCTAGAGTTTCTTTTCCAACTAAGATTCCATGACTTCCTCATTTTATCTAGGGTAGGTTTTCCTCTCCTTTCCCAGGACTCTGATAGCAGCCATGTTTATCTCTTTCATATCACTAATTATATTATATGACAATTTCACTTTTATTTACCTGTCTTCTAAATTGTACCTATTCTACATGGTTGTTGTTTTTCTTTTATTAATTTTGTTCTTAAATATTGGAACCTATACAAACAACAGGTAGTAAATAAATACTCTTAATGGATAAATTTGTCCACTCCTTTAAAAATACCTGTATTCTTATCTTCATAAACGAGTGGCCATAATAGTGTATTTATCCTCCTGTTAAATTCATACCTGACCCTACATCTGTTTACCCTGCTCTGAATCCTATAATTCAGTAATATTATGGGTATAATTTTGTTGTTGATGTTATCTCTTTCAGTGCCACTCTGGAAGATAGATTTTGTTAGCCTTTTTTTTTTTTTTTTTTAATGTGCAGAAGCAGATTTCAACATAATTCTGTTAAAGCAGAGAAGTTCTTTACAGTATTTCAAAATATTTTCATTCCTTTCCACCCCTCATATCTACATTACACTTGTTTTAGAGTAAACTATAAAAACCAATCTTAAGTTAGGTTTTCTAACTATTATTTTAGTACAAGGAGTACATGATCATATAACAATATACTATTCTCATTTCTTCTACTTTTATACAGTGACGATTATAATTGTGATTGAATGCTATGCAAATTTCAGAGGAGAAGTTTGTTTTTATGTCGTCATGAACTCATAAATGTAAATTTTACTTTCCTTAATAATCATATTTTTACTTGCTTTAGTTTGCTGATTAGGTTGCAGTTGTATTTTTTTATCTGCAGGTAGATGTTAGATGAAGTTATAGGTAAAATTGCAAATCCCTATAGATAGCTGGTATGATCTTAGCTAAAAATAACTGAACATTTCTTGGTTGGTCGATATAGGATCAAAACATAGAGTAGAGAGAAGTGACCTCAAATCGAACACATCTTGCACTGTTGTTTGTCAACAGTAAATTACATCTGATTTTAAACAAGAGAAGGAAAAACTGCTGGCGACCTGTGATTGTGCTTCATACAAGGATCAATACAAAGGAGAATAGCCTTTTTAGCTTTTTCCAAGTTCTCTGACTTCTTGGAGCAAATTGGCAGTACTTTTTGGTCATTCTCAATTAATAGCACTCTCTCCCTAAGCCAGAGAGTCTATAGTCCTGAGGATGGTAGGGAGAAGGGGGAGAGTTTCTCAAATAACATAACAGAAGTGTTCCAGGCTGAAGATTGCTTTGATTAAAAAAAAAAAAAAAGCAATTGGTTTTCACCTTCTATAAAAGGATTAGGAACTCAGAAATGCTGAGAGAAAAAGGCAGGAAGAGTTTTGTGTATTTTGCAAACCTTGTTTTGAAGTGCACAAACTAGTGATTTCTAGAGCAATTTCAGGGTAAGAATTAAACTCTTTTAACCAATATTTTGAAGAGATTTTGACAATTTTTTTTACATTACCATGTTGGTGAAAACAAATTACAATCTTCCTCTATCCCTAATTGCATGTGTTTCATTCTTATATTTTTCTCAGCAAGGCTTTTGTGTTAAGAAAAAAAAATACTAACTAATTTGAGTGTGTCTCAATGTTTTATTTTGATTAATTGTTAATTAAGTCATTTTAGAAATAATTAAAAATAATTATTTTTAGCTAATCCTAAGATTCATGGTAAAATAAGAAAGAGATGGTGTGTTCCAAATCACGTTACCATTTGTGCTGCCAAAGTGAAACATAGGTTATTGTGATAGGGAGAAAGAGAAGAGAACAGAACACAAAAAATTGAGTGGAAAAGTAGAGAAGAAGGGAAAAAAAAATGCACCTATTAAAAAATAACAGCAAAGTGTAGTGGGTAAGTTAGATATTGTGGAGGTCAAGTTAGATATATGTTTTATTCCAAATTATGACAGCATTTATGAATATGGTTTTAGCCATTTCATTTTGGGAATAATAAAGGGCATAGTAAGCATTCAATAAATATTAGCCATTAATTATAAAATATCACTCAGAGGCACGCACTCCATAGGTTCTTAGGCCTTTTTAGTAACACACGTCCTATACCCATAGTTATGAATTTGCATAGTAACCGTTCATAGAATAGTAATCAAGTACAAATTCTTTTGCAAATTTTTTTCTTGCAAACCATTTGGAGGCATTGGACCTACTGAATCTTCCTCATGAAATTCAACTGTGCCCTGAACTTATGATAATTTCTCCTTAATAAATTGAATGGAATTAATGGCTTCAAATAAGAATGATCAAATGTAAAAATATATCCAAGTGTTAGAATGAATATTTTCCAATATAAAAGAAAAAAGTAAAAATAATATAATTTCAGAATGTTTTGTTTGTGTGAGTAGGTAGATGGCTAAAGAAAACCTAGAAAACAAGTATACATTTATTTTATAAATATTATTAAATGCTCCCCTTTGCCAGGTATTAAGTGTGCCCTGTACAAAACTTGCTTGCTAAAACAGACTTTGTTCTAATTCTTATGGCACATATTCCTTAGCAGGGACTACAATCAATACTCAAGTAAATAAGCAAACACACAATTACAAGATGAATTTCTACAATATTTATAAGATAAACTTACAGGGGAGAATAGTAGAGCATAGTAGTTACTCACATGAAGGTAGTTAGGGAAACTCTATCTGTGCTGGTAGAATTTAAGCTGAATTCTGAAGGACAAGAGAGCCAGCTATTAATAGAGGTGGAGACTAGAATGATCCAGACAGATCCATGTGCAACTATTGAGTAGTAGGTGTGAAGAGGTCGATTTGATTGAGGAATTGAAATGACTGTGGCTAGAGTTTGTGAGGTAAAAATGACATATGATGGATTTTAAAATGTATGATGTTGATGTTGGGTTTACAGTAAGTATAAAAAGACTTATCTGGAAAATACCTAGTTGTGGACTATAAGAGGTAGGGGATAAGAGTCATAAAAATAAAAAAGAAAATAAGCTAAGTCCTCCCTATTCAAAACATGGTACGTGGACCACTAGGATCCGTCCTGCATGGGAGTGTGTTAAAACTGCAGAATCCAGGAGTCCATCACAGATTTAGGGAAATAGGGTCAACATTTTAACAAGATCTCAAGGTACTTTATAGGCATATTATTACAGTTAGAAAATATAGAGTCTGGGTGATTATTGAAGATGACTTGGATTTGATGGGGTGATGGTTTGAGTGGAAAGAATTGGATTGATTCACGATGTATTTCATAGCCTATTTAATGTAGTTTAATGAGATAAGTAATTTTTTAAACTTTTCCATCAGTGAACTCCCGAAGGACCGGGGAAAATAAATGTTTCCTGTGCTTTCAGGCTTGTCTGGAACTTTTCTCTCAAGACTGTCATATATATTTATTCTCTTGTTTTATTTTTAAAAAGTAACATTTCCATTATACTCTATAGCACATTTTTATTTCATTATAAATTTATAGACCAGTAATGAAAACCTATGATGAAAATTTTGACATATTCACTATGTGGCTTTATGTAACTTTATGTACCCTGAATAAACCACCAAGCACACAGATCTAACAAGTTACAAAACCACAGAATGTATTCAATACAACGGCAAATATTGATTTGAGGACATTGGTATTTGAACATTTATTAGAAATAAATATGAGTCTATTTGGGCAACATTAAACAAACATTACTCTGTGCTGAATAGGTGCCAGGCTGGTTCCTATGTGCTAAGACAGTGTGAATAAGAGAGACTGTCCTCAAAATGAGAAAAGAACATGCACTGAAATTGAATAATATCATAGGAGAAAATAAGGCAAAGACTCCTGTTTTTCTCATTTGAATTGTCCACCTTTTAGGTAAATGTGCATTCATTAACTATATTCAAACAGTTTAGTAATTCAGAATGTGATTAACTGAAATGCAGCACTAATCTACTTGCAAATCTGGTTCTCTGGGAAACAAGGAAAGATGGAAAGGCTGTTTGAAAATGGTAGCATCTGACCTATTACAAGCCTGGGTGAAAAAAAGAAATACTAAGACTGCTGCAACAAAACAAACCCATAAAAGCACAAAATGGGAGTGCAAGCCATTTACCTTTACAACAGCTGCATGGTGCAGATGAATCAAAGCACTGCCAGCAATAAACAGATCTGGTCAATGTCAATTTTCCCCAGGCATCTGGTATTGTCACTAGTGATTTTACTGAAGATTACCCATCAGTTAGTGCAGATTTGTTTTTTAATTGGCCCTTACCGCACCTGCCACATTTTTCTTGTTCTTGGTCCCAGAAGCTTTCTGCAGAGATGAAGAAGGTGGCTATCTGGAGAATATATTCTTAAAGCACACCGTGAAGGACATTCATGAGAACAATTAAGTTTTTAATACAAGGTAAAAGGCGCCCTTGTTTAATATAAGGAGAAGGAATGTAGGGCAATTATTAGTGAATTAGGAACAAGTCACCATAGCATCTACATTATTATAATGTCAGCTTTGGAAAGTGATCATTTTCATAGTATTTCTTTTTAATTTCATATAATAGTCAAGTATGACATGGTGGAAGTAAATTATGAACAGGTGGGCAGGGTGTCTGGAGGGCAACACCACTCATCAGGTTGACAAAGCAGCAAGACAGATCACAGGATAATCAGCAGGTGGATAAGGAAGCAGCAGGCATAATGATTTGCTACATAGTATTTGGCATTAATTACAACTGTTGAAATGCCAGGGGCGGTTTTACTTTAAGGTGAAGAATACAAATATGGTTTGGAATCTTCTGTTAACTTAGTGACCTATATGTTTTAGAATCTTTATGTTATAATATGATTGTATTATGATATAGAAACATATATTTTGGCATAATGTATTTCAAAGTTTACAAATGAGTAACAAGCACCTGGTTTGACTTTCTCATAATTATCCACAGTTTGCTCCAAAAATTAACACAGAATTATAAAACCTCAAAGATGTAAAAAAATCAGGGATGTTTTTATCTTATTAGTTTATATAAATAAATAGAAACATTACTGAAATTTAAATAGTGCACAAATGACACTGGATGTTCAAACTTTTGAACAGTGTTCATCACTAAATGAGCCTAACAAGACTGAGAACAGCAACAGATTCAAAGCTCTGGGTTTTTTGGGGAGTGAATACATACATTCTTACAAAAATAAATTATCTATTAGTAGTGAGATTAACCCACGTTAGGCCCTAAACCGTTTTTAGGGCCTATTAAACTGAATTTTCAAAAAGACTTTATGAAAGAATTTGGCCAATTTTAAGGAAAATTTCAGCAAGGAAATGATTAGACAAAGGAAATTTGCTGTGCTTCTCTCATGTGTTTCATCAAATACATGACTCGGTCATTCATCTTCAACTAAAGAAGAGTTTGTAGTATAAATGATTCATTTACTTTTATTTTTCCCCCTTTTTGTTTTGCATCATCTTACTGCATCATCTTTAAAACATTACTTCTATTTATTTCTGCTTTTTGTTATCAAGAGAATGCTATAGATGTTGATTTTCTACTATATATCCAAAATGAAATACAGATAGTAGTCAAGGACAAAGAAAGTTGAAGTAATTCTTTCAATCAATGTTAAAGTTATTAGCTTGAAGGCTGTTTCATGGAGTGGGGTAAGGCCAGTAAAACTGTCTCCCAGCAGTCAAGAGTATACACAGAGTAGTCAAACTAGCCTCTGAGCCGCCAAGAGCACATGAGACTGGGAGGGTGGCAAAGGTGGTAAATAAGCAGGATTGTATAAAATGAAGAGAATATCTCCTTGAGTGTTGGCTTTATAGGAGTGCAGATCAGGAAATAGAGGTCCTTGCAAAACAACCCTTACTAAAACATATATCTCTCAGGTATCTGCTGAAGTACATATCATTCAATAAGGCAATTAATGCTAATAAAGTTAAACTAAAAGATAATTAAATATATTAACATTTACCTGAAAAAAAAAGATTATGAAATGCAACAAAGAGAAGGGTTAGGGAAATAAACCTTAAGAGTTTTTAAAATGCTTTCAAATGTAGCTACAAACAGGGTGAGTTTGAAGGCAATGCTGAAAAACCTCAAAATGTTGTCCCAAAGAAGTGATGACTTTGGTTTTGGACTTGATGATATAGAAAAATGTATTTATTCATGGAAATGAACTGTTTAAGTGTTTCAAGATATGAGGCAGAGATAAGGAAAACATAATAGTTACAAAATTATACTATATTTCAAAATGAATTATTGCTTTATGCTGAGAAGTTTTTCATGTTCTTCAAATGTCAATTAAGTCTTGTTGGGAAGCATTCATTGAACATACCACCATTTCCCATTAAGCTAGAGACTTAAGCATCCTCAAATGGACAACAACAACAACAACAACAAAAAAAAAACTTGCAGATTTTATATGTGTTACAATTTAAAAGTTATAAGAAAACATTAGTTAACCTCCTTATCAACTGCTATGCTAAGTAAATTATTTTCTTTTTGATTCAAGGATTGATTTTTTCATGGCTTCAAGTCTAATTTAAATAAATAAAACTGTATGTATATCTTGCAGTCTTAAAAATGACTTCATTCTCCATGGCCCTAGCTGCAGGCGCTTCATGGAAGCACCACTGTAGGTGAATAAATGGGAATAATAACTATTCTATTTGCATAGTGGCTACTTTTCAGTCCTCAGAATGAGCTTTTTTTCACTGTTCTTGAGAAGTAGCTAGAAAATATCCATGATTGAAAATTAGTCTTTATATCTCATTATCTGTAAGACAATGGGTTTATTTTAAATGTTTGAATAACTGTTAATTGATACAAGAAAACTGGCCTCACTCTCACATTTAAAAAGAGTTTTGGAAGTATATTTCCTATATAATGAGTTGGTAAATGTTAAGCACGTAGAACAGACCCTGGCTTGTATTTACTATATATGTGCTAATTGTATTTGTTATTATTGATTGGCTGATAGGATTAGTAATTGTGCCCTGAGAAAGGTATTAGAGGTACCTAGGAAGCCAACAGAACTTTAATTTTTGTATTATACAACATCTTTTAGCAGAAACACAGATACTAAATATTTGCTGTGGTAAATTGAAAAATACCTCCCCTAAAAGGTATTCATGTTCTAGTCCCTATAGCCTGTAAATGTTACCTTACATGTGCCCTTCTCCCTGTCAAAGATGGCTCTTTGTAACTTTGATTTAGTTAAGAATCTTGAGATGAAGTTATTACCCTAGATTAGCTGTGTGGGCCCCAAATGCAATCCCAGGTACCCTTATAAGAGGGAGGCAGATGGAGATTGTGTTACACAAAGGAGGTAGTATGGAAACAGAGCAGAGGGAATTGAAGATGCTGGCCTTGATGATTAGGTTAGTCTGACCACAGTCTGTTCCCCACCTAAGTTCCTATTCTAAATCATTGTGTAAAATTGTCATCAGGAAAATGCAGTTCCTTTGACATCTATTGAGCTCATTTGCACTGGATTGCTCTTACATAGCTTTCGTAATACTCTGATATCCAAACACAGGTCCTGCTTTTTAGGGCATCATGACATACTGGAATCTGCAAAGTTGCAGCCACTTTTCCATCTTCAGCGAGAGAAATATTAATAGATACTGATTGCTGCATTCTTAGCATATTCTAGGCCAGAGAGACAGAATGTCAGGCAGAGTAACTTGATCTCCAAAGCTACTGTTCTTGATTTCCAGGTGACTCAAATCCAAGCAAATTACCATTAATGCCAACAAAAAGGAGCATCCAAAGTAAAACACATGTTAGGAGATGATCTATATCTGTATCTACATCTATCCATACTTCTGGTAGATGGTATGGGGGATATGTTATTTCAAATTAGAAGAAGGAACATATTTTCTTATACAATAATTACGTGGTGTGTTGATTCAACACTGAGAGTTGCCTCAGTTGGAGTTAGGAAGAAAATTCCAGTTTCCCTACTCATGTAGCTGGTGATGTGAGATAAAACTCTTGGATTAAACGACATAATCAACAAGTAGGATAAGAAGAATTTTTTTCAGGTATTTGTATGATCTATGCGTTTTCAAACATGGCAGAGAAATCAAAGCATCAAAAAGACATGTCATCTAGGTCACAAGAGATTATGAAATTATGAAAAAATAGGAGGGAAGATATTCTAAATATGTCTGTATTCTGATCAAAGACAATAATGAAATTTCCATCTCCTAGAAGATGAGTCAATTTGCTGCTAAGAAAGTGCTAAGATTGTGGAAAAACAATGGGGAATGAAAAAAGTTTATTTTGTTGTTGTTTATTTGATTTTAAAATCTCTGAGAATCCATTGCATTTGGAAATAGAGTCTCATTTTGGAAGTAGAGTGGAAAGTACATGCCACATTTCTCCTATGTCCAATCAGATATCACAATATCAAAAACTCTACAAGCCAATTAGATTTTTGACTTTTTTTTTCTGTGACTTAAACAGAAATGGCTCCACAGATGAGGCCGGAGACAGAAGTACTTTCTATGAAATGATAATAATTACAATAAAGGCGATATTTTATTAGGAGTTCATTATGTGTTTAAAACACATTATGAACACATTTCAATATGCAATGTATATGGATATATATACATATATAGGCAAAGACATGCACACATACACATATAGAATCTTAAGTGTGTAAAATACATAGCAAGCAGTGGTACTGGTTGGAACGCATATAATCCTTAAGATACTGGTCTTTGAAACCCCAATGTCTAGCTCATATAGCTGCTTTGCTACTTTTTAACTCTGTTACCTGACAGAAGTCCCTCAATATCTCTGCATGCCAGTGTCTTCACCTATAAAATGGTGATAATAAGAGTATCCTCCTCACTGTTTTGTTATGAGAATTGAGTGAGCTGTACATGCAAAGCACTTGGAACAGTTCTTGCACCCATCGTTTCTGACAAATTAGAATAAGCTCCTACCAATCTTTATCACAATCATCTGACATATATTTTTAATCCTCATTTTATATGTCAAGAGACTGATGATATTTTCATAAATTTACCAAATTTATATAACTAGGAAGTGGAGATGGAGATGCTCGGATATGAGCCCAGGTATTTTTCTTTCTCTATCAATTAATTCACAATTAGATTTTGTCACTATTAGTATGACCAATACTACTAATCAAGTGTTGTATATCTCTGCTTCATTTTCCTAATCTGAAAAAAAAAGAAAATTGTAGTGCTTGGCATATGATAACTGCTCAAATATTAACTCTGTTTTTATAATTGTTAAACTTATTATTTGTTCTTTATTATCAAAGGCTTTATCTTATTATTCACTGTCTCCCCAGCATTCATTGACAACTAAATCACAAAGAACTTATATCTTATACATAGCAATTTTCTAATAACAACAGAACAGCCACAAACACACACACGGAGAGAGAGAGAGAGAAAGAGAGAGTATATTAACAGAGGAAATATGCTCAGATATCAGTTACTAAATAAACTTAATAGTAACAAACTTTTGGAACACAGTCTGCTTGCAGCTTTAAAAAGTGAATATCATTTTATGCACCTCTTCCTAATTTTAATAATTATTGCTCTTTTTTGTTTTTTAAACCTGGCTATAGTCCCAGACTTTAATTGCTATTCTTTTTCAACCTGGCCTTGATTTTACCGTAGACACACATCTCTCCGGGGTTCTTCTGCCTCAATACATCTCAGCCAACTTGGCATAAGAAGTGTGTCTGTGTGTCTGTGTGTCTGTGTTGTTCTCACATCTTCACCCATGTTCCAGTCTACTTGTTAGGAGAAGAGCAACCTATTTGATACTTTCCTCTCCTAACGTGCTTACCTTTTTTTGATTTCAAGTTACCTAATTCCTCCAGCTCAAATAACTTTTACACTGCACTTCATAAGAATAAACTCTCCTATATAGTTCTATTATAGCTGATATTACCCAAAATAATTTCTAGAATGCTTTAAATTATTCAAGAAACATAAGAATGTGTGTAATAAGTTCCTTAAGAAAAACTGCTCTAAGAAGCAATCTGTTAAAAAAGACAGCCAGAATATCTTGCACAAAATATGATGCATATTTTCTAATAAAAATTCCATCCTTTCAAATGTTAACAATCATATACATACTCTGAGCTCAAGATCAGGGATTTCCATATTTGTAGTTTACAGATATAAAATCAGAATTCTATCAAGCCTGGAAATCTTGTTTTCTGATTGCCCAATATAAAGTTTACTAAAATCAAAGTACTGATACCAATCATTTCAAAACTCATGTCAAACTTAGAAAAAATAAATTTTACTACTGAAAATGAAAACTTTAGCAATTAGTATAATAATTATTATAATAGCATTCATAGTACTGAAAGTTTTTACATACATGCACTCCATACTTTACTTCATATTTTATGTACAGTAATTTATCTGTATGTAATTTATAACCTGCTTCAGAAATAAGCGCTAATATGCCCCATTTTACACACATAGCCTCATGTGTGCAAAAATTAAATGATTTGCCCGAGGTTACACGCACTGTATGCAGCAGAGCTGAGATTTACACCCAGATCTGCATTCCAAGACTCATGTGTAGATCCTGTGCCTCCTTAAACTACCATCTCACTTTCTCCTTCCCTTAATAAGCAAAGACTTCTAAAGAATATGCTTGACTTTCTGTCTCTATTATATCACCTGATAATCTTCCACTGAAATGAATCAAATTCAGCCATGCCTCTTATGGATATGTAAACCTGTTCAGGATGACTCTCTGTCATTTGCTTACAGAACCCCTCTCTCTCTCTCTCTGACACACACACACACACACACACACACACACACACACACACACACACAATCTAAACTGCCTCCATGGCCTCATTTCTGCTAGGGAAGCTTTTAGGAGGCCATCAACAAATCACTGACTGATGTTGTAGTTTGGTCTGGGTTTTTACAAATCAGTGAGCTTGTGAATCTGAAGCCTAGAAACTTGGCTTCATTTTGCACCATCTGTTAATATTACCCAAAATTATTTTAGCAGAAATTTGACTCTCAATATTTCATGCTGTAAATAATGGAAAATGTCTAGTTCAAAAGTTCTTTCAACAGTGTAATGAATTGACAATATTGTCTCAGATATATTTAAAAGTCTGCACTTTCATATTCTGAACAGAGCACTAAACAAATCTGCAAAGCCCTTTTAATAAGTTCTCCCTGCAGATTGTACAGTGTTTGAATCAGGAGGTTTTGATTACATGAAACCACTGAGAATATGATTGTTAATTCCTCAGACACATGAACAGAATGAAAGAGAAATCTTCAGTGAAAAGATGATTAAAGACTTAAAGGGAAATGGATTAAAAGTGAAAATTAAAGAAGCAAAATGCCAAGAAGCATGTTTATTTGGATATGTTTTTATTTCCCTGAATGCACAAGTAAAATTAATATTCACTAAATCTAGTACAGTAATGACTCAGTGACCCTCTCTAGTCAAAGAATGGGATAATCTTGACAAATAAAGTATCTGATTATTTAAAATATTATCTACTCACACTTTAAAAACCTCTTTAAAAATACATTGCATTTTATATTAATAGATAACACTAATATAAGACAGGTTTTTCTGTGTCATTCAAAGTTTGTGGTTGAAAAAATGAATAAAAAATACTAAATTTTCCTATGTTTAAGTTGTATCTAATGTACACTTTCATACATTATATATTAACACCCATAATATTGCCTTATTATGACTAGATAAGACTTCTGGATATGAGCTTCCAAATGAGCATGTTATTGCAAAGAATTATTGAAGCAGTTTCAAACTACAGTTTAGTAGTTTCTCACCATGTCCCGCCAACACCTGGCAATCACCAATCTGTTTTGTCCTTATGAATATACTTATCTGGATATTTCATATAAATGGAATTATATGATATGTAGCAAATTATGACAGGCTTCTTTCACTTAGCATTATATTCTCGGGATTCATCTATACTGTAATCTATCAGTACTTTATTCGTTTTATTGATTAAATAATGTTTTATTGTTTATGTATACCACCCTATCTTTTTATTCGTTTATTCGATGATGGGCATTTGGGATGTTTCCACCTTTTGGCTACTGTGAATACTGTTGGTACGAACACATGTGTAGAAGTAGTTATTTGAGTACTTGTTTTCACTTCTTTCGGGTATATACCTAGAAGTAGAATTGCCAGGTCATATTTTAGTTCTATAACCAACTTTTTGAAGAACCAACAAATTAGCTTCTACAGCAGTTGAAACATTTTATCTTCCCACCAGCAATGTACAGGTGTTCTTCTGATTTCTCTATATCACCAATGCTTTTAAATTGTTATGGATATCCTAGTGAGTGTGATGTGGTACTTCAATATGGTTTTGATTTGCACTTCCCTAATGACTAATGATATAAAACATACTTTCATGTTCTTATTGGCCATTTGTATATGTTATTTGATAAAATATCTATTCAAAGACATTGGCCAAATCTTAATTGGGTTGTTTGAGTTGTAAGAGTTCTTTACTAATGTCTGAAAAGTGTCACCTGCTTAATAAATGTATTGATTCTGAATATGAAACTGTTCAAGATTCCCTTCACTTTTATTTTTTCTAAAAATTATAATCAAACTTGAAGCAATAATTCCTGGGTGTTGTTTATCCATAGACCCAGCACTATTATTTCTGTGTAATTTCTTATTTATACTTTCTGGTACCATAATATCATATTTTCAGGACTATGTGCTTACTTTCCTTTGTATCCTTTTTGTTCATCATCAAGTTATATTTAGGAGTGAGACACACTCTTTTCTTTATGCACACTGAAAGCAGTGACCCCTAATCATAAAAATCATTTTTATCATCATTTCCAAAATCATACCATGATGAGTTGTCTTATGTTTGTTTAATATGTCAGCTTCATTATCTCCTGCCTGCATTTCCCTTTCACAAACAATCGAAATGTAAAATATAAGGAATTTTAATTTTCGTTGTTGAAATCAAGGGAAAAATGTATGTTCTCTAGTAAAGGCAATAAACTCAATTTCTTAAAAAGAAAAAGCTTGTCAGCTTCTGATGTTGTTTCTCCTATATGCAGACATCTACCTATAACTAAAAATGTTTCCTCCTTTGAGTTTTTTCTTAGCTATATTCTCTATGTTCCAAAGCTCCCTATTTTGGAATATGATTATGCTACTGACTGAGCAATATGGGATTTGGGTTTTATTAAAAGGGATCTAACTACTTATTTTACATGTCAACAAAATCATTTTTGCATGCAAAAAGAAGCACAATAAACTGCAGGAGCCACTTCAAAATCTATCCTATGAGAAAGTCAGTGAATATTCTGATATTGGTTAATTAAATGTAAAGCACTTGATTTTAGGATGACGTTTATTTCTCATGACTTTATTACAAGAAAGCATGCATGATGACCACATACAATTTAATACACTTGGCTCCTGTGGATGACTCTACATTGGTTTTGTCTCCTTGATGAATTAGTTCACTTGAGAAAATGCTGGTGTTTTTCCTGTTGAAGCCAAGCATATTACCCTTACTCATATGTCTGCAGTAAGAGTGGCAGAGAATATAGAAAGCTTGCATCTGGAAGGAGTTAGCTTTGCTTGCTTTATAATGGCTGCCAATCATTCTTCCCAAAAAACCTAGCCTTACAGAAAAAGACTAGACTTCCATGCAAAACTCTGTTAAATTAACAGTTCATCATTTTACAGTATGCTATAATAGAACTCTGTGTTCAGTCATGTGCATTTGTTCTCACTCCTGAAATCTCATTACAAAGTCAGTTTTAGACATATGGCTGAGTCTACAGCTACTTACTTCTTAAAAGAGGACTACAGTTAGTCTCACCTTATTTATCTAATATGCATGCAAAATGTGGTATTATATGACAACTTTATTTCATTTCTTTTTTTTTTGAGACTAAGTTTACTTCAGACATATTTAACTTCTTTCCTGGACATTAGTTCTAAGACCCGAAAACTATAAAAACACAATGCCAACTGAAAATTTGAAAAAAATTTTGTCTTTTATAATTACTCCCTCTACCCCTCACATACCTCATATATTTAGATATGCAGCAGCTTTGTGAAATCTTTGGAAAAACCAGTATGTGAAACAAGTTTACTAGCCCATAAAACATTACATACAAACATGGGCAATTTGAAGCTTGAAGTTCATATATATATATATGAAGTTCATATATATATATATGAAGTTCACATATATATATATGAACTTCATATATATATATATGAAGTTCACATATATATATGAACACCATATATATGTAGTGTATACATATAATATGTGTGTGTATATATATATATAATGTGTATATATATAACTTTATTTGATCACTATCATAATTTAGGGGGTAGAGTAAAACTATTCTATTTTGTAAGTATAAAAAAGAGATTTTTGTTATTTTTAAAAATAACAATACAATTAAAATTTATCCCAGCGATTCACCAATATTAATCATTCAATCATAATAGCTGTCTGCAGCCAATCTGCCCACTTAGCAGGGGTGGGGTGGAAGAATCCAGCAAAAATAGATCAGAAGAGGATAAGATTTTTATTTGTTTCATCTGTTTAATCTGTAGAGTAATGCTGTGACCCCCTTTAATGCATGTCCCTGGCAATCTGTAACAATTAGTGAGTGTTACCCACCCACATGCAGCACGATGTGTTAAGTGCACAGACTCCTCCTTTAGCAGCCAATAAGTATCTAGGGATATAAGTTTATCTAATACCATGCACTCTAGTATATGAGATCCAACCAAGAGTTTCAGTCCTTGGGTTGCACATATGATGATTTTACAGCTCCCAAAATAGTGATCCTAAGGTCGTGAGTACCATGAGAACTACTTGAAAGCTCATTTGTGTCATTGGAGTGTTATACCTAGTATGGGTTTTGGGGGCAAGTACTTAGGTGATATACTGCTAAGTACAATTCACCCAGGGTTGGACGAAGATAAGTTTGTGATAGGAGTAGCCAATTATTTCCTTTGCAGGCCCACCAGGTTCCCTCCCACTCTTCTTTTTTTCTGTGAAGGTAAGTTTGTGTGGCCTAATCCAATTCCAGGTGGTGTTAATAGGAGCATATACTATTACATTCAAACAAGTTTACATGCTACCCACTTTGCATTCAGCACCTAGATTAATTAAATTGGTATGTGTTGAGGGAAGTCAGGGACCCCGAATGAAGGGACCAGCTGAAGCCATGGCAGAAGAACATAAATTGTGAAGATTTCATGGACATTTATTAGTTCCCCAAATTAATACTTTTATAATTTCTTATGTCTGTCTTTACTGCAATATCTGAACATAAATTGTGAAGATTTCATGGACATTTATCACTTCCCCAGTCAATACTCTTGTGATTTCCTATGCCTGTCTTTAATCTCTTAATCCCGTCGTCTTCATAAACTGAGGATGAATGTCACCTCAGGACCCTGTGATGATTGCGTTAACTGCACAAATTGTTTAAACAATATGAAATCTGGGCACCTTGAAAAAAGAAAAGGATAAAAGCGATGTTCAGGGAACAAGGGAGATAAGGTTAAAGTCTGGCTGCCTGTGGGCCGGGCAGAACAGAGCCATATTTCTCTTATTTCAAAAGCAAGTAGGAGAAATATCACTGAATTCTTTTTCTCAGCAAGGAACATCCCTGAGAAAGAGAATGCATTCCCACGGGGAGGTCTCTGAAATGGCCGCTTTGGGAACGTCTGTCTTTTAGTATTGTAGATAAGGGATGAAATAAGCCCCAGTCTCCCGTAGCTCTCCCAGGCTTATTAGGATGAGGAAATTCCCGCCTAATAAATTTTGGTCACACCGGCTGTCTGCTGTCAAACCCTGTCTCCTGATAAGATGTTATCAATGACAATGCGTGCCCAAAACTTCATTAGCAATTTTAATTTTGCCCCGGTCCTGTGATCTCGCCCTGCCTCCATTTGCCTTGTGATATTTTATTACCTTGTGAAGCATGTGATCTCTGTGACCCACACCCTATTCATACACTCCCTCCCCTTTTGAAAATCACTAATAAAAACTTGCAGGTTTTGTGGCTTGGGGGGCATCACGGAACCTGCTGACATGTGATGTCTCCCCCGGACACCCAGCTTGAAAATTTCTCTCTTTTGTACTCTTTCCCTTTATTTCCAAGACCGGCTGACGCTTAGGGAAAATAGAAAAGGACTCATGTTGAATATCGGGGGCTGATCGGGGGCTGGTTTCCCCTGATAGGTATGGACTCAGGCTACCATTGTCCATAATTGTTTTTGGATGTCCATGATTAGGAGAATAGGCTTATTTTGACAAGTGGGGCTTACTGGGAAACCTAGTAAGGGGAGAGGTATTATGCTAACTGTGCTAAAATTGGATAGCTGGAAGCAAGCCCAGCAGGCAGTTCAATGTATTACTGTGGCTAAGGCTAGATGCAAGTTTGGTTTGGTGGGCAATTGTGTGTTCCTTTTTATTCAGGTTAGTATTTATTGGTTATTGAGTTTCTTGTTGATTGCCAATAATACTGGTGTGCTTTCATGAGCAGGGGATAAACTTCACAGCTGCTCTCTTGGTTTGAAAAAAAAGTTGTTAATTTAGCCATGCACCAAGTTAGATCCTGAACTATGGGGTACTCATATATGGGATGCTCACAGATGGACCAAGTTATTTAAAAAATATACAATTGTGCTATATACGTCACCTATTTTTTTCCCTGTTTATCACAGCTGTATTTCAGTGGGGGACCACTTGCTTCATTTCATCAATTCTAAGGGAAATTTTTCTACAGCAATCATTTGTATATCTTTAATAGCCTCAGGGTTCATTGTGTGGGACGTGGCTGTGTGACTACACCAACAAATTTCCCCACAGGTTACCTTCATTATAGACATTCTCACTACAGTTTCTATCACCTGTAGGTGGGCCATGTACATTTTAAAGAAGTACTCAGAAGAGTAAAACTGAGAGGTAATTTCCTTCAAATATTTCTCCAATACTTACTTATTAATGATGATCTTGGTAGGTCTGATACATTTTGTAATAGCTTCATGCAGGTGGTTGTCAATTTGGGTGAAAAAACACCCATGCAGAGCGTAGTTAGATATCTCCTTTGGATGTAATATGTTTTTCATAAGAATAGTTTTTGTTGTGATATCCAAGAGCTCTGCTGTTTACAGTGGGCAGCCAGAATTGCAATTTTTACAAAACAGACTTGCATTGAGTATTATGCAAAATTTGCAGTTGGTATTGTGAGGTCAGGTTAGGAAAGAATGCACAAGCTGATTGTAACCCTTGAGGTTTTAGGAAAGCCTTGGTCCAGGTAATGGTATGTTGTATATATTGTCATCCACATTTACATTGATTAGCATCCAGGGAGAAAGTCCACATTGTCAGTGCAATTTCTTTTTGCCTAAATAAATGGGACCTGGGGGCTGGTCACAGTGGCTCACGCCTGTAATCCCAGCACTTTGGGAGGCCAAGGCAGGTGGATCACCTGAGGTCAGGAGTTCGAGACCAGCCTGGTCACCTTGGTGAAACTGCATATTTACTAAAAATGCAAAAAATTACTTGGGCGTGGTGGTATGTACCTGTAATCCCAGCTACTTGGGAGACTGAGGCAGGAGAATCATTTGAACTTAGGAAGCAGAGGTTGCAGTGAGCTGAGATTGTGCCACTGCACTCCAGCCTAGGTGACAGAACAAGACTCTGTCTCAAAAAATAAAAATAAAAATAAATAAATAAATAAATAAATAAATAAATAAATAAATAAATGGGACTTACACCAAAGGGAGTATAATCATTATAATTAACAGGAAAAGAGGCCAACCATGTAATAGGAGTACATTATTGGCAGGGTTTATATTTATCATCCCAGGTATTAGTAAGGGCTATAATTTTATCCCTGTGGGCACATAATGTTTGTGAATATTGGCAGTGGATTACAGTGTTGTTAATTTGATTGCACCAATCGCAAGCTTCAGTTTATTTTAGAAGCATGATATCTCTGTTCTCATTTGTTGTTCATTTAAATATGATGTAGTCACGCCATAGTGGTTTGAATTCAATG